>NC_000014.9:106277717-106580717 GCF_000001405.40 Homo sapiens | reverse complement strand
ATGAGATGGCATGTACACTCCAATAAGGAGCAGGAAGTGAAAGTAATCCATGGAATTTAGAAACAACAGATACAGCTTCCTAGGAGTTGTTCCCTGAAAAAGGAAAAGTAAAAATAATGAGGAACAACCCGAATATGCAATTCATATCTGTGATAGCTAAAATAATAGTAAAAAGATGCACATCCAGCCCTGCAGTGTGCCCTGTGAGCCGAGGCTGCTAGACTCCCATTCACCACCAAAGGGTACAGTTGTCCAGAAACAACACACAACACATAAGAGTGACACAGAAGGTAGCCCAGAGTTTGGGCTGGGGAGAGGAATCCACTAGACAACTATAACAAGGAGGACAGCATGGAAAGTGGCATCATTTTGTGATATGATTGATATCATTAATTTATATCATCGGATTGTGAACAAAGTTAGCCAATGGACTATGAGAGTGACTGACGTAGCAGCTTCTCTGGCTTCGTGTGCTGCAGATGAGAGGAGAATGTTTGGGAGGATGCTGGACCCACAGCTCACAACAGACATATGACAGACGTAGCTGATCCCAACCTCAAGTAGGATGTTCTTGATGAGACAGCTTCCCTGGTGCACTGGATATCAGATCCTGTATAGTTTCAGAACTTGTGTAGTTTGTGTTGCTTTGGCTTTTTCTCTGGATCTTTTAGGTGCTAATGAAATGAGAGTGCTTCACAAAAAAATGGGGCAGACAAAGGGGATAGTTAAGGGCCTCCTCCAAGCAATGTGGATATCATAAAATAAATGTTAAAAAATGAAAGAACTAAACAAGAAGGTGCTGGGGTTGACACAAAGGACTTAAAACAGCACTACCAGGAGTTGGGTGCAGCAATGGGCATCCCTTCAGGTCCATCAGCAAGTCAGAGACCTAAACAAATATTCCCTATTCATGTTGAATTGGCAGAGTGTAAAAATCTAGAAGACAAAATGGCCAGGAAAAATGTGCGATTTTGCATGGGTGAAGGTCTGGCAAGTTAATCATCTTGAGGACTGTTGAGGTCCTGAGGTGGTCCTGCCCTTGCTTGATGCCCAGGCCGTAGTCCAACTCACACGAAATTGCCAGGGAATAGACAGTAGTTTTTTTAGTAGTTCTTGTTATCAGGCATAAGTGCATTTGAATTTTCTCTTCATGGCCTTTCCTGGCACTATTTCTCATTTTTTTTAACACACATAGTTTCAACTAGATTTATCACCTTCACAGGGTCACAGAGAAGGGTGGAAGAAGGGAGGCCCTGTATGGGTCTCGAAGAAACATGGAAAAGAGTGGAGAGGGACAATAGCAGGGTGTAAGGAATTATTGAGACCTTACTCTGCCCCTCCCAGGAGGCTCAGGCCAGCCTTTTTCTGCATTTGAGGTTCTGGGTTATAAACGCTGTAGACTCCTCCCTTCAGGGCAGGGTGACAACTATGCAAATGCAAGTGGGGGCCTCCCCACTTAAACCCAGGGCTCCCCTCCACAGTGAGTCTCCCTCACTGCCCAGCTGGGATCTCAGGGCTTCATTTTCTGTCCTCCACCATCATGGGGTCAACCGCCATCCTCGCCCTCCTCCTGGCTGTTCTCCAAGGTCAGTCCTGCCGAGGGCTTGAGGTCACAGAGGAGAACGGGTGGAAAGGAGCCCCTGATTCAAATTTTGTGTCTCCCCCACAGGAGTCTGTGCCGAGGTGCAGCTGGTGCAGTCTGGAGCAGAGGTGAAAAAGCCCGGGGAGTCTCTGAAGATCTCCTGTAAGGGTTCTGGATACAGCTTTACCAGCTACTGGATCGGCTGGGTGCGCCAGATGCCCGGGAAAGGCCTGGAGTGGATGGGGATCATCTATCCTGGTGACTCTGATACCAGATACAGCCCGTCCTTCCAAGGCCAGGTCACCATCTCAGCCGACAAGTCCATCAGCACCGCCTACCTGCAGTGGAGCAGCCTGAAGGCCTCGGACACCGCCATGTATTACTGTGCGAGACACACAGTGAGAGAAACCAGCCCCGAGCCCGTCTAAAACCCTCCACACCGCAGGTGCAGAATGAGCTGCTAGAGACTCACTCCCCAGGGGCCTCTCTATTCATCCGGGGAGGAAACACTGGCTGTTTGTGTCCTCAGGAGCAAGAACCAGAGAACAATGTGGGAGGGTTCCCAGCCCCTAAGGCAACTGTATAGGGGACCTGACCATGGGAGGTGGATTCTCTGACGGGGCTCTTGTGTGTTCTACAAGGTTGTTCATGGTGTATATTAGATGGTTAACATCAAAAGGCTGCCTAACAGGCACCTCTCCAATATGACAGTATTTTAATTAGTGAAAATTTTACACAGTTCATCATTGCTTGCTTGCCTTCCTCCCTCCTGTCCACTCTCACTCACTCCTTCTTTTATTTTCTACTTAATTTTACAAAATCATTTAACCCCTTTTTGAACTATTAATAGGTTATCTTTGTTTGGTGATTGTTTTCCTTTCAATAATATGTACTGAATAATTCATCTTTGTGCCAATTCATAAGTATTCTGGTGTAATAAAGACTTCTTTCATAAAAATTGGATAAATTAAAATAAAGATAAATTTTTAAAAACATACGATCTATCAAAACTGAACCATAAAGAAATAAAAACTCTGGGTTGGGTGTGTTTGCTCATTCCTGTAATCCCAGCACTTTGGGAGGCCATGGCCGGTGGATCACCTGAGGTCAGGAGTTCGATATCGGTCTGGCAAACGTGGAGAAACGCTGTCTCCACTAAAAATACAAAAATTAGCTGGACATGGTGGTGCTCGCCTGTAGTCCCAGATACTTGGGAGCCTAAGGCCAGAGAAGAGATTGAACCCGGGAGGCAGAGGTTGAAATAAGCCGAAATCTAGCCACTGCATTCCAGACTGGGCAACAGAGTGAGACTCCATCCCGAAAAAAAAAACTGAACAGACCTATGAGTAAAGAGATTGAGTCAGTGATTTTTCAAACATCTCAAATCAAAGAAAAGTCAAGAACTTCATGGCTTCACTACTGAATTTTATCAAAAATTTAAAAAAAAACTAGAATCTCTATACAAATTTCCAACAAAATAAAGAGGAAAAAATACATGCAAGCTTATTTTGGAAGGTCCTATTTCCAAAGCAAGGAAAAGACACTCCAAATAAATAAAATTACAGGCTAATATCCCTGATTATCTAGTTTCAAAAACTCTCAAGGGTGGTGAGAAACCAAATTCAACAGCACATTAACAACAGAATTCACCATGATCAGGTGTGGTTTATCTCTAGGAAGCAATGAAGTTTCAACCTGCAGAAATAAATGTGATATATCAAATGAAAATATTGAAGGACTAAAACCATATGCACCATATGTCCATGTCAATAGATGCAGAAAGAGCCTCTGTCGAAATCCACTACACTCTAATTTTTAAAAATCTGAACATATTATGCATAAAACATATATACCTCAACATAATAAAGACCACATATCACAAGCCCACATCTAACATCATACACAGTGATGAAAATTTTATTTTCCTCTAAGACTAGAAACTAGACAAGATGCTTCACTATCACCAATATTATTAAACACAGCACTGGGTGGTCTAGACAAAACAGGCCAGAAGAAAAAAATAGAAGTCATCCATATAGTAATGAATAAATATAAAATATATTTTTACATATTACATGCTCTTATTTATACAAAGCCTTAAACACTCCACCAAAAAAGATTGAAACTAATGAAGAAATTCAATAAAGTTGCAGAATCCAAAATCAAACTTACATTTCAAGATGGCAGGTTAGAGGCATTGCTAGTATACCTCTTCCACTTGGAAGGACAAACTGATGTGGAGAGATGAACATCGCGGACTTATTTTCAAGAAGCAATGCAGGAACTGAACAGAAACACTGAAATAATCTACAAACTTTCTGAAAAAGCAGGAAGCTGCAGCCTACACTGTGAGTCAGGTGAAGGGCTGGGAGTCCCCAGCATTTGAGGGAGAACAGCCAAAAATTTCAGCCAGTGGTCCCAAGTTGAAAGTAGCTCTCAACAGGGGTGTGTAATATAACCTAGGGTTGGGACGAACTCCCTTGGCCAGGGCCTGGGTAGGGAAGTGTTAAAAGTGGGCTCTGCAAGTTTAGGAGCCATGGGTGCAGGAGCTGGTGCCCTGCTTTGCAGCAGACAGGAAGGGGCATGGCATGAAACCCATGGCTGCAGTCTCCATGGGGACAGCCTATGACTCCTGGCATTTGCAGGTATTGATCACAGATTGACTGAAACTCATCTCACTGCTGCCAGTGGAACACCACGGGAGTGGATCAGCCTCACCAAGTATGTGGGAACTGTGTGGGGCCTACCACCACCTGCCACTCCCCACCCCCTGCCCAAACTTCTGTGCAGCAGAGGCAGCCATGGTCCCATCTGGAACATCATCCCAGTGGCCTGAGAACCACCCCTGTCCCCCACACCCACAGGGGCTGCTGCTTGCCCTGCATACAGAGACTCAGAGCGGAAACCCACCTGGCCCAACCCTCACCTTGCTTTGTGCAGCCACCTGCCCTGGCAGCTTAACACAAAAGACAGCATCTTTTGGGAGCTACATAGCCACACCCACTGCCTAAGAATCCATAGTAGCCCCCATACCTGGGCAACACAAGGCTTGCAAAAATCCCACCGCTAATAATGCAGCTGGTGCTCTTTTGCAAGCACCACCTCTTAGCTGGAGGCCAACCAACCATGCATTACAGCATCTCCTAGTAGACTAACACTGCATCCTGGAAGGAGAAAATGACTGTGCGATCTCAGTTATCACCATGGCCTGCACCACTTTGGATGACCAGGAGATCCTGAGTCTCTCCATGTGACCAGTTCATTGCTACTATAACCATCATTCAAGAAAGCCAGTACACAAAGGCTATCAATATCCATGGAATTTCACAGAGTCTCCTTCACTCTCCTGCCTGCCACTCCCATCAGACCCGGTTCTGCTGCTCACTGTTGAAAAATATGAGGACAGTTCACATCACTGGATCACTTAGAGACATTTGCCCACACCAGCCTGAAGTGTGTCAACGTCACTGGGCAGCTAGACCTAGAGAAGAAACATAACTCACAGTACCATGGCTCCCAGGTTCTCCTCCTCTTAGGGGAAGGGAGTGCACCACATTGAGGGAACACCTCATGGGACAAGAGAATCTGGATGGCAGGCCTTGGACACCAGATCCCTCCACTGGTGGGAAACTTCTTCTAGCAGAAGTACAGTTGCAGCACTGGGCTCAGCTGGGAAAGTCTTCAGCTCTTTCTCAACAGACAGCCCTGTTGCTTGTGAAGAATCTTGAAGAAGAGGAAGCCTTTCCCCCTTGTACACCACTGTAGGCACACTTGGGGTCTCTCCCACAAGACCTCAGCATGGGTGCAACTATAGACAGCCTTTCTGGAACACATCATTGTGACTGCATCCCCCAGAAACAGCACTTTCTGGATTCAGGCTTGCATGAGACAGAGAGTCACAGTTCCTCTCTATTTGGCACATGAACATTTGTACAGATGAAAAAACATGCCTGTCTTATCTGAATAGCCGGAATACTGGGACAGCAGTATGTCTGAGAGGTGGATAAATTTCCTACTGACTTGACAAGAGAGCTGAGGTGGTTCCAACCCTTCCCACCGATAAGACCTCAGTGGGACTCACTAAAACCTCTTTCAGCCAACTCTGTCAAGGCTGGGACTTAATTTACCCACCTGCTTTAGCCACAACTAGTTTCTACCCAAGGAAAAGTCCTCCACTGATGTGAAGCTTGAGCCATCAAGCAAATAAATAAATCACTGGGGACAAATAAAATAAACATGTGCATGCCACAGAGGAATGAGATAAGGTTTAAGAGACCTCTACCATTCTAACCCCATAGAAGACAGTGAACTTGCTCACAGACCGAGCAGATTTCTACTGCAATCAACACATAGGAAAGCCATCATACAAAGATTCTCCATAACCCCGGAACTCTTACAGAGTCTTCACCCCTCTAAGGACCAAAAACCAAATCAGGTTGTAATTAATTATAAGCATTAAAGTCTCATTCTTAAGGGAAAAAAATCCATTTAAAAACAAACACAAGAAACAGTCAAATCAAACATAAATTCAATAATAATTAGAAAATCTACCAAAATGAGAGGAAATGAGAAAAATAACTGGGGAAAAATGAGAAAACAGGGTGCTGTGCCAGTGCCAAAAGGTCACAAGGTCACACTACCTCTCCAGCAATAAACCATAACAAAAATGGAGTCTTTGAAATATCAGAAAAGAAAATCAGAATGTTGATTGATAAGCTACTCAAGAAGATATCAGAAAAAGGCAAAAATCATAATAAATAAATTTATAAAACTGTTGAGAATATGAATACAAATTTTTACAGAGAGATAGACATCCTAAAGAGAAACCAATCAGAACTCCTGAAAATTTAAAAAAATGCAGGGAATTGGAAAGGGAATTACAAAATGCCATGGAAAGTTTGAAAAATAGACTAGAAAAAAGTAGCAGAAATAACAATAGACTAGAAACAGTACAAAATAAAAGTAGAAGTAAAATATTCGAGGAAAAAGAAAAAGGAAACAGTTAAAGAAAAAAGTAGAAAGACCAGACTATTATTGAAATAACCAAATCAGAGAAAAATAAATTTAAAAAGAGCCAAAAGAAGTGAAAAAAGTCTCCAGGAAATATGGGATTATGTAAAACAAACAAATTTAAGAATAATTGGTGCTCCTGAAGAAGAAAAAATAATAATAAGTTTGGAAAACTTCTCTGAAGGAATAATTGAGAACTACTTCTCTGGCCTGACTAAAGACCTAGATATCCAAATCCAAAAAGTTCAAGGAACTCCTGGGGAATTCATTGCAAAAATACCTTCACCAAGCATACAGTCATCAGGCTACCTAAAGTCTACATGAAGGAAATAATTCTAAGAGCAGTAAAACGAAGAAACCCATCAGAATAATGGCAGACGTCTCAGCAGAAACTTGACAAGCAAGACAGATTAGGGTTCTATTTTCAAACTCCTTAAACAGAAAAACTTTCAACCAAGAATTCTTTTTTATCCCGCCAAACTGTTTTATAAATAAAAAAGAAATAAAGTCATTTTCAGAAAAACAAATGCTGAGGGAATTCATCACTATCAAACCAGCACTACAAGAAATGCTAGAATAAGTTCTAAACCTTGAAACAAAAGGCCAATATGCACAAAAATGGAACCTCTTAAAAATTAAAAACTCACGGGGCCTATAAAACAATAACACAATATCAAAGAATAAACAAAATTAGGTAATGACATGACAAAGAGAATAGCAACTCATATCTAAATATTCACATTGAATGTAAATCATAAAAGGCATGGAAGAAGGAATTTCACAAAAATAGAAACCAGGAGTGAGCAGGACTAGCTATTTTTGATCTCAGACAAAACAGGACTTCAAAGCAAAAACAATTTAAAAAGACATAGATGATCACTATACAATGATAAAAGGATCAATTCAACAAAAAATTACAATTACATATTTATATGCACCAAACACTGGAGGAACTAGATTCATTAAACAAGTACTGCTAGACCTAAAAAACTGAGAGAGTTAGCAAAACAATCATAATGGGAGATTTTAGTACAATCATGACAGTACTAAACAGATCTTCGAGACAAAAAGTCAACAGATAAACAATGCACCTAAATGACTCACTGGAACAAATGGATGCAGCAGATATTTACAGAACATTCTATCCAAGATCTGCAGAATATACATTCTTCTAATCAGCACATGCAACATTCTCCAAGGTAGAGCATATACTAGGCCACAAAACAAGTCTCAATAAATTTTTAAAACAATGAAATCATATCAAGTATCTTCTCAGACCACAGCAGAATAAAACTAAAAATCATCTCGCTAAAGAACTGTCGAAAATGAACAAATACATAGAAATTAAGAAATTTGCTTCTGAATAATATCTGGGTTAACAGTTACATCAAGATGAAAATTTAAAAATTATCTTAATTAAATTATAATAATGAGACAAGTTATTGAAACCTCAAAAATAAAGGAAAAGCAGTGATAAGAGGAAAGTTTATAGTGCCAGCTGCCTGCATCAAAAAGTCTGAAAGAGCACAAATTCACAACCTAATGTCACACCTTGAGAAATTGGAGAAACAAGAACAAACTAAACATAGAGCCAGAAGAAGAAAAGAAATAACAAAGATCAGAGCAGAACTAAATGCAATCCAAACAAAAAAAAGCAATGAAACAAACAGTTGGTTATTTGAAAAAATAAACAAATTCATGGGTCATTAGCTAGATTAACAAAGAAAAGAATATCAAAGATCCAAATAAGCTCAGAAATGAAACGAGACATTACAATCTACACCACTAATATAAAAAATAATTTGAGACTACTAAGTTCACCTTCATGTGCACAATGTAGAAGACTTAGAGGAAATGGAAAAATTTCTAGAAACATACAACACTCCTAGATTAAATAAAAAAGAAACAGTTACTTTGAATAGACAAATAACAAACAGTGAGATTGAATCAGTAATTCAAGAATTGCCAACAATAACAACAATGAAATAGGGCCAGGTGAATTCACAGCTGAATTCTATCAAAAAATTTAAAGAAGAATTGCTGCCAATTTTGCTGCAACTATTTTTTAAATTTAGATAAAAAAGAATCCTCCCTAAATTATTCTATGAAGCTAGTATAACCAAGATACCAAAACCAGGAAAACACACACACACAGACACACACACACTCTACAGATGAATTTCCCTGATAAATATAGATGCAAAAATAGCAAAAAAAAAAATAGCTAGTTGAGTTCAACAGCACATCAAAAAGATAATTCCTCATGATCAAGCGTGTTTCATCTCAGAATTGCAGGGATTATTTGAACATACTCAAGTCAATAAATGTAATACATCACATAAACAGAATTACAAATAAAAACCTTACGATTGTCTCAATAGATGCAGAAAAAGCATTCAACAAAATTCAGCATTTTTTAATGATAAAAACTGTAAATAAATGAGGCATAGAAGAAACCTGCCTCAAACTAATAAAAGTTACATATGAAAAATCCACAGCTAATATCATGCTGAATGTGAAAAAGTTAAAAGCATTTACCCTGAGAACACAAACAATACAAGGATGCCCAAGTTCACCAATTCTATTCAACATAGTTCTGGAAGTTCTAGCCAGAGCAATTAGTCAGGAGAAAAAAAATAAGGGTATCCAAATTTAAAAAGAGAACGTCAGACTATCACTGTTTACAGATCAAGGGATTATATATATTAAAACCCTAGACTCCTCCAAAATACTAATAGTTTTAGTAAATGAATTCAGTTAAGTCTCAGATTACAAAATACATGTACACAAATTAGTAGCACGGCTATATATCAACAACAGCAATGCTGAGAGTTAAATCAAGAACTCCATCCCTTTTACAGAAGCTGCGAAAAGATAGTATATTTACCAATATACTTAACCAAAAGGGTAAAAGATCTCAACAAGGAGAACTACACAACACTGCTGAAAGAAATCATAGATGATACAAACAAATGCAAATGCATCCCCTGATCATGGATTGCAAGAATCGCTATTGTGAAAATGACCATAATGCCTAAAGCAATCTACAGAATCAATGAAATTCTTATTAAAATACCAACATTATTTTCTACAGAATTCAAAAATAATAACGCTGAAATTTATTTGAAACCAAAAAAAAGCCAAAATACCCAAAGAAATCCTAATAAGATAAAGAAAATTGGAGCCATCACATTACTGAACTTCATATTACACCACAAGGCTGCAGTTACCAAAACAACATGGCACTGACATAATAGTAGGCTCATAGACCACTGGAACAAAATAGAGAACCCAGAAATAAAGCCACATATGTAAATCCAACTGATGCTTTGCAAAATGTACCAAATTTTAAATTGAAAAATAGACACCACATTTAACAAATGGTACAAGAAAAACTAGCAAGCCACATGTAAAAGAATAAAACTGGATTTCTATCTGTCACCATATAAAAGACCAACTCAAGATGAATCAGGTACTGAAATATAAGACATTAAACTCAAAAATTCTAGAAAACAATATTGGAAAAACACTTTTAGACATCAGGGTAGGCAAAGAATTTATAACTAAGACCCCAAAAGCAAATGCAGCAAAAACAAAACTAAATTTATGGAACCCATTTAAACTAAAGTGTTTCTTCACAGCACAACTAAGAGTCAATGGAGTAAAAAGACAACTCACAGAACGGGAGAAAATATGTGCAAACTTCACATCTGACAAAAAATTGGTATATTCAGAATCTACAAAATACTAAAACAAGTCGCCAAGAAAAAACAAACGATCCCATTTGAAAGTGGACAAGGGACATAAATAGATAGTTCTCAGAAGAAGATATACAAATGGCCAACAAACATATGAAAAACTGTGTAACATCACTAATCATCAGGAAAATACAAATTAAAACCACAATCTAATAACACCTAATCCTGCAAGAATGGCCACTATAAAAAGTCAAAAAACAAAAGGGAATGCTTATACACTGTTGATGAAAATGTAATTTAGTATAACCACTATGGAAAACACTATTGAGATTTCTTGAAAAGCAGAAAGGTAGATCTACTATTTTTTTTTTCTTTTTTGAGATGGAGTCTCTCTCAGTCACCCAGGCTGGAGTGCAGTGGTGCAATCTCATCTCATTGCAACCTCCGCCTCCCGTGTCAAGTGATGCTCCCACCTCAGCCTCCAGAGTATCTGGGATTACAGGCACCCACCATCATGCCTGGCTAATTGTTTTTTGAATTTTTGTAGAGAAGGGGTTTCCCCATGTTGGCCAGGCTGGTCTCCAACTCCTGACCTCAGCTGATCCTCCCCGCTCGGCAGCCCAAATTACTGAAATTACAGGCGTGCAGCATCACACCTGGCCAGATCTACTGTTTGATCCAGCAATCTCATTACTGGAGAGCTACCCAAAGGAAATAAAGTCATTATATGAAAAAGACGTGTATATGTATGTTTATAGCAGCAGAATTCAAAATTGAAAATATGTGAAACCAATTTAAATGCCCATTGGCCAATGAGTTCAGAAAGAAAATGTGACATCGCCTGTAATCCCAGCATTTCGGGAGGCCGAAGAGGGCGGATCACGAGCTCAGGAGATCGACACCATCCTGGCCAACATGGTGAAATCCCGTCTCTACTAAAAATACAAAAAATTTGCCGGACCTGTTGGCGTGCACCTGGAGTCCCAGCTACTCGGGAGGCTGAGGCAGGAGAATTGCTTGAACCCGGGAGGCAGAGGCTGCAGTGAACCGAGATTGCAGCACTGCACTCCAGCCTGGGTGACAGAGCAAGACTCTGCCTCAAAAAAAAAAAAAAAAAAGAAAAGAAAAGAAAAGAAAAAGAAAATTTGACATATATACATCATGGAATACTACCAAGCCGTTAAAGGGAATGGCATAATGTCCTTTGCAGCAACTTGGATGAAGCTGGAGGTAATGAGTATAAGTGAAGTTACACAGGAGTAGAAAAGCAAAAACTGTGTTTGCACACTTACAAGTGGGAGATGGGCTATGAACTGGCAAAGGCATACAGAGTGATATAAGGGACTTTGGAGACTCAGAAGGGAAAGAATAGGATGGATACTAGAGAGAAAATAACTACACTTTAGGTAGAGTGTACACTATTCAGGTGATGAATGTACTAAAATCTCAGAATTTATTGCTATATAATTCCTCCATCTAACAAAAAAATATTTACCCCCAAAGCTATTGAAATTAAACAAAAATCAACCTACAAAAATAAGCATCTTCTGTATACACTAAAAAATGATTATTCAAAATTAAAATCAAGAAAATAAATCTAAATACAACAGCTTAAAATTCATAAAATAAATTTTACCAAAATAAATTTAACAAGGATACAAAATATCTGCACATTGAAAATTATAATATATTGATTAAAATGTAAGAAAACACAAATAAATGGAAGGCTATCTTGTGTTCTTGTGTTACTGGAACATACATTGTTAATATGTCCATCCTAACCTAAGCATTTACAGATTCAATGCAATCCCATTCAAAATTTCAAAGATATGCATTTACATAAATTGAAAAAAAAAACCTCTCTCATTTGAATGGCTGGGGTGATTGACCCGGACTATCAATTTGAAATCAGACTACTACTCCACAATGGAGGTGAGACAGAGTATGTCTGGAATACAGGAGATTTCTTAGGACATCTCTTAGTATTACTTTGCCATGGGATTAAGATCAATGGGAAAAAACAACCTAATTCAGGCAGGAATACAAATGGCCCAGATACTTCAGAAATAAAAGTTTGGGTCTTCACCCAGATTAAAAATCCTGACCAGCCAAGGTACTTGCTGAAGGCAAAACAAATACAGAATGGGTAGTGGAAGAAGGTAGTTGTCAATACCAGGAATGACCACACGACCAGAAGTGGGGACCGTAATTGTCGTGAGTATCTCCTTAAGCTGATAAGCAACTTCAGCAAAGTCTCAGGATATTTTCTCCATATCTTGTTAGGAATATATTTCTGCATGTGTATAACTGTACTAAGAAAATATCTTCATTGTGCCGGACACGGTGGCTCACACCTGTAATCCCAGCAATTTAGGAAGCCAAGGTGGGTGGATTACCTGAGGTCTAGAGGTCGAGACCAGCTTGACCAGTATGGTGAAACCCCGTCTCTACCAAAAATACAAAAATTAGCCTGGCATGGTGGCAGGTGCCTGTAATCCCAGGCTTCTCAGAAGGCTGAGACAGGAGAATAGCTTGAACCCTGAACCCGCGAGGCAGAGGTGGCAGTGAGCCAAGATTGCACCACTGCACTCCAGCCTGGGCAACAGACTGAGACTCCATCTAAAAAACAAACAAACAAACAAAAATATATTAATTGTTTTCATTGAATTTGTTTTCTTTTTATCATGTGTCACAAGATTTATTGACTTCCTAACAGCATTTAAATGTTGTTAACTATATGTAGTGGTATGTATGTAGGTTAAGGATTAGTGCACTTTCAGTTGTATGAAGGATAGCTGTATTATGTTAGGCATAATTATGACCTTATTATTGTCTTTATTTGGAGATCAAGCATGATTGCAGCTAGATGTGTAGGGGTGCTAAGTTGACAAGAGGTGGGCTTTTGATGCTTGATACTAGGTGTCAACTTGATTGGATTAAAGGATGCCTACATGGCTGGGAAAGTATTGTTTCTTGGTGTGTCTCTGGGGGTTTTGCCAGAGGAGGCTGACATTTGAGTCAATGGACTGGAAATTTGAGTTTGTCATGTTGCATGATCCTTTTAAAGTCTTATAGAACTTAGTTGACTATTATTTTGGTGTAGTTCATTTGTATAAATATTTCTTTGAAGTTTAATTTTCTTCCTTTGTGTTTGTCTGTCACTGGCAACACGGTAATTGTAGCCTTTTAGAAATAGCTTAGAAGGTTGGCGACTCATCATTTTTTAAAAAAGTTAGAGAACAGTTGGCATGACTTTTTTAAATTCTGAGAGCCATTTTTTATCTAACATATAGGCTATCATGAAGAATATTTATAGTGTGCTTGAGAAGCATGCGTATTACACTGCGCTTGGTTGGAATGTTCTGTAGATGTCTATTAGGTCAGTTTGTTCAATAGTGTTGTTTAAGTCCATGGGCTTCCTAAGAATTTTTTTATGGATGTTCTATACATTATTGAGGGTGAGGTGTTGAAGTCTCCTCCTTTCTTATTGTTTTCTATTTCTCACTTCATATCTCTTAAACTCTTGTTAATGCGGTTATATTTCTATTTTTATAACTATGTAAAATAGAAATAAAATAATAATTGCTTAGTAATTTTAATGGGAAAATCACATAATAAGAAATTATATTTTCCCAAATGCTGCCATCACCACTAAACTCCTCCAGGAGTCTCACATCTGCTCTGGGCTCTGCTCTCTCCTAAGGGGTCCCACATCAGAGTTTGCTACAGAGGAGGAGACAAGAAAATAGGGCCCTCCCTCTCCTGATGAAAACCAGCCCTGCCCTGACCCTGCAACTCTGGGAGAAGATCTCTAGTCCAGAATTACCAGGAGTTTGGATTTGATGATCAGCTCTGTACAAACATGGCTCACCATAGAGTTAGGGCTGAGCTGGGTTTCCCTTGTCATTATTTTAAAAGGCGAATAATGGAGAACTTGAGATATGGAGTGTGAGTGGATATGAGTGAAAAAACAGTGATTCTGTGTGGCAGGTTCTGACTCAGATGTCTCTGTGCTTGTAGGTGTCTAGTGTGGGGTGCAGATGGTGGAGTCTTGGGGAGAGTTGGCACAAGCTGAATGTGCCTGAGACTCTGCCGTGCATCCTCTGAATCCACCTTCTGTAGCTACTAGATCAGCTGAATCTGCCAGGCTCCAGGAAAGGGGCTGCAGTGAGTAGTAGATATAATGTACGATGGAAGTCAGACATAATATGCAGACTCTGTGAAGGTCAGATTCACCATCTCCAAAGACAATGCCAAGCACAGGTTGTATCTGCAAATGAACAGTCTGAGAGCTGAGAATATGGCTCTGTATTATTGAGTCAAAGGTACCAAATGAAGGGACATCAGTGTGAACCCAGACACAAAATTTCCTGCAGGGAGGAGGGAGGAGGCTGGGCTGCAGTGGGCACTCAGCACACACAAAAGGCAGGGACAGTTCCAGGGGCAGGTACAGGTGCAGGTGAAGGCAAAGGTCTACTTTCCTTCCAGATCTGTGGATTCCTCTGCATCCAACAGTTCGCCTGGGCCTCTGTCTTTATGGATCTGCGCCTACCACTGATGTCTCTGGGTTAGTAAAGTTTGCTACTATAGGAGGAAACATTGTCATTTGTCAGAAAGGCGAATAATGGAGAACAAAAGATATTGAGTGTGAGTGGATATGAGTGAAAAAACAGTGATTATGTGTGGCAGGTTCTGACCAAAATGTCTCTGTGTTTGTAAGTGTCTAGTGTGAGGTGCAGGTGGTGGAGTGTAGGGGAGAGGCAAGAGGCAGAAAAGCGCGCAGGAGGCCGGGTGAGGCTGTAGACATTGTCAGCTCACTATGCCAATCTCACAACAGTGCTGGAGAAGGTGGGAGTCTGATGGAGCTTCCCAACAACCCTGTGGTCTAAGCTAAGTCCATCAAGGCCGCTGGTTCCTCCTGGAACACAGCTGTCCATCAGGAATCCCCCATGTGCCCAGCAGCAGCCACGCGTTAGCATCTTCACTGTGCACAGTCATTGTTTGGGAGGAGCTCCAGGATGGGTCTCTTTGTCAAAAACCGGGTGATGGTGTCAGAGAGCTGTGCCGGGTGCCTGGTCCAGGGGCTCCCTGACGTTGGAGGTATAGGAGGTGCGTTCTCAGGGTGGGAACACCTTTTATGGAAATGTACAGAAGAAAACATGATTTTCCTTGGTCCTCTCAGATGACATGGAGAAGCAAGCGCGCAGCTTGCAAACAATTGTAATGTCCTTGTAATTTCCTACTTTATCCCAAGTTCATTGATTCTTGTAAACCTTGGTTTCTGTCCAAGTACAGAGATATTGATTAGAGTGAGTTTGGTTCTTTCCACACACTAACCCTCACCTCCCCCAGATAAAGAGCACATTGTCCTTACTCTGAGTCTGAGGGAGGAGCTGTTCCTGTACAACTAAGGGCCTGCAGAGACCCCCGTGTACAGCTTTGCAGAGTCAGATCTTTCCACATGTGAGGCGACCTCCACGGCCCATGATTGCTGCTCAGGTCTAATTGTGGATTCAGGATTAGGACATCCTTTAGGCTATCACAGGTCAATCAGATTCTGAAAAATCACTGTTATCATAGACAGAGGTAATAATTCAATACCCACTCCCCTGACAGCAGATTCTCTTTCTTATTTGGTTGAAAGTTTGAAGAAAATAAGTGACCATTTATTATTCTTATTCTAACTTTAGTATCCACTATTTGTTCTAGGGGATTCACAAATTTCAAAACACTGAGCTCTTCATTCTCATGAAAATGTGCATATTTGTGAATTTCAACGTGTTGTTCAGAACCTGTGCATGCCGACATCTGTATTTCTCGTGCGTTCTTGGCCTGGCGAAGCCCTCACAGACCCTCTCCCTCATCTGTGCTGTCTCTGCTTCTCCATCACAACCAGTGCTTCCTGCTGGAGCTGGATCCCTCAGCTCCCCAGGGAAGGGACTGGAGTGAATCAGGTGCACAGGTCATGAGGGAGAACACAACGCAACCCACGCCTCAAGAGTCCAGTCACCATCTCCAGATCCACATCCAAAACACAGTTTCTTCTACAGCTGAGCTACCTGAGCAACGAGTACACAACCATGAATTTTTACACAAAAGATACAGCAAGGGGAAGTCATTGTGAGCCCAGAAACAAACCTCCCTGCAGGGAAGCTCAGGAACTGCGGGAGGCCCTCGGGACACCAGGGGGCGCTCAGGACACACATCAAGGCAGGTGCAAGAGGAAAAGGTGCTGGAGATGGGGTTTGGCATCATCATCATATTTCACTGACACCCGCCACTGTGTTTATTCTCATGTACGTGATTCTTTGTATTATTAGAAAATGGCGTTTATGTAAATAAATAACCATATGTAGGTGCATCAAGTCGTCCTCTCCCTTTTTTTTTTTTTTTTTTTTTTTTGAGTCCTGCTCTGTCACCCAGGCTGGAGTGCAGTGGCGCGATCTCGGCTCACTCCAACCTCCGCCTCCCGAGTTCAAGCGATTCTCCTGACTCAGCCTCCCGAGTAGCTGGAATTACAGGTGTGCACCACCGCGCCTGGCTAAGTTTTGTATTTTTAGTAGAGACCGGATTTCGCCATATTGGCCAGGCTGGCCTCAAACTCATGATCTCAGTTGATCCGCCCGCCTTGGCCTCCCACAGTGCTGGGATTACAGGTGTGAGCCACCGCGCCCGGCCCGTCCTCTCCATCTTATGTGGAACTTTTCCATTAAGACTCTGAGTCCCTGGATTTATTTGAGAACCTCATAAATCATGGTCAATTATGTCTCTTTCTCCTCTTTCTCCCTTCTTCACTCCTCTCTAGCTCACAAACTGAAACACACACAGAATTTTCTAACTTCAATTACCTGATGTGTTGAAGACAATTGATTAAAGCGCAGCTTTTCCAGTTCAGCCACTGTTCATATTGTTGTAAGAATAAGAACGTTGTGTTTCTCAGCTGCGTGCTTCTCTAAGATGAGTAGCAGCTTTTTTTTAATAATACCCAGAGGCTGAAAGCAATCTGAATACCAATCATCAGCTTAATCAGTAAACACAAGGTGGTAAATTCGCTCACTGGAAAAACACCGACTGTTACAATCAGGTAAGGCTGGATACTCTCAACAGCAAGTGTAAATTCACAAGTATATATGCTTATTAAAATAAGACAAACAAATACAAGTACATACATACTGTTCCACTTTTACAAATTCTATAAAATGAATGCTAATCTAAAGTTACATAAAGAAAACCAGTAGTTGACTCTGGACCTGGTGTGAGGAGGGAAGGGTTAGGAACCAGAAATTGTAGGAAATGAAGAAGAAATGCTGACGGTAGTGGAGTTTTTTCTATGTTGATGAAGGTAATAGTTATGTCACTATTAATCAAATCGTACACATTGTGGGATGCCTATTATTTGTGAATTTCACCCTATTAAAATATTACAAGTTAAAACAAGTATAATTTTGTAGAAAATTAGTTAGACATAGATGAATAAAATGTATGATAAATAAAAAAAGAAAATCACAGAACAATAGCATAAGGACTTCACTCATCAAACTGAAGAAATTTTAAATTTCTCAACACAGAATTAAAGATTTAATTAGATATACATAAGAAATCAAAGACTCCCGGATATACACACGAATAAACCCTAAGTCCACCTGTATTTTTAGGGAAACGCTAGAATACAAGAAAATAATGTCATGATTTCATTACATAATGGGGGTTAATGAAACCACATCAGGCATGTCCAGCTGTGTCCTGGGGTTGGTTCAGGGAACGGGTGTGTCCTGTGGTTAGGAGACGTGGCAACAAGCTCACAGCATCAGTTCTAGCTGACACCATAAAAAGGCCAAGAGATCACAATTAAAATGTCATGTGGATGTCACATCTGTGGGTGCCACACACTCCCCCATGTGAATACGGAAAGGTTAATTACACTCTTCAGGTGTCTGCTGAGAGTACAGCTGGTCTCTCAGGAATGTCCAAAATGGCTCGATAGAGCAAGAAAGGAGACTGGCTCAGGGTTCCTGTAGTGGCTTGGTGGTGTGGGCAGAGTGAGGGTTCTCACTCAAGAAAGGAGTTTGTGGCGTTTGAACATCTACATGGCTTCAAATAGGGTAACTCCTGTGATTCCTAACTAGATTCACCTCGTGTGGGAAAGAAAGGAGATGATGAAGGAATGAGCCTTAAGCTATCAGCAGTCAGATATCAAAACAATAGTCTGATGACTTATTCTATGTAGCACCTATAAAAATCGTTCTGGTCACGGTGGCCTAAGTCTGTCATCCCAGCATTTGGGGAGGCTGAGGCAGGTGGATCATGAGGTCAGGAGTTCAAGACCAGCCTGGCCAATATGGTGAAACCCCGTCTCTACTAAAAATATTTAAAAAAAAAATAGTTGGGTTGTGGTGGTGGGCGCCTGTAATCCCAGCTACTCAGGAGGCTGAGGCAGGAGAATAGCTTAATCCCAGGGGGCGTAGGTTGTAGTGAGCTGAGATCACACCACTGCACTGCAGCCTGGGTGACAGAGCAAGACTCCATCTCAAAAAAAAAAAAAAGAGTAAAAAAATATCAGCCCAAGATGGGTGGACAACAACCAGGCCTACAAAAAAGGAGAAGACTGCTTATAAGAATAAGCAAATCATAATGAAAATTAGGAGGAAAACAAGGAGAGTGAGGTGAAAGGCATGGGGCAGGGGATTAGACAAGGGTCCTGTTCCAATGTCTTGTGTGGAGACTTTTCACTATCTAAAATCATCCACCTATTCTGAATGTCTTAGGTGAACTGTCTGCTCCAAAACATCAGAACCACCAGAGGATTTTTGAGGATACTCAGTTTAATATCTTATATTTGAGGTGCCTTACAACTGTGTAAAATGCTTAGTTATTATCAGTATAATTAGAGATAGGGCCTCACTGTGTCACACAGGTTGGAGTGCAGTGGCACAATCATAGCTCACTGTTACCCTGAACTTCTGGCTCACATAATCCTTCTGTCTCAGCCTCCTGAGTAGCATGGACTAGAGAGGTGCACCACCACACACAGCTGATTTAAAAAAAATTGTTTCATAGAAATGGGGTCTCTCTATGTTGCCCAGGCTGGTCTTGAACTCCTGGTCTCACGTGATTCCCCTGGTTTTGTTTCTAAAAATGGTGGAATTAAAGGCATGAGCCACCATGTCTGCTCAGAAATGATTATTTGGTTGCAAAATATTAACCCAAGAATTGACTCCCTGAATTTTCTCTGCAGCGTTTTGGTTAATAATGTCTGATAAGATTTATTTCAATAGTTTCAACAGCAGAGTGTTCTCCTGATGTTTCTTCCAATAGTGATAATTTCATGGTTGAAGATCACAAAATACTATTAAAAGATGACATAAAAAGGCAACCTTAAACTTTTGGTGATGGAGTGAGTATAATACAAAAATTACGTTCAATATTGTGTAACACACGCCTGCAGTAGGAGGAAGGTGAGCAATGAGGGTAAAATTTCTAAATGTATGAATCTTCCAGCTCCCAAGTCACAGGGCAGTAACTGATGAGTCCTGAGAGAGGGAACGTAATGCCGTAGTGCTTGTGGGATAACTCTTGGCCAAGAGAGTTTCCATATTTTATTAAAGTGGTTATAATTTTTAAATTTAAAGATGCCATTTTTTCAACATATCCAGAATATTGTGAGTGGGATTGATTCTGTATGATACGAACAATGGCAATGCCTTCTGTTTGGATAATATTACAAACCAGGTTAAGACTGAGTGTTTGGTGTAATGATGCACCAGAACATTATTCTAGCTTCCATACTAGATTTTGTTTTTCTCTTTGTTTGCATTAGTTTCAAATTTATATGTAAGGTCTCTAGAATGTAGGAGTTTATTTGAAAGTGTCTTTTCTTGTTGGCCATTTTGATGGGGCTTCCAGGAGATTTAAAAACCTCCTCTGCCTGCAGCACAGTTTAAAATTCTGCACTACAGTAGAACATCTGTATTTAATCCTGGTCTTTGGTTAATTGACAAGCTCTAGTAAGTGCAATAACTTCTGCCTTCTGGGCTGATTTTATATCAGGTAGAGGAATATATCCTAAATGAAAATTTGCACTAGTAATATATATTATTAATTAATAACCACTACTTTTATTATTTAAGTGTTATTAATCAAGAACTAATGTTAAATCAAGGGTCTCAATGGGAATATTACCTAAGGGATACACAAGATATTTTGCTAATCTAGATAAAATAGATGTGAACACTCTCGTAGTATCCAGCCATGTCTCCTGTCTGTCACTTTGTTAACCACACAGTAAATTCACTTGGCACTTGTTCTAATTATCTAATTAGTCACTTACTTATCTCAAAGCCTCCGGATTATTATGTGTGACTATTTCAGCAGAGAGTGAAGAAAGACAACCCAGGCTGACCAAACAATGAGGAAAATCACAACCTGATGAAACAGGAAGCCTGGATGTGAGTGGCTCCAGGATTGAATAATTTGACAGCTCATGTGCCCAGGCTGTTTCTTGTCTCAATTTTCCACACTGATACATCCAGAAAGGCAGCTTCACCCCCCAGGGGACTCCTATCATGCTGTGACATGGTGACAACATTCCCAAGGCTCACACACATATGTTAAATATTGGCTGGAAAAGGGGCAGAGACATTTCTGGAATTCTCTTCTGAAGGACCATGAATGCCTCAACCAACCATCTCCCCTGCCTCCATGACCAGAAATGCACCACGTGCCCACACGGATATTCATCCCTGATGGGGATAAGACTCCATTGATGAGGCTGACTATTTTATCATATAAAATTACTAAAGACTGATTTCAGGGTTTCAAAAACTAATTGAACTCTGTTGTTCTATGTCCACCAGAGATTACAAATCTTCCAATGATGCCTTCTTTGTTTTTTGTCTGCTTGACTTTGTCTCTTCAACTTGTTCTGTACCCCAGAGAATCTCTTTCAGCTCCCTCAGGTGCATTCAATTGTTTTATTTAACTGACAATTTCTAAATCGGTTAAAGACATTAGGCTAAAGACTCCATATTCCTAGGTCCATATTCCTTTTTCCATATTCCTAGGAAGGCATTGTGACCCAGAGTCTGGGCATGACCTTGTGAGTGTTCCTGACCCTCCTCCATATGAGATGCTGGTCTGGGTGTTCTTGCCCCTTTCCCTGGGGTAGAGTCCTCCTGTTTTCCCCAGGTGCTCCCTCCCACAGCTCTAGTGTTCTCAGTCAGTGTCATCACCTTCCAGATCTTCTGCCCTGCCCTGCAGACTAAGGCTCTGATTCCATAAGCAAGATAGGGGAGCTGCTCCTCAATAGATCTTTGGTGAGGATCTCTGTTCCCATCTCAATTCCTGTAGGGTTGAACCAGTGTTCCTAGGATTCTGGTTTCAGTAGCTTGTCCCTGCAGAGTAAATTCTTAGTTCTGTAGGGGGATTAAGGGAGTTGGGTCTGAATACATTTTAGATGTCGAGGATCTTGTTCTCTCCCAGAAAGACACTTCGGGAAAGTAAGACTTTAGTAACTGTCCCCTTTCTTGGGGAAAGGGATTCAAGAGGATAGGTTGCTTTTGGGCATGTGGTCCCTTAAAATTTCACACTAAAAAGCGTTTCCCACACTCAATTTCAAGCAGCCCAATATATATTTGTATTTTTTCTTGGAACAGACAATATTTTATATTCCAGACTCTGCCTTAGGTAATTTCAAACCCTGGCTTTGTTACTCTCTACAAGAAATTGCTTCTCCATAAGCTTCAGATTTGTTGTGTGTTTTGAAATTTTATCAGAAATATTAAAGAAAATTGGCAAAATTCCATCCTCCATGTTTATCTGTTATTGTTGATGCAGTTGTAAAAAATAAGAAAAATACATTCCTTTTTTCTGTACATTTCCAAGCTTAGTAGCAAATTTTTAGTAACACCCAGAATAATAAAAAATTCAAATATTGTTTAGCTGCTTAATAGGAAAACAAATTATAGTAAATTTGTTTGCTAGAATGCTACCCAGCATTTATAATAAGTAAACATTTGATATACCCAACTACAAGGTAAAATATCCATTTATGCTAACTAAAATAAGCCAAACAAATGAGAATGTATACTATGTTATTTCATTTTTATAAATTCTGAAAAATTAAAATGAATTTGCAGCAATGTAAAGATCAGTAGTTGCCAGGGAAATGGTAGAAGAAAGAAAGGAAAAGGAGAAAGAATACAGAAGAACAAAAGGAAATGTTAAGAATTCTCTTGTCCAACTTGATAAGGATGACGGTTACATCATTTTTATCAACTGTAATCTTTAAATATGTGAAAGTTTATTATCTGTAAACTAAACTTATAAACTTTATTACAAGCAAAAATTGAAAG
Source organism: Homo sapiens (assembly GCF_000001405.40). NCBI lineage: Eukaryota > Metazoa > Chordata > Mammalia > Primates > Hominidae > Homo > Homo sapiens. The sequence goes on along the minus strand of NC_000014.9, from coordinate 106,558,077 downwards.
TTAGACAAGAAGGAGTGATAGAAAGAGAAAATGTATATTAAATTTCAGAAATATTTAAGAATGTATCTGCCTGAACCCTAGTTCTCACCATATCTTTAGGTGAATGCTAAAATGCAGCAAAATCACGCATGTTCTCACTACAGAAAGTGGGTTCTACAAACCACACTCGGCACATTTAGCTTTGTCCTGGAGTTGGTTCAGGGAGTTATTGGGGCCAGTGATGAGGAGCACAGGCCAAGATACCAGCGATCACTTATCCCAAACATGAGCTCTAACATACACACTTAGTCCCTTTTCCGTGTGTGGTTTACTTCCACATCTGTACATGGAGAGACCACTGACTGACAAAATATAATTTATACAAATATGTAAAATTAAATAGGGTGATCAGTTCAAGGTGTTTATCACAGCATAATTTTACAATAAGACAGCATATTTCCCAAATACCATCATTGTCACCAAACTCCTTCAAGGCACAGTCATCTTATCTGGGCCCCGTCCTCTCCTCAGGTGTCCCACCCCAGAGCTTGGTATATAGTAGGAGACATGCAAATAAGGCCCTCCCTCTGCTGATGAAAATGAGCCCAGCCCTGACCCTGCAGCTCTGGGAGAGGAGCCCCAGCCGTGAGATTCCCAGGAGTTTCCACTTGGTGATCAGCACTGAACACAGACCACCAACCATGGAGTTTGGGCTTAGCTGGGTTTTCCTTGTTGCTATTTTAAAAGGTAATTCATGGTGTACTAGAGATACTGAGTGTGAGGGGACATGAGTGGTAGAAACAGTGGATATGTGTGGCAGTTTCTGACCTTGGTGTTTCTGTGTTTGCAGGTGTCCAATGTGAGGTGCAGCTGGTGGAGTCTGGGGGAGGCTTGGTACAGCCAGGGCGGTCCCTGAGACTCTCCTGTACAGCTTCTGGATTCACCTTTGGTGATTATGCTATGAGCTGGGTCCGCCAGGCTCCAGGGAAGGGGCTGGAGTGGGTAGGTTTCATTAGAAGCAAAGCTTATGGTGGGACAACAGAATACGCCGCGTCTGTGAAAGGCAGATTCACCATCTCAAGAGATGATTCCAAAAGCATCGCCTATCTGCAAATGAACAGCCTGAAAACCGAGGACACAGCCGTGTATTACTGTACTAGAGACACAGTGAGGGGAGGTCAGTGTGAGCCCAGACACAAACCTCCCTGCAGGGGCGCACAGAGCCACCAGGGGGCGCTAGGGACCGACTGAGTACGGGACAGGTCCCAGGAGCAGGTGCAGGGGGAGGTTTCCTTTTTCCTTGGCTGGAAAAGTCACCTTTATCTTCCCAGGACTCGAGCCTTCTAGGCTGTGATATTTTATTACTTGTATTTACTGTTCATTTATTATCATTAGTTTTTAAATTTTGGTAATTTTTACAACTCTATGGATATATTTTTAAGTGTATACTTTCAAGAAATAAACATTCCTAATTATTTGCACTGATTCTCCCAGAGTTTTATTAACATTTGTTGACATCAGCAACTACATAGCTATAGGGACAAACACTTTTAACGATAGACAGTTGTTTAGGCCTGAAACCCCGTTTATACTAAAAATTTACAAAAATTAGCCTGGCGTGGTGAGGGGCGCCTGTAATCCCAGCTACTCGGGAGGCTGAGCAAGGAGAATTGCTTGAATCCGGGAAGCGGAAGTCACAGTGAGTGGAGTGGACTGCCACTACACTCCAGCCTGGCGACAGAGCGAGACTTTGTATGAAAGAAAGAAAAGAAAAGGAAGAAAGGAAGAAAGGAAGGAAGGAAGGAAGGAAGGAAGGAAGGAAGGAAGGAAGGAAGGAAGGAAAAGAGAGAAAGAAAGAGAGAGGAAGGAAGGAAGGAAGGAAGGAAGGAAGGAAGGAAAAGAGAGAAAGAAAGAGAGAGGAAGGAAGGAAGGAAGAAAGGAAGGAAGGAAGAAAAGAAGGAAAGAAAGAAAAAAGATATATAAACACGCAGACCTATGCATATAACCATAGGGATTTATATTAAACATTACAATAAAATAATTCTAAAAATGTGTCCTAAGGAATCAAACATAATGATGAAGTAAATATAAATGTTAGAGTAATTTATAATTGATTTGTTATTTTTAATCGTTTACTTGAATTTATTTCTATTTGTTCATTTAAAAGTAGTATATTGGTCATTTCAAGAGAGCTAACAGTAAATTTCAGATGTTGTTGTTACGATATATGATAAGAATTTGAGGTGGTGAATGATAATTATCTTATTTCTCAATTATCTTAGTTATTCCATATTGTATTCACAAATCATAACATTGCTTCTTACCTTATAAATATAAACAACCATAATTTGTGAAATTACAATAATTTTCTTTATTTTAATTTTTTAATTTATCCCAGATCATTATCTTTTTCTTCGCTTCCAGATCTCACTGGATCATCTCGAGGGCCCATCCTCACCCCTGTCTCCCGAAGACTTCTGGAGAGGCTGCAGGACGGGCAGAAGGAGGAGCCCCGTGTGAGTCCACACGACCTGGAGCCTCCCTCTCCTTGGATTAGGCCATCTCCTCGGGATCACAGGGCTCTTCATTATCCTTACCCCGCTGTTGTACCAAACAAGCAACATCACACTTCAATTCATCAGGGTTTGCTTTAATTTTCTAAATCATCGTGAAGGTGATAATTTTAACAGTAACGTATCACAACCAAATAGGATAAGCCCTTTTCCATGGAACAGGGTTTCTTATCAGGATATACATGTATTATGGATTCTCAATTTATTTGTAGATGAGATGCTATTATCTCCATATTGTAGATGATTCTGCTAAGTCATCTCTTAAAATTAATTTTTCCAAAGACTCAAACAAATAAATGATATAATTACAAATTTCAGGTGTAATAGCTGAGCCAACATTGAGATTATATTAACATTTAGAACATGAACTTGCAAATATTGTTATTTTCCTGTCAGCTGTCCCCAATTGTGATTTTATACAGAATATTAGAAATTTATCCTGATAAATCAGGTTAAAATATTATATCACTAGTTTATTAACTTTTATAACTAATAATATAAAATGTTCCACATATTTTTTAGCCATGTTTTACTTACCCGTGATATGTGTATTTATTAATTTTTCATTTTAAGATGCCACCTTTATCTTTCTTATTTCTGGGATTTTATTCTAGTAGATAGAGCTGAATGCATTTTAATAATTATCATAATAATCACATTTACATTTTGCATTTTAATTTTCATATACATTTTATTAATATTTTAATTTCAATATAAAATATTTTCCTACAAATGTCAATTTTTGATTTTTATGAGATAAAATTAACCTATACAAAATACATATATTTTCAATGTACAGTTTGAGGGTTTCTGGCAAATGTGCACACATTTGTCTCCAGCATCTAAGTTATGATGAGGAGCAGGTCCATCTCCACAACAAGTGTCCTCTTCGGTGCTTCCAGTCAGCTCTCACATAAGGAATTTTTTTTCAAATTTAATATAGATACAGAGGGTAAATGTTTGGATTTGTCACGGGGGATTATTGAGTGATGCTGAGGTTTGGAATACAGATTCCACCATCCTCTCCCTCCACTCTCCAGCAGTCCACAGTGTCTATCATTCTCATAATTATGTCCATGTGTGCTCAATGCTGAGGTCTTACTTAGGAGAATATGTGGTATTCAGTTTTCTGCTCCTACATTAATTTGTTTAGGATTAAGGGCCCCAGCTTCTTTCATTTTACTGCAAAGGACATGATTTCATTCTTTTTCATGGCTGTGTAGTATTATACATTGTAGATGTACCGCATTTTGTATATTCAGTCTACCAATGATGTGCATCTGGTTTGATCTATGTCGTTGCCACTGTGAATAGCACAGCAATGAACATAGATGTGTATGTGTCTTTTTGGTAGAATTATTTGCTTACTTTTCAGTGTATACCCCGTGGTGGGACTGCTGCGTAAAATGATATCTCTGTTTTAAGTTCTTTGAGAAATCTCCAGTCTGATTTCCAAAATGGAAACACCAATTTATATTCCCCTCATCAGTGTATGTGTTCTCTTTTCTCCACAGTCCCAGCAGCATCCATTGTTTTTTGACTTTTTAGTGATAACCATTCTGAGTGGTGCATGGCTGCACACCTACAGTCATCTCATCTTTGATAAGGCTGATGAAAACAAGCAATGAGGAAGGGACTCCCTGTTCAATAAATGGTGCTGGGACAACTGGCTAGGCATATGATGAAGATTGAAGCTGGATATCTACTTTCAACATGTATAAAATTAACACAAAATTCATTAAAGTTTTAAATGTAAGACCTCAAACCATAAAAATCCTTGAAGACAACCTAGGAAATACTCTTCTTGACATCAGGTTTGACAAAAAAATGTTGGCTGAGTATCCAAAACCAATTGCAACAAAAAGAAAAATAGACAAGTGGGGCCTAATTAACTGAGGAGCTCCTGCTCAGCAAAACAAACAAAGAAGCAAACAAAACTAACAGCACAGTACTCAGACAACCTACAGAATGTGGAAAGATATTCACAAACGTTCCATCCAACAAAGCCGTAATATCCAGAATCTATAGGGAAATTAAACAAATCAAGAAGCAAAAAATAATAATAATAATAACCCCATTAAAAATGGGCTGATACGGTTTGCTGTGTCCCCACCCAAATATCAACTTGAATTGTATCTCCCAGAATTCCCATGTGTTGTGAGACGGACCCAGGGGGAGGTAATTGAACCATGGGGGCCTGTCTTTCCCGTGCTATTCTCTTGGTAGTGAATAAGTCTCACCAGATCTAATGAGACTTATCAGGGGTTTATCTGATGGGTTTATCAGGGGTTTCCGCTTTTGCTTCTTCCTCTTTTTCTCTTGCCATCACCAGGTAAGGAGTGCCTTTTACCTGCCACCGTGTTTTGGAGGCCTTCACAGCCATGTGGAACTGTAATTCCAATTAAACCTCTTTTTGTTCCCAGTTTTGGGTGTGTCTTTGTTAGCAGTTTGAAAATGGACTAATGCGTGGGCAAATGACACAGACACTTCTCAAAGGAATACATACAAGTGACCAGCAAATATATTTTTAAAATGTTTAACATCACTAATCATCAGAGAAATGTAAATAGAAAAATGTTCTGATTTCTGTCACTATAGGTCCATTTTCTTGTTTTGAATTTCATATACATGGAATAAAATATTATAGCTCATTTTTGTAAGAAGCTTTTACTATCTGTGAGGTTCATTCATGTGATAGCATCTATCAAGGTTTTGTCAACATATGTATAAATATGTATGTACTCATACACATATAGATATTTCATATCTGAATCAGTCCATTGCATTAATAAATGACAGATTATTAAATAAATCAGTTCATTAAGGGAATAAGTGACAATATGTATATCTATTTTCCTGTTGATGGAATTTAAATTTGTTTCCAATATAAATATCATAAACAAAACTGTCATACATATCTTTGTACAAGTTCTTCTGTTTATATTCACACATTTTTATTGATAAAATATGTTGAAATATAAGTATGCATTATACCTTTTCAGCTTTATGGAGCTATCACTGACAAATAAAATTTTCTGTATTTAAGGTACACCAATTGATGTATTGATATTCTTGGGGAAATGCTCATAATGATCAAGGTAATTGGCATGCCTATCATCTCAGAGAGTTAACATTTTATGCCTTTAATTTATTGTGTATGTGTGATGAAATCACCTAATATCTACTTGTCTGGCAAAAGATATGTTTATAATGCAACATTCATTAGTATAGTCACATTGCTGTAGGTTTGATCTCCAGAACTATTTCAACCTGTGTATTAGTCCATTCTCACCCTAATGTAAGGAACTACCTGAGACTGGGAAATTTATGAAGAAAAGTGGTTTAGTTGACTCACAGTTCTGCAGGCTTAACAGCAAGTATTACTAGGAGGTATCAGGAAACTTACAGTCATCACAGAAAGTGAAGGGGAAGCAAGGACCGCTTCACATGCTGGCAGGAGAGAGAGAAAGAGCAAGGGGAGATGCACCACCCTTTTAAACCTTGAGATCTTGTGAGAACTCTGTCACAAGAACAGCAAAAGGGAAGACCGCCCGCATGATCCAATCACTCCCCATCAGACACCTGCTACAACACTTGGGGATTAAAATTTGACATGAGATGTGGGTGAAAACACAGAGCCAAACCATATCATTCCACCCATGGTCTATCAGAAATCTCATGTCCTTCTCACATTGCAAAATATCATTATGCCTTCTCAACAGTCTTCCAGGCTTAACTCATTTCAGCATTATCACAAAAATCTATAGTCTAAAGTCACCTCTGAGACAAGGTAAATTTCTTCCCCCTATAAACCTGTAAAATTAAAAAGAAGTTAGTTATTTCCAAGACACAATGGAGGTGCATGTACTGGGTAAATGCTCCCATTCCAAATGGGTGTCATTGGCCACAGAAAAGGGGCTACAGGCCCCATGCAAGTCCAAACACCAGTAGGGCAGCCATTAAATGTTAAAGCTACAGCATAATTTCCTTTTACCCCATGTCTCACATCCAGGACACACTGATACAAGGGTTGGGCTCCCAAGGCCTTAGGAAGCTCCACCCTGTGGCTCAACGTGGTACAGTCCCCATGACTGCTTTGATAGGCTGGCATTGAGTTTCTATGGCTTTACAGGCACAGCATGCAAGCTGTTGGTGGATCTACCATTCCGGGGTCTGGAGGAAGGTGCCCCTCTTCTCACAGATCCACTAGGCATCTAGTGCCTAGTGCCCAGTGGGTACTCTGTGTGGGAGATCCAACACCACATTTTCCTTCCACACTGGCCTAGTAGAGGTACTCCATTAGGGCTCAGCCCTGCATAAGACTTCTGCCTGAATACCCAGACATTTTCATACGTCATCTGAAATCTAAGAGGAAGCTCCCAAACCTCAACTCTTGCCTTATGTGCACCCGCAGACTCAACACCACGTGGAAGCAACCAAAGCTTAGGGCTTGCACCCTCTGAAGCAATGGCCTGAGCTGGACCTTGGCCCCTTTAGCCATGGCTGGCAGGAGAGGGACAGGGATGTCCCAAGGCTGCACAGAGCAGTCGGGTCCTGGGCCTGGACCATGAAACCATTTTTCTCTACTGGGCTTCTGGGCCTGTGATGGGAGGGACCGCAGCAAAGATCTCTGAAATGCTCTCAAGATGTTTTTCCCATCGGGTTCCTCATTACTTATGCAAATTTCTGCAGCCCGCTTGAATTTCTTCCCAGGAAATGGATTCTTCTTGTCTACCACATGGTCAGGCTGCAATTTTTTTCAACCTTTTATGATCTGCTTCCCTTTTAAACATAAGTTCAAATTTCAGACCATCTCTTAATGAATGCATATGACTTACATTTTCAGAAACAGCCAGGGCAAATATTGAATGCTTTGCTACTTAGAAATTTTTTCTGCTAGATACCTTAAGTCATCTCTCCCTAGTTCAACATTGCACAGATCTCTAGGGCAGGGGCAAAATGCCACTAGTCTTTTTGCTAAAGCATAGCAAGTGTGAGCTTTACTCCAGTTCACAAGAAGTTCTTCATCTTAGCATCTGAGACCACCTCAGCCTGGACTTTATTGTCCATATCACTATCTGCATTTTGTTCAAAACCATTCAGTAAGCCTCTAGAAAGTTTCAAACTTTTCCACAGCTTCCTGTCTTCTTGTGAGCCCTCCAAGCTTTACCAGCCTCTGTCCATTACCCAGTTACAAAGTCACTTCCACAGTTTTAGGTATCTTAATAGCAGTGCCCACTCCTAGTGCAAATTTTCTGTATTAGTTGATTCTTACACTGCTGTAAAGAACTACCTGAGACTGGGTAATTTATGAAGAAAAGAGTTTAGTAGACTCACAGTTCTTCAGGCTAAACAGGAAGCATTACTGGGAGGCATCAAGACACACAATGATGGCCGAAGGTGAAGGGGATTCAAAAATCTTCTTTGCAAGATGGCAGGAGAGAGACAGCAAGGGAGACGGGAGGTGCCACACTTTTAAACCATCAGATCTCTTGAGAACTTTATCAGGAGAACAGCAAAGAGGAAGGCCACCCCATTACCCAATCACTTTATATTAGGCCCTTCCTTCAACATGTAGGGATTACAATTTGGCCTGAGATTTGAGTGGGAACACAGAGCCAAACTGTATCAACCTGCATAACTGAAAGTTATAACCTTTGACCAACATCAGCCAATTTTTTCCTCCTCCCAGCCCCTGGGAACTACTATTCTACTTTGCTTCCAAGAGCATGAATATTTTAGATTCTACATATAAATGAGTTCATGCAACATTTGACTCTCTGTGTCTCACTCCACTTAGCAAAGTGTTCTCTATGTGTTGTACATGTTAGAATTTCCTCGTTTTTAAAGGCAGAATAATATTCACTTTTAGGTAGGAATAAGCCACATTTTATCTGTTGATTCATAGATGGACATTGACCTATTTTCTATATCTAGGCTATTATGAATAATCTCACAATAAACATATATTTGTCACACTCACTTTATTTTCTCTAGATGTATACTCAGAAGTGGGTATATTCTATGTTCAATTCATTGAGTAATCTTGATGCTGTTTTTTCATAATGGCTGTACTAATTTGCATTTTGTTCCAAACCATACATGGATAACTTTGTACCACATATTCAGGTCTTTGTTTAAGTCTTAAATCCATTTTTAGCTGATTTATATGTATTGTGTGAGATAAGGTCCATTTTTTTTCTTCCGCATATGGATGCCCAGTTTTCACAGCACTTGTTGAAGAGACTGTTTTTTCTCTATTGTGTGTTCTTGGCAGTTCATCAAAGATCAGTTTATTGGGAAGAAATTGGTGGACTTCCAGATTGTCTGTAATGTTCTGTTGGATTCTATGTCTGTTTAAATGTCAGCATTATACTGTTTTGATTTACATAGATTTGATTTTGAAATTATAGAATATGATATATTCAGTTATATTTTACCCAAAATTATTTTGGCTATTTAAAGCTTTTGTATTTTTACATAAATTGGAGAACTTTTTAATATTTTTGTAAAACCATGCCATGGAGATTATATATTTATTTTATAGGCATATAATAGATATACCTAATTTATGGGAACATGTAATATATTGATGCATTTATAAACGTGTAAAGATCAGATCAGGATTGGTATATCTATCACATTAAACGTGTATATTTTCTTTATGCTAGGCACATTTGAACAACTCTCTTCTGGCTATTTTAACGTATACATTAGATTATCGTTAACTATAGTCACCTTACTCATCTATCAAACATTTAGGTTGTATTTCTCCTATATAACTGTATATCTGTCTTCAGTAATCATCCTCTCTTTATCCTCTTCTCTCTTGTATCCAACCAGGCTTCTGGTAAACAACAATCTACTCTCTGTCTTCAGGAAATCCAATGTTTTAGTTGTGACATAAAAGTAAGAAGATGCAATATTTGTCTTTCTGTGTTTGGTTTATTTAACTTAACATTATGGCTTCCACTTCCATTCATATTGTTGCAAATGACAAGATATCAACATTTATGGCTGAATAATATTCTATTGCCTACATCGATTATATTTTTATATCCATTTCTCCACCTACAGACACTGAGGTTGCTTTCATATCTGGGCTATTGTGAATAGAGCTGCAAGAACATGGAGTGCACATGCCTTTATGAGGCAGTGATTTTATCTTCTTTAGAACATACTCAGAATAGGATTTGCTGAGTCATCAGGTATTTCTATTTTTCTTTTATTTTGGAGTCTTCATACAACTTTGCACAATAGTGGAAATACAAACGGAAAAACCATTATAAAAAGCAGTTTCAGTTTTGAGGTATGATCCAAAAACACACAACATTTCATCATGATTCTCATTGGGAGTCTCTAATGAATCTGGTGGAAAGGCAGGAAGTTTTCTAACCTTGTTAAGAAAATTATGAGTTTGCACATTTTTCTTTTTGAGGCTGGAAATTGGCATGATTCAAGATGCGTAATGTTAGCAGGTTTCAGAATGATATAGCGAAAATCATAATGAGAAGGCAAGAGAGAGAATAAGAGAAAGACAGGAAAACAAAGAAACAAATAAATTTCACAAGAGAAGAAACTGCTGGATGTCAGTGTTGGGTTTTGTTCCTAGACATATCTGTACTGAGTGAGAAACCATGAAGCCAAGGGAAGAGTCTAGAACTTGTTCAAGTGAAGCATCAGCATATTTCTCCAAGGCACCTATTGTCACCCCATCACAAGGGTGATGAGTTTTTGAATACCATTAAATATGAGTTCCTAGTAAGTAATCATGTTTCCATGAAATTCAGTTAAAATGCAAAGGGTGTGTCCAGATCACTCATGCACAAAAATACAAAATTTGCCTTTGCATTTATGGCTGCATAGAGGTAAAGTCCATTGAGACTTCAGCAGGTTACAGAGATCTGTTAAGTTTTGGATTCCCATAGGAGAGTGCCTCTTAGTGAAGGTTGGACTATTAATTAAGTATGTACAAATTCCCTCTATGGGAGTAGTGTTCCATTTGTGTGGAATTTTTAATTCCTTATTGAATTGCAAAACAAATCCCAAGGACTGACTCCATGGAGTTTTACTGTAGTGTTCATAAAAATATTTAATAAGATTCCTTCCAGTGTTTCAAGGAAAGTTTTTCTCTAAAATTTTTTCTAATACATAAATTTTCCTGCCTAAAATTGAAACAGGCTGTTGTTAAAAAGACATACTGGAATGGCAGCTTTAATCTGTTGGTGATAGGAATGAGCATAATACATGAATCTCTTTGAGTGTTCTGCCTCATCCAAATACTGTATGGCAAAGGCTAGTATTGGAGGTAAAATCTCTAAATGTATTTGTTCCAGCCATCAAGTCATGGGGCAATAACAGATACATCCTTGAGGCAGAGGACCATAATGCCACAGTGCTAGTAGGAGTACATGTCGCCAAGGGAGTTCAAGGGTTCCTTAAAATTGTGATAATTTTAATGTAAGAACACCTTATTAGAGACAGGGTTTCAGCATGTTGACCAGGCTTGGTCTAGAACTCTTGACCTCTTGATCTGCCCGCCTTGGCCTCCCAAACTGCTGATATTACAGGAGTGAGTCACTGTGTCTAGCCAGTCCATTTATTTTCTTCTGCACATGGATACCCATAAACTTATGTGGAAGATTGTGGGAGGTTATAACAGTGTCATACTTTAGTATCAGCCATACCTCACAGAATCATTTTATAATAGTTCCTTTCATGGGTGTACTTCACTCAGTTCATGCAAAACCTGGCAGGTCACAGGCTAAAAACACAAAATACCGAAGTGTTTAACCAACTGAAAGGGCTGTAGCCTTTTGTCAATGAATTATTTCAAGACACGGAGAACACATATAGATTATAAATAAAATACTTTCACATCCCCTTAAGGGTGGAAATTGAGGAAATTTTACCTAAATGTGTCCAAAGGGCCCTGTGGCTTGGTTTCTGTCTAGGTCCCAATGATAGGGTTCTCCCAGGATTTTGTGGCTGTCTTGTTACACTTCATCAAGAATTAACCTCTGCTGTTTCCTCAAAGTGTTTAATTGGATAATGAATTTGTCTATAAATTGAAGAGTTGAAATACATCAAATATTAATTTGTAATAATCTGGCACAAATTATCTAAGCAAAGTCAATAACTAGATGTTTTTTCATTTATTTTTATTTAAAATCAGGACCTAAAGTTATGCTTTAATAACATCTGTGACCCTCTCAGCAGTTTTCTCTTCTGAGGATATGATCTGCTGTGGCAGTTTTCTTAGCTTCAATGTTACCTCTTTTTGCAATGACTACCGTCTTTATATTTGCCAGGAATCTGGGATAAAGGAGTGCTTCTAAGAGTTCCCTAACTTGCCCATTTTGGTGGGTGTTCCGGAACATATGAGATGCTCTGTTGTTAACAAAGCATCCCAAAGCCATGCACTGCCCTAAAATGTGTTTGTTTCCTAGTTTGACAAATTGGAAGTTCTAATAAATACAATCACTTCTGCCATCTGGGCTGATTTTACATCAGATAGAGGGCTGTATTCCAAAGAAAAGCTTACATTAGTAATAGCAATTTTAGTCAAAAGCCTAGAGTTTTATCATTGAGGTGCAATTCATAACAAATAATATTAGGTCGAGGTTCTCAGTGGCAGTGTCTAAATCTCTTAGGTGTACAGGGTCTTCCCTGTTAACATGAAGCATTTATAAGCACAGTCATAGTTTCCAGCCATGCTTCTCCCTGTCTCATTATCACCACAAACTATGGCCTCACCTGGAACTTGGGTTAATTTCCAAATAAGTAATTTTTTAGTCTTTATGCCTCTAGATTATTATGTGAGAAAGTTAACATTCAGTAGAAAGTTAAAAAGAACATTTGAACTGACTAAACAACACAGAAAATCAAGAATAAAATTCAAAGCCTAGATGTGAGAGGCTCCAGGCCTGGATAATGCAATAGTTCATGTAGGCAGGCAGTTTCTTTGCCCAGTTCTACACTGATACACCCAGAATGTCAGCTTCATGCCAGATTTGACTCCTATTATGTAGAGACATGGCAATACATTCTCAAGGGTCACATGAAATAATATGAAAATTGGTGGGAATAGGGGAGGAGACAACTCTGCAATTCTCATCTGAAGGACCAGGAAAGCCTGGACAGACCATCTCCCCAGCCTCCGTGACTGCACCACGTGCCCACATGGACACTCATCCCTGATAGGGTAAGAAGACTCCATTGATGGGGCTGAGCATTTTATGATAGAAATTACTAGAGACTGACGTGGAGGTTTCAACAACTAATATTTATAACCAAAATTTAATTACCCCCACATTGTTACCATTTTCTTCAGTGAAAAATTGCTTGCCATGATTAAGTTTTAAGTAGATTTCCAATGTTCACAACTGAGCTTCCAAGAGAGTCTTGAGAACAAAAACAATGAGGGCAGAGAAATCTATCTTTTCTGTATTCACCACTAAACTCAAGTGGACTCAGCACTGCCTTTGATCACTGCTGCTTCTCTGCAGAGTTCAGGTTTCTACTTCTCACAATTCTGACACACATTCTACCTCTCCTCAAATGTTTGGCCTCTGCTTCTTGTAAGGTCACCCTCTGTTCTTAACTTCTTCTCTGAGTCATTTTGTGAGGTGGTCATGAGCCATTAAATGGATATTTTATATTTTCCCAACATGAATCACATGAGTGGTCATGAATTATACTTCTGATTATGGCAGTTGATTTTTCTTGGCATGTTCATGACTAGTAATATTTGAAGCCATTTCATTCAAATCTTCGGGGCTTCGTTTTTGTTGCTATGACATTTTTTCTTCTATTGAGTCTTTCCACTAGTATTATAACATGACCTAGTATCCAGGCTCAGTTGTCATTAATAATAACCACATATGTCAAAAATCATGCATTCTTTTCACAGCAGACATAATTTCCTCTTTTCTGCAGATGAAGACACACTGCTGAGCTACCCCCACTTACAAGAATATATGCACAATTATGATATCTTCATTTATTTGACTAATAAGCTATATCATTCTCCCTTCAAATTCTTTACCCCCCAGAAGTCCTGGACAAATTTCTGCATCTGCTCAAACCATAAACTCAGAACTACATGGTGAGTAAAAGTCACCTGGTTCTGGATATTGGGTCCATCTCTTCCCCTCCAATGTCCCAGAGCACCTCAGCACACCTGTCCAGGTTCTATCAAGAAAGAGTAGCTCCTGCACACTGAAGGAAACAATTGAGTTAAGAGAGGACCTGCAGATGATAGACAATATTGAAAACTATTAATATGACAAAGGATTACTACCAAGCATGTGAAATAAGCTCAACGGGTGTGGTGGTTCATGTCTGTAGTACCAGCAATTTGGGAGGCAAGTTGCGCAGATCACCTGAGGTTAGGAGCTCGACACCAGCCTGACCAACATAAAGAACACCCTGTCTCTACTAAAAGTACAAAATTAGCTGGGCATGGTGGCATGCGCCTGTAATCCCAGCTACTCGGGAGGCTGAGGCAGGAGCATCACTTGAACCTGGGAGGTGGAGGTTGCGGTGAGCTGAGATGGCACCATTGCACTCCAGCCTGGGCAACAAGAGGGAAACTCCATCTCAAAAAAAAAAATTACAAAAAATTAGCTGAGCGTGGTGGTGGGCGCCTGTATACCCAGCTGCTAGGGAGACTGAGGCAGGAGAATCACTTGAACCCAGGAGGTGAAGGTTGCAGTGAGCTGAGATTGCGCCATTGCACTCCATCCTGGGCAACAAGAGTGAAACTCCATCTCAAAAAAAAAAAAAAAGAGCCTTGCAAAGGGCAAATAGATCATAGACAGACAGATAGATAGATAGACCTATTAGTATACATACATACATATATATACACTAATATTCAGGAAAATGCAAATTCATAATGAGATGTCTTTTCACCCTTCATCTCTGCTAGAAAGTTTGTTATCTGAAAAACAAATACATACATACATACTTATTAAAAGCTGGCCAGGATGCCTAGAAAGTAAAACTCATAGACCACTGGTGGAAATGTAAATTAGTGCAGCCATCAAGGGAAAAAAATAGAACTACCATATATTCCAGCAATCCAACTGCTAAGTATATATCTATTTAAATATTTAAAAGAAAAAACTAATATTGAAGAGATACCTGTACACCCATGTTTATTGCAGCACTAATCACAATTTCTAAGATATGAAATCAACATATGTGTCCATCAACAGATGAATGGATACATAAAATGTGATATATTTACACAATGGAATATTATTCAGCCTTAACAATGAAATTCTGCCATTTAAAGCAACATGGATGGAATGGGACACCACTATGTTGAGTGAAATGAGTCAGACACAGAAAAATAAATACCGCATTTCTCAGCGTTACTTCTAGAAGTAAATAGTAGAGTAGTGGTGATGAGATGCCAGGAATGAGAGAAGGCTGAGAGATAAGAAGAGGTTTGTTAACAAACACACAATTACAGGTAGACAGGAGGGATGTGCTCTAGTGTTCTACAGCACAGTAGGGTGACTACAGTTAACAATATATTGTACGTTTTCTGTTTACAAGAAGCCAGAAGAGAGAATTTTCTATGCTACCAACACAAATAAATGTTAGTGTCTGAACTGACGAATTTGCTCATTGTTCTGATTTTGGTCATACCAAGTGGCACACATGTATTCAAATATCACACTGTATCCCATAAACATAAGCAGTTATTATGTGCCAACTTTGAAAAATCCTTTAATTAAAAAGAATTATATTGGCGTACATTACAAATGATTCAACACAGAGACAGGAATAAATACCATTTTTCTTTGAAATAGTTAATTAACTAACAATGTAGTTACATTCATTTGCACCAAATCGTGTATTTGATAATGGTATGCATAGACAGAGTTATGCATAGGATAATATCTTTTAATTTTAGACTACTACTTAATACTATAAATATAAATAATTTTAAAACAACTAAGTAAAAAGAATAAAGCTGAGAAAATGTGTGTGTGGTGTGTGATGTGTGAGCTTTTTCTTGTGCACCACTGTGTCCTTGGTGGATGTGTGGTTCATGTGTTTGTTTTTATTTACTCTGTTTGGGGTTCTCTTTGCTTCTAGGATCTGTAGTTCAGTTTCTTTCACAAAATTGGGAACATTCTTCGCTATTATCTTTTTCAAATAGTTTCTGTGTATTTATAATTTCTCCTTCTCAGATTTAAAATATACACATACTATAATTTTGATATTAATGTTTAGTTTCTTTCTTCACTCTCTTTTCGTTTGCAATTTACTTTGTGAAATTTCTAGTGACATACTAATCACATGGTTTTATTGAAAAGCTGAGCCAGCTCTACTGAGGTGTGTGCCAAAAGATTGCTCGATGTTCATACAGCATTGCTTTTGATTTCTTACGCATTTCCATTTGATTTATTCTTAGTATTTTCATATTTCAGTTCCCTATCTATGTCCACGATTTCTTTAAGAGATTCTTGCATATGAATCATAGTTACTTTACATATCTTGTTTAATTAGATATTTATAATATCTGTTTCATCTACAAATCTCATGCTGATCATTTGTTTATTACGACTTTGGTACTTCTCATTAATGTATGTAATAATTGTTGATAGCCACAGATACTGGGATGGACAGTGGATACTGGCTTATTATTTCATTTTATGCATTTCTGCCTGTATTTGACCACACTTTACCTTTGCCAGGCCTTTACTGTGGAAGTATCTGTGAATCTTCTCAGAACTATATTTGACATTCACTTTTGCAGTGGACATCAAAGTTGAAGTCTGTTCTTCTGTGTCCACCAGAGACTTCAGATCCTCCAGTGATATCTTGTTTTTCTTTCCTGCTTGGCTTTGTCTCTTCACCTGTTCCCTCCTCCAGAGAATCATGTTCAGCTCCCTCAGGTGGATTTAAATGTTATTTAACTGACAATTGTGAAATTGGTGGAAAGCAATAGAATAAAGGGAGATTTTCTGACCTTTCCTGGGTTCATATTGTGAACATGAGTCTGGGTGTGACCTTCCCAATGTTTCTGAACTTCCTCCAGATGAGATGTTGGTCTGTGTGTTCTTGCTCTTTTCCCTGCTGTGGAGTCCTCTTGTTTTCCCCAGTTGTTCCCTCCCACAGCTCCAACGTTCTCTTTCGGTGTTATCACCTTACAGATTTGCTGACTAGAACTGCAGATTAAGGCTCTGATTAAATAAGAAGGAGGGGAGATACTTCTCAATGGAACTTAGGTGAAGACCTCTTTTCCCATCTCAGTTCCTAAGGGATTGCCCCAGTGCCCCTAAGATACTGGTTTTGGTGGCTTGCCCCTCCAGAATAATTTCTTTGTTCTCCAGTGGGGATATGGAAGGTGGGTCTGAACGCTTTTCAGAAGGGTGGGCACTTTTTCTCTCCTAGACAGACACAATGGGACAGAACAATTTTGGTGACTGTCCCCATTTTGGGGAAAAAGGATTCAATAGGATAGGAAAACTCTTCAGTCTGTGGTCCCTAAGAAATTCACCCTACAACACATTTACCACACTTGACTTCAAGCAATCCAATATATATGTGTGTTTTCATCTTGTAATAGCCTACATTTTACATGCCATACTCTGCCTCAGTTCAGCTCATACCCCAGCTTTGTTACTCTTTACAAGAACTTGCCTCTCCCTAGATTTCACATTTGCTGTTTATCTTAAAACTTCAAGTATCTAAAGTATTATTTTTAAAAAATGGCCAGTTGTGGTGGCTCACACCTGTAATCCCAACGCTTTGGGAGGCTGAGGTATGTGGATCACCTGAGGTCAGGAGTTTGAGACCACCCTGGCCAACATGGTAAAACCTGTCTCTACTAAAAATACAAAAAAAAAATAGCTTGGCATGGTGGCAGGCACCTGTAATCCCAGCTACTTGGGAGGCTGATACTGGAGAATAGCTTGAACCCAGGAGGCAGAGTTTGCAAGTCGTACCATTGCACTCCAGCCTGGGCGACAGAGTGAGACTCTGTCTCAAAAAAAAAAATTCCAAAATTCCAGCTCCTCTGTTTATCTATTTTTGTTGATACTGTTGTTGTAAAACATAAGTAAAATATATTATTCATCTATGTACATTTCCAAGCTGTGTAGAAGAATTTTTAATAAGACCCAGAGTAAAAAAAGAATGCAAATATGTAGGGGCCAGCCCTACAGGGTCTGTGGATCTTTCTCCCCATGTGCAGAGATGAGAGATCGTAGAAATAAAGGCACAAGACAAAGAGATAGAAGAAAAAACAGCCGGACCCAGGGGACCACTACCACCAAGACACAGACTAGAAGTGGCCCCGAATGCCTGGCTCCGCTGTTATTTATTGGATACAAGGCAAAAGGGGAAGGGTAAGGAGTGTGAGTCATCTGCAATGATTGATAAGGTCATGTGGGTCACGTGTCCACCAGACAGAGGGCACTTCCCTGTTTGGCAGCCGAGGCGGAGAGAGAGAGAGGACAGCTTAGGTCATTATTTATTCCATTCTCTTCTCAGAAAGATCAAAGACTTTAATACTTTCACTAATTCTGCTACTGCTATCTAGAGGGCGGAGCCAGGTGTACAGAGTGGAACATGAAAGTGAAACAGGAGTGTGACCGCTGAAGCACAGCATCACAGAGAGACGTTTAGGCCTCTGGAGGGCTGCGGGCAGGTTTGACTGATGTCAGGCCTTCCACAAGAGGTGGTGGAGCAGAGTCTTCTCTAACTCCCCCGGGGAAAGGGAGACTCCCTTTCCAGGTCTTCTAAGTAATGGGTAATGGGTGCCTTCCCAGGCACTGGCGCTACCGCTAGACCGAGGAGCCCTCTAGTGGCCCTGTCCGGGCGTGACAGAGGCTCACACTCCTGTCTTCTGGTCACTTCTCACTGTGTCCCTTCAGCTCCTATTGCTGTATGGCCTGGTTTTTCCTAGGTTATAATTGTAGAGCAAGGATTATTATAATGTTGGAATAAAGAGTAATGCTACAGACTGATGATTAATGATATTCATATATAATCATATCTATAACCTATTTCTAGTACAACTATTCTTATTTTACATATTCTCTTCATTACACTGGAACAGCTTGTGCCCTCAGTCTCTTGCCTCAGCACCTGGGTGGCTTGCCGCCCAGACAAATATTGTTAAGCTTCTTAATAGAAAAACAAATTATGGTAAATGTGTTCACTGGAATACTACCCGTCATTTATAATAAATTAATGCCTGATACACAGAGCAACAAGGTAAAATATCTAAGTATTTATGTTGAGTAAAATAAGCTAAACAAATAAGAATATATACTATGTAATTTCATTTTTATAAATTCTGATAAATAAAAATGCATCTGAAGTAAAATAATGAAGATAAGTAGTTGCCTGGGGTAATGGTAGAAGAAGGGAGGGGGAGAGGAGGAGGAATACAGCAGAACAAGGGGAAATGTTGAGAAGAATTCACTTGTCCACTTTCTTGGTAATGATAGCAGTTACATCATTTTTATTAGTTGTACATTTTAAATATGTGAAGTTTATTATCTTTCAATTAAGCCTCATAAAATGTCTTACAAGCAAACAAATGGAAACTTAGACAAGGAAAGAGTAATAGAAAGACAGAAAAAATAAGTTCAATGTCAGAAGTACCTGAAAATTAATGTGCCTGGATCCTAGTTCTCTCCATATTTTCAGAAGAGTGCTGGAGGGCAGCAAAACCACACATGCTCTTATTACGGAATGTGGGTTCTGATAAAAACACTAGACACATCCAGCTTTGTCCTGGAGTTGGTTTAGGGGGATGTCAGAGACAGTGATGAAGAGCACAGGGCCAGATACCGGGGTTCACTCATCCCAGACATGAGCTCCGAGACGCATACAGAGCCCCCCCATGTGTGGGTTTACTTCCACTTCTGTAAATGGAGAAAATATTGTCTCCTACAGAACATAGTTTACATGAATATTTAAAATGAAATAGGGTGATTAGTGCAAAGTGTTTATCACAGCACAATTTCATAATAAGACAGCATATTTTCCAAATGCAATCATTGCCAGCAAACTTCTACAGGGCACCGTCGTCTTATCTGGGTACAGCCTACTCCTCAAGGGTCCCACCCTAGAGCTTGCTATATAGTAGGAGATATGCAAATAGGGCCCTCCCTCTACTGATGAAAACCAACCCAACCCTGACCCTGCAGCTCTCAGAGAGGTGCCTTAGCCCTGGATTCCAAGGCATTTCCACTTGGTGATCAGCACTGAACACAGAGGACTCACCATGGAGTTGGGGCTGTGCTGGGTTTTCCTTGTTGCTATTTTAGAAGGTGATTCATGGAAAACTAGAGAGATTTAGTGTGTGTGGATATGAGTGAGAGAAACAGTGGATATGTGTGGCAGTTTCTGACCTTGGTGTCTCTTTGTTTGCAGGTGTCCAGTGTGAGGTGCAGCTGGTGGAGTCTGGGGGAGGCTTGGTACAGCCTGGAGGGTCCCTGAGACTCTCCTGTGCAGCCTCTGGATTCACCTTCAGTAGTTATGAAATGAACTGGGTCCGCCAGGCTCCAGGGAAGGGGCTGGAGTGGGTTTCATACATTAGTAGTAGTGGTAGTACCATATACTACGCAGACTCTGTGAAGGGCCGATTCACCATCTCCAGAGACAACGCCAAGAACTCACTGTATCTGCAAATGAACAGCCTGAGAGCCGAGGACACGGCTGTTTATTACTGTGCGAGAGACACAGTGAGGGGAAGTCAGTGTGAGCCCAGACACAAACCTCCCTGCAGGGGTCCCTTGGGACCACCAGGGGGCGACAGCACACTGAGCACGGGGCTGTCTCCAGGGCAGGTGCAGGTGCTGCTGAGGGCTGGCTTCCTGTGATGGCCTGGGGCGGCCTCATTGTCAAATTTCCCCGGGGAACTTCTCCAGATTTACAATCCTGTACTAATATTTGATGTCTCTAAATGCAACCTTTTTTTTCCTTTTTGTGTCTGTTTTTTTTTTTTAAAACAGGAGGACACATCCTCACCTCCACAGAAGCCACAGTGTCACTTTGGGGGCAGAAATAATCCTTTCGTGGTCAACAGGGTGAGAGTTTTGAGGAATCCCAGGGAAACCTGGGGAATGTTTTCCAATTAGACTCAGGGCAGAGACCTCCATGGGAATCTCTGATTAGAACAGGCTTTGAGTTCTGATGGGAGCCAAGAGAGAGGCTCACCCAGGGTCAGGGTTCTTAAAACCTGATGGTTTTCACAGCAATCCCCCTTCATCTTGTGAAACTGGGCACATCTGACTCAGACTGATTCAGTTGACCCTCTTTCTGCTAATCCATTTTCCTTCCCAGTAGACTTGATTCTCACAGATCCCTTTCTTCTTCTCTTTCCTGAAAACAGAGGATGTGTTTTCTGTAGTCTAAATTCCAAGGCTCAGGTCCGCAGGAGCTGGGTAGGCTGAGGGGTCTTCCTCACTCACTATTGCCTGGAAAATCCTGCTGTCTTCTGTGCATGGAGGCATTTGGAAAATGAAGCAGGCATTAGTCATGAAGGGAATAATACTAGTTTTCTCCAATGGGATGTTGATGTAGAGCTGATCTTATGCTTCTCACACTGTCACAAAGTTTGGACTCTCACCTGTGACTTTGAGGAGAGCTTGTGATACCTTATCTTGTTTTAATATGAATAGACTCTCCCTTAGCTCAGGAAGCTGGAACAGACTCCATTTGGCTCCTTCATTTGTAAGACATCAAGGGCTCCTCACCCACCCCCTTCCTCAAGGACTTAACTTGTTTAAGCTGACTCCCAGCATCTCAAAGAGTGCGATTAACTGATAAGGTACTGTGGCAAGCTGTGTCCGCAGTTCCCAGGAATTTGGCCAGGTGATGGTACCCTAAAGCCCCTGCATTTGTGTCTGGCAGATAACACCCAGAGCCCCCACACCTATCATCTTGTGATGAATTTAAAGCCCCTGCACCTGGAACTGTTTGCCTGTAACCATTTGTCCTTTCAACTTTTTTGCCTGTTTTACTCCTGTTAGAATGCTACAGTTAGGCTCCCCCTCCCCTCTCTAAACCAAAGTATAAAAGAAAATCTAGCACCTTCTTCGGGGCTGAGAGAATTTCCAGCGTTAGCCATCTCTCAGTTGCCAGCTAATAAAGGACTCCTGAATTCATCTCAAAGTGCGGCGTTTCTCTCTAACTCGCTCGGTTACAACAAGCTGAGGATGGACACTCCATTGTGCAGTGAGCTCTGGGTGACAGTAATCGTAGGGTCTCCCCGGGCAGCCTAAGGTCAATACTGCTGGCCGTCGGGAAAGACAGGCTGGAATTCCTGGGAAGACCTGCATCTGCCATCTACCACGGAGTCCTATGGTCTTCTGTTACACTCTCTTTGAATCAGCACCACCTAGATTATCTAAAACACTCTTTGTGACTTCATGACTGGGAAAAAATAATGGCAGTCTCTACTAACACCTGTGTTAAGCCATGGGAGCAACACCTAGGCTAGTGTGTGATTGAGTAGTTGAGACTGTGGTCTAGTCAAGGTGACACATAAAATTGATTGTTGCCATTATGATATTTTATTTTATATTTGACAATATAATCATGCTCATATTATAAATATTTCTGTTACATTATTTGTGTCAGAGGCTTTGGAACCAGAACAACTTCATCTTGAATAAGGGGTAGGAAAAATAAGACTGAGACCTGCTGGGCTACATTCCCAGTAAGCTAAGGCGTTCTTAGTCACAGGATGAGATAGGAGGTCTGCACAAGATCCAGGTCATAAAGACCTTGCTAATAAAGTTTACAGTAAAGAAACTGGGCTGAAGCCCACCAAAACCAAGATGGTGACAAAAGTGACCTCTGTTTGTCCTCATTGCTCATTATATGCTAAGTATTATGCTTTAACATTCTAAAAGACACTCCCCACAGAGCCATGACAGTTTACAAATGCCATAGCAACATCAGGAAGTTTCCCTAGAAACTAAAGAGTGGAGGAAACCTCAGCTTTGGGAATTGCCCGGGGAATTCATGAATAATCCTTCTTTTGTTTAACGTATAATCAAGAAATAACCATAAAAATGGACAACCAGCAGCCCATACCACTTCTCTGCCTATATAGTAGCCATTCTTTATTCTCTTACTTTCCTAATAAACTTGCTTTCCTTTTATTCTGTAGATTTGCCCCAATTGGGATCCCTTTCCAGTAACATTTGTGTTATTATTGGTTTTCTAAGCAGAAAACTCTGAGAGGAGGTGTCAGCCGGGCTTCCTGGGTTGAGTAGAGGCTCAGAAAGCAGTGAAACTCACTCATTTCCTGCATCAGGACTTACTTTGGTCCTGGATGAATAATATTGAAGATATATGCTTAAAATATTCCTAACATCACAATTTGTGCATGTGTTTTCTTCCCTAAGAAAGCTATAAACAGTGAAAATTTTGCTGTAAGCTTCCCTGTGTCCTCTCTCCCTCTCTCCATTCCCCCTCCCCTGAAACTAAAAGGAATGTTTTAACATTATGGGCTTTTAAGTCTGTATTTCTGTGACCAGCAGACCTTATCTATGCTCCCAATTCAAATTCCTTGTAAACACAATTTGTAAAATCCTGCGAGATCCTGTCTCCTTGGCCACGCCACTGCAAGGTCATAAAGTAGATCAAACTTAAGTTACAATTCTGATTTTCCTCAAGATCTGAGACATGTTAATTGTCTTTGTTTCTTGCTCAGGTAACATCTCTTTTTGCTCTTTTTTATCTCTTTTTGCACTTAAATCTAAGTTTACATTAGTCATGTATCTAGAATGTAGAAATATGTCTTAAAGTTACTTAACTTTTTAAAAAATTTATGGGGTTTCCAGAAGATGTGAGAACCTCCTTTATTTATAAAATAGCTGATTGCACGTTGCTCAATAATTTCCTCTTTAATTTATCTCTCTCCTGTCACATTATACTATGATAAGCAAAAAGAAATGAAGGCATACCATCAACAGTTTACTTAGATATCTCCTCAGCTAAATTTCTAAGGTATAATTTACTAATTCTAATTTTATCCAATTTAACATAATTAAGATAAATTATATAACAAGGTACACATATGTTCCAGTTCTAACACCATGTTTGTGACAGAAATAAAACAGAGCTTCTCTCTGTAATGTGGTCATCTGAGCCCTGAGGTGATGGGTCACACAGGTATTTTTATGATATTTAAGGGTTTGGTCAAGAACAGTGATAACAAGTCTGAACAAGACTGGTCATACTTGAAAGGTTACAGGTAAAGTTACTGCTGTTATTTTATATTAACGCCTTATTAGAATAAAGCTCAGAGGAAGAGGCCACATCCTAGGTCACAGTAGGAGGAGGAATGGAGCTGTGCTCTGCTCTCCACACTACTTTTCACATCCCAGGCACAAGCCCAGGTTCCATGACGCACGGCATCTAGAGGGCAGTTCTCAGGGGATGATCTCAGGGCACCTGCTTCCTCGGGCAGGGCGCTTCCTTCTCTCAATTGCAGACTTGCTCCTTCTGCAAGGTCTGAAGTCAGCACTTGTATTCCCATGATTTTTACAGGTTCTCTTCCCTAATATGGCAAAAATCTTTTTATTAAATTTTCAATTTTATTTTCTCTGAAGCACACTGCATTAGCAGAAACGAATATATCACATTCCTTATCCGCCCACACAGCCAAAGATTCCTGAAGACAGAGCTGATGTGACGTACTCATAGGTGGATCTCTGCCCCTCAGAGGTGGCCTTGGTCTTCAAGTTTCAGCAATTTCTAGGAAGCCAAAGACACCTCCATCTACTCCTCCCTGCTCGACAGCTCACCTGAGAACAGCTTTCTCATTGGAATGTCTTGTGTTTAAGAAATAAAAGTTGCTGTTTGAGGTTAGGGAGCCCAGGTGCACCTACCAGATCCAGCCCAGGATTGGAGATACTTTTCAGAAGACAACATCACCTGAGACACGACCAGTCCCACTGTTTCACTTTCACAATTTCAGCTTCTTCAGAAGAAAATTAAAATTGTTGAGACTTGTTCATAAGCGTTGTGCCATGTCCTTTCTCTGTTTTCTTGCCTGTTCATTGATGTCATGCCAGGTGCCACTTCTATGTAATAGGATCAGAATTCTGCCTCTAGTAACACATCAGAGGTGAGGTTTGATTGTACTTTTGGTTTATGCTCCAAAACGTAGATTATAAAATTCATCACCCTCATTTTTATGTCAAAAGTAATCTGCATAATCTGGATGTCAATACTTTTTGGAATCTATGAAATAACAGAAATTGCAAGAAATATTACCCACTCCAAACCTGGAGAGACAGGCATGTGCAGAATGGCAATTGACACCTGCTTAACTGGAGCAGAAGCTGCAGAAGCCACAAGCTGTTGAGGGCACTTACATGGTAAGCACTACAGACGTCTGAAGACAGATGTGGACTCAGTAAATGTAACAGTTCCAGAGGGTCTTATACTTCTAAGTTTTCTGGAATTTCTTTCCAGAAACCTCAAGATTCTAAAATGTACATTCCAAAGACATTTCCTATAGATCAAAATTGCAGATATTAATTACTGAGAAACATACCACGAGCCTTCTTCAAAAGCTTCTACAGGAAAGGACTTTTCCAGAACCTTATCCTATGTGAAGGAAGACAAATCTCCCACTGCAGATTTCTCTCCCATTCTTCCATAATTGTAGAAATGAGTAAAGTTAGCCAATAGAGGTAAGATATAAGTAAATAATCCAGGGATGCTGAAAACAAAAAAGGGAGTAATCGCCCAAAATGAGCTTTTCCCCTGGAGACGCCTGGTCAAGATCATAGGCCAGAAGAGGAAGCTGACTGTGTCTCTAGGTTTCCACTGTCAGAACAGGCAGTGCTTACCTGCACTGCACAATCCATTCTAACCAGGATGATGGCTCTGGATTAAAGGTGAAAGTGTGGCAATGCACAGACTCTATCTGAGGAGAACACAGGAAAACTAAAGGACAACGGCAGAGGGTGAGACAAGAACAGTAGAGCAATCTGAAGCCTCTGACATCATGATTTTTAAGACCAATGTCTTAAACACTCCTTCATTGACCTCAGCTTCTTTCATCATGAAGCCTTTGCAGTGACTCTATCTGAGAAAAAGAAAATAACCTCCTGCATGCACTTCTCAAGTCTCTGCTTGTATCCTGTTTGCTTTAGGTCTCTAGGGGAAAAAGTCAGATACCTGGACCTAGTGTCAGTGTAGGAGGCACATCCTAAAAGCTACAAACTAGGAAGAAGGGAAGATGGGTGTTATTGGAATAGTGGATATGGAGTGGGCTTTCTTCTGAAAGTATATGCACCTGCTGGTATTCTCAGATGCAACATTCAACTGCAAGAGCCCATTGAAGAAACAAGGCACTCCCAAATCTCCTGTAAGATTCTGTATTCATTTCAGATAAGCCCACATGTCCCCGCATTAACTTTTTCTTCAGACAAGCACATACATCTGAAACTGAACAGCTATGTGGCAAAATAAGCTCAGGATAGAAGTAATTGTGGACTCCAGCTCTGACAATTTGTAGATCTGCATTTTTAAAATTCTAACTGAAGACTTTGCTTTATTGTAGAGGACAGTGGTTTACAGCTCGAATTGCACAGCCTACAGGCAGATGTCCATTTCCTCTGGGCAAGGTTTATTTTTATTTGTTTACTGTACTTATTTGTTGACAAACATTGATACTATAAAGATACCCTAACAGCGTCCACATGAAAGAAAAAGAAAGAGCAATGGACACATCAACCCTGAACATCCAGTCCCAGGAATCCTTTGACCCTGCCCTCCTTGCAACCCAGAGATATAGATTGGATGAGCCCTGCTGAGCAGAACACACATGTCCCCAGGAGAAAGACATGGAAATGAGGCCCCTCCCTGCTAATGAAAAGCAGCTCTTCCCCTCTTCTCCTGCAGGTCCTGGTGAGGAGCCACCCAATATCTGTGCCCTTCCTCAGTGTCCACACCATCGGGTCTATGATGATCTGGGCTTCACTTGTCATCACTCTCAATATTGAGGTTCCCCGTTAAACAGACTGAGTGAACTGTGGCTGCTCCACGTGGGGGCTGTTCTCAGTCTGTTGCTTCTGTGCTTGCAGAGGTCCCCTGTGAAGTTAATTACTGGAGTCTCTCAGAGAAATACTACAGACCAAGAATTCTCAGACTTTTCTGGAAACCCTGTGGATTCACTTTCACTGAAAACAGCATAAGCTTGGTCCAGCAGGCTTCATGACAGGGGTGGGTGTAGGTGATAACATCAGTAATTCAAGTGGAAGTTCTCAGTGGGACTCTCCTTGAGTACAAAGAAGATTAACAGTCCTCAGAGACACGCTTTTCAGATGATTCTCTCTTAAGATGATTAACCTGAGAGCTCAGGAAAATTCCGTTTATTACTGTGAGGGACACGGTGAGGGGACATCTGTGTGAGCTCAGACACAAACCTGCCTGCAGGGAGACACAAACCTCCCTGCATGGTAGATGCTTCTCAGAACCACCAGGGGGTGCACAGGAAACCAGAAGGTGCTCAGGACACCAGGGGGTGCTCAGAACCACCATGACTCACTCAAGACGCCAGGGGCGCTCAGAACCACCGTGGGGCACTCAGGACACCAGGGGGACTCAGGAAACTAGGGGGTACTCAGAACCACCAGGCGGTGCTCAGGACACCAGGGAGCTCTCAGAACCATCTGGGGGCACTGAGGAAACCAGGGGACTCAAACACTAGGGTGTGCTCTGAAGCACCAGCGGACCCTCAGGACTGCAGGGGGCGCTCAGGACACTAGGGAACACTCAGAACCACCAGGAAGCGCTCAGAACCACCAGGGGGCCCTCAGGACATCAGAGCGTGCTGAGGACCTCCGGGGGCGCTCAGGACCTTCAGAGAGTGATCAGAACACCAGAGGGCGCTCAGAACACCAGGAGGTGCTCAGGACAGCAAGGGGCTCTCAGGACACTAGGGTGTGCTCAGTAAACCAGGGGTCCCTCACAACCACCAGGGGGCACTCAGGACACCAGGGGATGCTCAGGACACCAGGGGCCACTGAGGACACCACCGCTCCCTTAGCAGGCAGCTCCACATCAGGCCCCTGGGTTGGGGCAGGAAGGGTGTTTTCCTTTTGGATCTTGCCACTAAACTCTTGGGAGTTTTTCTCCTTCCTTTGTGGTTTCAAGAAACATTGGTAGATTCTTCTCAGGTATAAAGCTCTGCTTTCTTGGATTATGTAATGTTTTTGGTTTCGGATGTTACCAGAATTACACTGCACTGTGAGAGGATTCATTCCTCGTGTGTGCAATAGTGAATGAAAGCTCCAATGTTAGGGGTGGCTTTGAAAGCTACGTTAGGGGTGGCTGAGGGCAGTTAGCAGGAAATGATCATCACTATAGAAGGCTACTCATTTCTTTGCACATTTCCATAAATAATTGTAGTTTATGCCCTAAAAACTGCATGTTTTCTTGGCCCTTTTTCTTAAATGCCTCCAATCCAAGACCAGTCATCTAATTAAGCTGTATGTCAAAGACCACCAATCAAGTTAAGTCTGTTTAATGAAACACTTTGTAAACAAAAAAGTACATCTGTGTTTGTATAGTCAGCTTTAAATTTTACATTGCTTTACAAATATTAATTTTGTAAATTTAGTCTCATAATTATCGTCAGTATTTAAAATCTTAAAGTCTTGCTATGTTAAATTAAGTAATCTTAGCTTTCTCACTATGAATTAGAGTTACTAAGAATTAGAATAGTAAGAGCATGTAATAAGCTTTTGGTGAAGTTTATAAAGAAAGATGAAGATACATTTTTTGCTTTAAAATATTTTGTTTTCCAGTTTACAGGACCTTTCTACTGGTTTTAAGATAACAATCACTGTTTACATCTAACCCTTTTTTTAAACACCTGCTGTTTAAGATTATAAAATTATAAAATTAAAAACCTAGTTAAAACCAGATTGATCTTTGTAATTTAACAAGATGTTCAGTATTGTTGTTTTAATAAAAAAAAATAGGTAAATACTTAGCTACTAGAAAAATAATCATCTACTTAATCATAAGGTTTTACTTAGGTAAACACCTAAATTTCATGGGTTATAAACATGGTTAATAGGTGAAAAACTTTAATGGACAAGTATTACAGTTTTCATAAATATTCTAGGTAAGCTATTTAAAAAATAAATTAGGTAAATGAAATAAAATAAACCATTTAAATAAACTTGTTCTACAATTTAAAAATCTAAAGTTTAATTAAATAATATATATTATATAAATGTTTATGCATTACTAATTGTTTAAAATATATATACTATAAGGAAAACTTTTTAAAAATACATATTATAAGAAAATATTTTTTGAAAACATTTGTTTTTAGAAAAATAATTTATTTAATTCAAAGGTTAATTATAAAATGTCATAAACATACCCAGTTAATAAGAGAGGTTTAAAGAAAGTTCTAGACATAGAGAAGTACTTTTGGTAAGAAAGGTTAAAATAAAAAAAAATTATATGAGAGGGAATTTTGTAGGATAACTTTTTATATATAAAAGTGACTATTTATGAAAGAATAATGTTTAGAATAAAACAAGATGTTCAAGTATGCCATAAATGGTTCGTGTAAGTCAAAATAAGGTTTATAGAAAGCTAACTTATTAAAAAAACTTCATGTTATCGAGTTGACTATAATTGAAAGGGAAGAATTTATTATAGTCTTTATAGGGATCTGGCTTTCATATGAAAATATACTAACACACTGAAGATTGGTTAGAATGACAAAATTGTCTTAAAGTATTGATTTATTCAATAAAATTATAAGGTATTATAATTTTTTAACCCAAAATTTTAACTTTTGTTGCATCTTGCCATTTTTATTTTTTTCCATTTGAGAAGGCTTGAGAGGATCTCAACTTTTTCATCAGCTCCTTTAACATTGTTTCTTACTTACAGCAGTTAGCCTCTGAGTTAACTTCTAACTGTTGTTAGTTTCTGACTGCTATTATTTCCTGATGTTAAAATCCTCTATCTTAAAGTTCTAAATAAAATGTTTTCTTTCAATATAATATTCAGTGTCGTTGGCTTTTCTTTAACTGTCTAAATTTTTCTATGAAACCAAAATCTTCACTTGTAAAGACACATTCTTCCTAGGTCTGATTAATTCAAATACTTTTTTCATTAGAGTTGACTTGCAGGTTATGTACATGGAGTTCCCCATAGGAAAAAACAGTCACAGTGCAGAAGGCTTTATTTTTGCTATTTGGTAACTGGCATGAGACAAATTTTAAATTTCATTGAAATAATTCCTATGTAAGTGTTATTAAGTTTTTCAACTACTTAGTAATACTGAGAGTTTAAGACAATAGAAATTAATGTTATGACATTCATGTAACTATCTGTATAACTTTTAAAGTCCTTGTGCTGCTACTTTACTGAGCTTTGAATCCTAGGTCTAAAAAGGACACACAACACTTTGGGAGGCTAAGGTGGGCAAATCACCTGAGGTCAGAAGTTAGAGACCAGCCTGGCCACCATGACAAAACCCCATCTTTACTAAAAAATACAAAAATTAGCTGGGCATGGTGGCAGGTGCCTGTAATCCCAGCTACTTGGGAGCCTGAGGCAGAGAGAATTGCTTGAACTCGGGGAGGTGGACGTTGCAGTGAGCAGATATTGCACTACTGCACTCCAGCCTGGGTGACAGAGTGAGACTCCATCTCAGAAAAAATAAATAAATAAAATAAAAAATAAAAAGGACACCAAGTCCAGCTAAATCTTAAACACCGACAGCAATTAAAGCCCCATCTACAGACCTGGAAGAAAATGACAAGAAAAATTGATCACACTCTCAAGACACAAGCCCAGAAATTGAAACTACTTAACCACCCCAGCCCCAGGGACTATTACAGAAGAAGTGGCTTTGTAAGATTGTAAAAGCTAATTTTGAGAGATGAAATCGGTTCAGAGTTTCTTTATAAATTAAACATTAATGCAAGGCTAGCATCTGGGCCCCTGTGCCAGATTGACCAGGGTTTCTTGAAGAATTAATCCACATTTAAATTTAAAAAACAGATAAAACTGTATAAAAGATCTATGCAAATTATTTTTATGGTAAAAGTAATTATAATTTAATAGATTTATTTTTCAGAATTGATAGTTTTAACTTTTCTCATGCTGTTCTTCTAAGGGGTTATATTTTAGAAAATCAATTCTACTCTTTCAAAAATATTTTTTTTCTTTTTTTTAGAAATCACTGAGTTTTCATGTGGCTAAATAAATAACTTATTTTACAATAATCTGTAATCCTATTTTGTAATATCAAGTGTTGTAAACTTTTGATATTTGACAAAGTTCACAAAATAAAATTCTAAATTCAGTCATTTGAACACCCTGAAAAGAAACACATTTAGCTTATTTGGTACAGTTAAATTATACAGGAAGTAATGTCAAATTTGCAATGGTTATTAACTTTGGACTATATTTATATAAATGTGGACTATATAATTTGAATATACTTATGTAAAGAGTATATGTTCCAAAATTCTATTAGATTCAAGTGATTTTTATATGTCTTAGTATCAGTAGTACTTATGATTATAATTTAAAATTTTTGTTTATCACAGAAATAACCAAATTTTCTCCTCAATTCTGTCTTTAACCAGGGGTATTCTAAAAGGTCGGTCATTCACAATTGTTGTTTTACTTTGATTCTTTATCAGGTGGCTTATAATAATCTATAGAACTTTGAGTAGTACTCTTAAATATACAATATACAATTTTGACAATTTTATAAATTGTGCCTTTGGTATAGAGAGAAAAACTTCCATGAGTCTCATGAGACCTGAAGCATTTATGATGATTGTTAATCTAATATCAAGCAGGACAGGATGTAATTGCATGAACTGAATGAAAAGGAGACTGAAATAATTTTTATAACTTATTCTTTAAAGCATTTGCTATTTACTTATGTTTTATTGTTCAGAATCAAGAAAACTTTGTCTTTTAAGCTATTCACAGTTTTTAACAATTTTAACTATACTCTATTGAGAAAAATTGAAAATATAATTTCTTCTTCTCTACATAATTTCTCCAAAATTTGGAAACTGTAGGTATTCTTATATCAAAATAGTTATTTGCATAGGTTCGATAAAAATCTGCTTTCTTCCATAACAGAGCACAATTAGAGACAATGGTCACTTTACCAAGGCTTTAACTTGAATGACATATTTTCTGATTTACTTTATAAAATGAAGAGCTGTACAGCTGATATAAGCCCCTTTGGAAAACTGGCATTTTACCTTTTTTTTTTTTTTTTAACAGGGCCCTGAGCTGTAGTAAGTAAATAATTTTGCTTTCTGACAGGCCCAGGAAACCCAAGTTTTCTTGGATACTTGAAAAAATAAAAAGTAAACCAATCCATATAGCTATCTGATGGCACAGATAAAATATTGGCTGGGCTTGAGGCTTTTAAAGATCTTACCCTTAGATTCCTTATAAAAAATAGCAAAAGCAATGTATGAATAAAACAGCCTATGTACAACAAACAACAACAAAAACAAAAACAATAAAAAGAGAGCTAATATGTTAAGTGATTATTTTTGCTGCATCTTATACAAAAAAATCAGGCCAAGTATAATAAGCCTAAAATTTATTTTACAAATAAATTAGTCCTATTATGATTTTGTCTCCAATAAAATTGGGGAATTATAGGGAGAAATATTCTTTCAAAATAAACTATAGTGCATCTGTTATTAGGTTCTAACCTTGTCCACTTGTTTTTCAATTTACAATATTTTCTACAATTTGGACTCAATTTTAAAATATTTCTTTCCACAAGTCTCCAAAATAACATTTTCAGTGATTTTCTTTTTAAATATTTTTTTCCTATTTGAAATCTCCAGAAGGTAAACTGTGCTTTCTTACAGCTAGTCAACTTAAACTCTAAAATAAAATAAAATCAATGATATGGTTTGTCTCTGTGTTCCCACCAAAATCTCAGTTTGTATAGTAATAATTTCCACATGTCAAGGGTGGAAGGAGGTGAAGATAATTGAATCACGGGACGTGTTTTCTCCATGCTTTTATCCTATTAGTGAGTGAGTTCTCACAAGACCTGATGGTTATATAAAGGGCCTCCCTCTTCACATGACACTTCTCTCTCCTGCAGCCATGTGAAGAGGTACGTGTTTGCTGCCCTTTCCATCATGACTGTAAGTTTCTTGTGGCCTCCCCAGCCATGTAGATCTGTGAGACAATTAAACCTTTTTTTTAAATAAATTATCCAGCATCAGGTATGTCCTTATAGCAGCATGAAAATTGTCTAATACCAGCAACTTAATTATATACAAAAATTCCTTTTATACCCTCCTACTGTGAAGGGAAAATAAATCTTGAGACCCCAAAATTACT
The DNA here is from genome assembly GCF_000001405.40 of Homo sapiens. Classification (NCBI taxonomy): domain Eukaryota; kingdom Metazoa; phylum Chordata; class Mammalia; order Primates; family Hominidae; genus Homo; species Homo sapiens. The sequence goes on along the minus strand of NC_000014.9, from coordinate 106,525,147 downwards.
AAGCTAAAGAGAAGAGTCAATGTGGTGTTACAGGAGATAGAAAGAAATTATTTAGGTAGATAGTTGGGATGAGAGAGTCTCTGGCAAAATAACTTTTCTTCTAACAAAAATCAGCTCAGAAATAACTTCTTCTCTAATTACACACAGTTCAAAGAAATCACTTCTAACAAAAAGCAGACTAAATAATCAGGCTGTGAAATATAGATAAGCAACTCTGCCACAGAGAGGGTGTTTCTGGGTGTAATCACCAAACCTCACATATATAGGATGGGTCCCAGTAAAAACAGTGAGCCTTAATAAGCACATTCCTTTTCTTTTCTGGGAGTACACTAAGATAGAAAAGCTGGAAGCTTGCACGGGGTTTGCGACGCCGGCACCTGTGAGGAAGTACCTGGGACCAGGCAAGAAAACCCTTCTGGCCTTTCTTAGCACATGCACGGTGGAAGAAGATAAGCAGTGTGGAGGAGATCAAGCAAAGTGCCCGCCTGCCCAATGAAAGCATGAGGTGGGGTTGCCAGAGACTTTGCTCTATGCAGATGGCACACATTGTCCTAACTGTTTTTGCACCCTATGCTGATAAGACACCGTCTCCCCACGAGCACATTTATAAAAATCCTTACATTTTACTGCAGCACGATAACCCATTTGGGACCCCTCTCTGTGACAGACAGCTTTTTTTTTATTTTACCTATTAAACTTGTGCTCTAACCTCACCCTTAGCATGTCTGCGACCTTGATATTCACGGCCGTGAGACAAAGAAGTTCGGGTGGTATTCCAGACAACGAGGCTGCCATACTGGAAAGTGCTTTGGGCAAATCTGCCTCCCCTTCTGTTTAAAGTGATTCCTCTGAGGCTAACCTGAGACCAATACACAGCTGATTGCTTCCTCTTCACTATCATTTATGTAAAAACGAAGATCCACTGAGTCAGACTAAATTGTGCATTCAGTGGTAGGCTAATAAAGTACTCAAAAGAACGCAACCTATTGTCTCTTATCTACTTCTAAACTGCAGTCCGTGCTTTTGATTCGTCCTGCCTTACAGGAAAAATCCAAAGTACATTTTACATATATTGATTGATGTCTCATGTCTCTCTAAAATGTATAAAAGCAAGCTGTACTTCAATCGCCTTGGGCACATGTCTCAGGACTTCCTGAGGATGGTCATGGGTGAGTTATCTTTGGCAAGATAAACGTATTAGTCTGTTCTCCTGCTGCTAATAAAACATAACAAAGACCGGGTAATTGATAAAGGAAAGAGGTTTAATTGACTCACAGTTTCACATGGCTGGGGACACTTCACAATCTTGTCAGAAAAGCAAGCGACATCTTACACGGTGGCAGACTAGAGAGAGCTTGCTCAGGGCAACTCCTCTTTACAGAACCATCAGATCTAATGAGAAGTATTTACTATCATGAGAACAGCATGGGAAAGACCTGCCCCTGTGATTCAATTATCTCTCATTGGGTCCTTCCCATGACACATGGGAACTGCAGGACTAGAATTCAAGGTTAGATTTGGATGGCGACACAGACAAACCACATTAGTAAACTTCCTAAATTGACTGAGACCTGTCTCAGATATTTGTCGTTTACCTTATTCATGTTCAGCCTTCAGAGTTCCAAGGCCTATATCAGTTTTCCAGGATTGTTTCCCCTTTTTGTTGTTTGTTATTTCCTCCTTTATTTATATGTTTTACTTCTCTTTTTTCTCCCACTATTTTCTTATTAATGGATGTGAAACTTCACAACATTTGAAATATAGGTAACAATGAACTATAATAACAACTTGGGACCTATTTATCTAGAAATAATCCGTCCTACCCATGAAAGAAAAAAACAAAAACAAAAACAGAAGCCCAGAAACTTATTTTGTGGTAAAATGCTTCCTCTGAAATATTTTGGAAAGGAAAAAGTTGGGAAGATATGAAATGAAAATAAAAACTTATGATGTCAATTCATTACGTCATGAGGGGGGAAAAAACTAAAGGATGATCCATGCAAGAAACTGATTTTCCTTTCATTCCTAAGAAAATAGCCACAGACAGATAAAATGTTAGATATCTTCACAGATAGCTACAATTTGTTCATCTTTGAAATACTTAGTGCAGGAGAACCACTTGATATTCTATTTCCCTATGTGCTTCTTTTTCATTACTACATGTAAGTTTTCATGCAATTCCTCTTTCCCCTCTAGCCAGCTTTTCCCCTTTATATATTGAAAGCCCTAAAAAATGTCTTTTGGGAATGGCACTAACCACGCATTGTTTCTGTGATTACTTTTCTTCCAAGCATGCCATAACTTTGGAAAAATTAATTTTAATTTGATTGAGAGCTCTCTCAGAAACCTTTGGTTACACTAGGCAAAATCCAAAATCAGGAGCCAATTATTGTAAAAATCAGCCATAGTACACTGTGCGTCTGTGTGTGTGTGTGTGTGTGTGTGTACATGTGTGTTTTAATTTTTGCGAGCTTTGAGCCATGTAGTTCTCTCTGTGGAGATGCTATTTGGCGTGACTTTGAATAGAGAATTCTAAAAGAAATAAGAAGCTCCTATGAGTTCTCTGAAAGTTTCTGGACTCACCATGGATCTTGACTGTGTCACTGCATCTGACAGTCCCAGGGAACAGACTCTCTGGTGGTTTCATAGAATCTATGCTTGGGCTCTCCCTGCAGTTTACTGGGTATAGTAATGACAAATCACTGTTTCAAGAGACAATTTCAAAAGCATTAGATGCTGCTGAGAGAGGATTGTGAACCAGGGAACTGCCCCTTTCTTCTTGGAGAGCGACATTGGGAGAATATGCTCTGTGAGCCCAAACAGCATCCTCCCCTGCAGGGTGAGGGCAGAGCTGCAGGACAGGCCCAGAACCCACTCCACACAGATGTCAGCCCTGGAGCTGCTGCAGAGGAGTCTGAGGAGAAAATTTTTCCAGCACCTGAATTACACTTATTTCAAAACAAAAATGCAATTAAAAAGTTAAAACAAGTAATTAATGTCCAGGCACAGTGGCTTACACCTATAATCCCAGAAATTTGAGAGGCTGAGGTGGGAAGATTTATTGAACCCAGGAGTTTGAGATCAGTCTGTGAAAAATAGTGAGGCTTCATCTTTATTTTTGAAAATAAAAATAAAATAAAACATAAAAAATTTAGCAAAAACTACAATGCGTCTTTACATACCCCATCATACTTGAAGCATTTACCTAACCCAATGAGGTGATGAGGACCCAATTTGAAAGGAGAAAATTTTAGACTTTTCATATATCTTAATAGTTGGAAGATGTAGAAGAAATATATTTATATCAATTAAATGTGTGCAAATATTGACAGACACACCATACCAGGAGTTCAACTTGCAAAGGGTAAAACCAAAAAAGTTTGAGATTGTTAATGTGCCATTTGAAGGTGAGATCGTTTTGAGGACCATGTCCTGTGAGAGTTTGTTTCTCTATTAGAGGAGTTCTGTACTCATAAAGTTCTGGACATGCCAGGAGACAAGTATCAGTAAACAAATATCAGAACTTGAACTTCAGCTTCCCACTCTTGCATTCTCCATGTGTCATCTCTCTACTATTTCTCATTCTAGATCAGGTCTTTAGCTATGAAATATTCCACCTAATTAACATGTAAATAGATTGAAGTCCACAGAGTTAAATATGTATATTTTCTCCTGTTTTTCCCAGTTGTTCCCTCCCACAGCTCCAATATTCTCCACTGTTACCATCACCTTCTAGATCTGCTGCCATGCCCTGCAGATTAAGGATTTGATTCCACGACAGAGAGGAGGTGCATTTCAATGGAACTTTGGTGAGAACCTCGGTTTTTATCCCATTTCCTCTGGGGCTCCACCAGTGCATCTGGAATAATGGGTTCAGTGGCTGGCCCCTGCAGGGTGATTCCTTAGTTCTGTAGTGAAGATGAGGGAGGTGGGTCTGAATGCATTTCAGAAGTATGGGCTCTCCTCTCTCAGACAGACACTTTGGGAAAATAAGATTTTTCTGACTGCACCCATTCTAGAACAAAGGAATTCAATTGGATAAGAATGCTGATAAAAAAAAACTCAAACCAAATTAAATTTAAAGGAGTTTAATTGAGCAATGGATGATTCATGAATTGGGCAGCCCCCGGAATCACAGCGGATTGAAAGAGAATTCAGTGCAGCCATGTGGTTGAAGAAGATTTATACATTTTTTTAAATGATGTACAGAAATCAGAAGTGAGGTACAGAAACAGCTGGATTGGTTACAGGCTGATGTTTGTCTTATTTAAACACAGTTTGCACACTCAAGAGTGTATGAGTGGTTGAGGTATGGCTGCTGAAATTGGCCAACGCTCAGCTGTTGGTGAGGTGCTCAGGTACATACTCCTGAGTTAGGTTTTCAATCTCGTCCACCTATTCAGGTAGGTTACAGTTTGTCCACAAGGACTCAAACATAGAAGTACGGAGTCCTCCTCAGGCCATATTTAATTCACTTTATCAGTGCCCTTCAGCATATGGTTCCTGAGAATTTCACACGGCAACATGTTTACCACCCTAGAATTTAAGCAATCCAATACATGTAATAGGCTGTATTTCACATGGCAACTTCTGCCTCAGTTTAGCTAACACTATGGCTTTGTTTCTCTCTACAAGAACTCATTTCTCCCAAAATTTCCATTTTCCTGAAAGGAAAATAAATCTTTGGGACCCTCATATCACTAAGCCAAAGGGAAAAGCCAAGCTGAAAACTGTTTGGGGCAAACCCACCTTCCATTCTTTCCCTAAAATGATAGCTGTTAAGGTGTTTACAAGCTACATATCTCCTTCAAAATTTGACCGCACAGAAAATCCTTGTTGACCAAGGACATTGTAGACCAAGCAGAGAGTCATTTCTCTGCTCACGTAAGTCAAATGCATATCTGATTGCTCCCTTTGCTCTATTGTTTCACTAAGCCAGACTAAGGCCTATGTGACTATTCCTGTAAACTGTGCATTCAGTTAAAGGCTAATCAGAAACTCAAATAATGCAACCATTTCTCTCATACCTACCTATGATCTGGTAGCTCTCCCCCCAACTTCAATTTGTCCTGCCTTTTTGAACTAAATAAATATACCTTACATATATTAATTAATGTCTCATGTCTCCCTAAATTGTGTAAAACCAAGCTGTGTCCCACCACACTGGGCACGTATCATCAGGACTCCCTGAGGCTGTGTCACAGGCATGTCCTTAGTCCTGGAAAAATGAACTTCCTAAATCTATTGAGATTAGTCTCAGATACTCTTTGGTTTATAAGTATGTTTTCTATCTCATAACTTCAATTATCTGAAATACTAAAGGAAATCTGCCAAATAACACATTATCTTGTTTATCTGTTATTGTTGTTGCAAAAATAAATATATTTATATAATTTATGTATAATTGATCATCTTTGTACATTACCAAACTGAGTAGCAGATTTGTTAGTAAGACCCAATGTAATAAAAAATTCAAATATCAATTAGCAACTTAATAGAAAAACAAATTACGCTACATTTGTTTGCCGAAATGCTACCAATTTTTATAAAAAAATAAACACATATAACATAAATGGTTTAATTCTCAGTATTTCTATTGAGAAAAATAAGCCAAATACATAAGCGAATATACTATATTATTTCATTCTTATAAATTCTACCAAATAAATACTAGTCTAAAGAAATATGAAAACATCAGTAGTTTATAAAGAAATGGTAGAAAAAGGGAAGGGGAAAAAACAAATAATATAAAAGATCAAGAGGAATGCTGAGGGGAGTTGACTTGTTACCTCATTGAAAATAGAGATTATTTTTTCAAAGTTTACTATTGCACATGTTAAATATGTGAATTTTATCATCTGTCAGTTAAAACTCATAAAATTTATTACAAGTAAACAGCCGACATTTTATACAAAAAAGGGATGATAGGAAGAAACAAATAAATACATTAAATGTCAGATACACCAAAAACTTATCTGCCTGACCCCTAGTTGTCTCCGTAATTTTTGGATGAAAACCAGCCCACCCCTGACCCTGCTGCTCTGGGAGAGGAGCCCCAGCCTTGGGATTCCCAAGTGTTTGCATTCAGTGATCAGGACTGAACACACAGGACTCACCAGGGAGTTTGTGCTAAGCTGGGTTTTCCTTGTTGCTATATTAAAATGTGATTCATGGAGAACTAGAGAGATTGAGTGTGAGTTACATGAGTGAGAGAAACAGTGGATATGTTTGGCAATTTCTGACCTTGGTGTCTCTGTGTTTGCAGGTGTCCAGTGTGAGGATCAGCTGGTGGAGTCTGGGGGAGGCTTGGTACAGCCTGGGGGGTCCCTGCGACCCTCCTGTGCAGCCTCTGGATTCGCCTTCAGTAGCTATGCTCTGCACTGGGTTCGCCGGGCTCCAGGGAAGGGTCTGGAGTGGGTATCAGCTATTGGTACTGGTGGTGATACATACTATGCAGACTCCGTGATGGGCCGATTCACCATCTCCAGAGACAACGCCAAGAAGTCCTTGTATCTTCATATGAACAGCCTGATAGCTGAGGACATGGCTGTGTATTATTGTGCAAGAGACACAGTGAGGGGAAGTCAATGTGAGCCCAGATACAAACTTCCCTGCAGGAACGCTGGAGGAAACCAGCTGCAGGGGGCGCTCAGGAGCCACTGATCAGAGTCAGCCCAAGAGGCAGGTGCACACAGAGGCTGATTTCCTGTCAGGGTGTGGGACTTCGTCTTTTTACCATTTCTCTAGGGAACCTCTCTAAGTTCAGAATTCTGTGCTTACCAGTGTCATCTCTACATGTTTTTTAATGATTATTTTAATATGAGAACCTATTCTTACATGCACAAAATGCAGATGGATGCTTACAGAGATGAAAAGTCCTCAACCATGGTCACCAGGATCAGCCTTGAGGAAACTCAGGGGTGCCTGGTGAATCTTCTCCAGTCAGACTCAGGACAGAAACCTCTGTGAGATTCCCTGACTAGATCAGTCTTCAGGAATTTTGATACCAGCCAATAGAGAGGCTGGGACAGGGTCAGTGTCATGTAGAACCTCACAGGTTTCACGTCTGACCCTTCTCCTTCTCCTGACACTAAAGTATGCAAATCAGTATCAGCACTGATCTGGGTCCCCTTTTGCTCTTAAACCATTCTATTTCTTTTTATTTGTTGTTGTTCTTGCTTTTCCTCGTACTTCTCTTGCTCCCTGTAAAATGGGGAGGTGTTTCTTGCTGCAAAAGCCCCAAGCCTCAAGCCCATTCCCTGCAGCTCAGGCGGGGCTCAGGCTGTGGCTCCTGCAGCCACATGGGAGTGGCTGTTGGGGCTTTCTCTTCTCCCATTGCTCAGCACCCTCCAGTGTGTTGTGTGGAGACTACCTGGGAACGAATGTGGACAACAGGAGTGAAGGGGATGAGCTTGCGTGGACAAAATGGGATGTGGATGTGAAATTTATCCTGTGCTGTACAAACAACCACAGATTCAACTTCCTCACCAGTAGTATTAGAAAGAGGGTGTGAAAGTTGTCAGAATAAAAATGGAAACACTTGTGTTAACACCCTGACAAATGGAACTAGGAATGACCATGAAGAAGTTTCTCATGCATATACTCCAGAAAACAAGAACTACCGTAAATGGATTCTGCTTAACCACAGCCTTGGATAGAAGAAACCACAACCTTACAAAAATCACTTCTACAAGGATATCTTCCCAGCAACTCCCTGTTTAACCCTACAGTGATGCCACCCTTAGTCCTACAAAAATCACTTCTACAAGGATATCTTCCCAGCAACTCCCTGTTTAACCCTACAGTGATGCCACCCTTAGTCCTGATTCTAGGAGCACAGGATAATCCTCTCAAAATGACTTATGTAACCCACCTCATTTTCACTGCGTAAACCTATGGATTCACATCCTGGAGTCACTGCTGCATTTGTTCTTAATGGTCATTAGCCCCTTTCACAATATTTGAGGCTGTTTTTCTCTGATGTCTCTTCTAAAATAAAGAATTTCCAAGTGGACAGCAGTAAAGAAGCTATTTAGGAAGATGTAATGGGAAGGCATCTTTAACATTCTGTTGAATGTTTCCACATGGCACTTCAATCCCCTAAAATACTTTGCTGTATCAGCATGTGATGAATCGGAGTATAATATTGAAGGTAAAATGGGAAATACATGGGCTTTTGATGAATCAAGTCATAGGATGAGAATGTCTGTGTCCTTGAGGAAGGAGACCATGGGTTGTAAGTTCTAGTGGAGGTACCTTTGGCAAAGGGAGTTCATGAGTTTCTGAACCTTATGCTACTTTTAATTTAAGGAAGCAATTTATGATGTATGTTTACTTAAATCTTTCCAGAGACATTTGTCAGTAAGGACAGGGTAGCATTTGTGTAATAGTGATGACTTAGAGAGTTATTTTGTAATTGCTCCTGTAAGGTATGCACATTGCTCACTTGATACAGAAGTTCAAATGTCACAGGTGGAAAAACAGGAATAAAGGTGGGCAGATCACAAGGTAAGGATCACAAGGTTAACCATCCTGGCTAACACGGTGAAACCCCATCGCTACTAAAAAATACAAAAAATTAGCCAGGCATGGTGGCGGGCACCTGTAGTCCCAGCTACTCAGGAGGCTGAGGCGGGAGAATAGCGTGAGCCCGGGAGGCAGAGCTTGCAGTGAGCCGAGATCACACCACTGAACTTCAGCCTGGGCAACAGAGGGAGACTCCATCTCAAAAAAAAAAAAAAAGAAAACAGGAATAAAGCAAATTTTATGAACTGTCATGACTGTAGTTTTTGGCAAGGACATTATCATGTCAACCTGTAAATAAACAGACAACAATAAAACATATCAAATCCATGGGGAGTCTGACCTGTGTCCCTCTGTCTTATAAGCACAAGGCTTTGCCACATCCAAAATATTATTCAGGCTCCAGGGTATAAAATGCTTTTGGACTGTGGAAGGTAACAGCTCTCCCCTCAGGCAGGGGTAAGGTATCTGGGGAATGCAGAGTTGTGTTCATAAGGAAGATGTCATTATCGTGTCTTCTCCTGTGCCTGGTAGCAGGTCCTGAAGGTGAGCGTCTCAGATGTCAGACATGGGTCTATCGGGTTAGGATAGGTACATGTGACTGACAGGGACTGATTCTCCATGTAATCACATGCCCTGTCCCAGGAGCAGCTGCAGGAGTCAGCCCTGGACCTGAATAGCACACACTTACCCTCTGCCTCACCTACACTGTTACTGGCCACTCCGTCACAACCAGTCCTTACTAGTGGACCTGGATCTGCCGGCTCTCAGGGAGGGGCTGCAATGGATAAAATCCATTGCTAGTGGTGGTGGGAGTCCATTTGTCTTGTGGAAAATGGCAGCATTTCCTTATTTTATAAGGCATAATAATGCTATGTTGTGTACACATACCACATTGTCTTTATCCATTTGCCCATTGACAGACACTTAGTTTCCATATCTTGGCTGTTGTGAATACAGCTGCAATAATCACAGGAGCGCAGGTATCTTCACAAGGCGGTAATTTCATCTCTTTGGGTATATTTCCATAAGCTGCATCACTGGTCATATGGTATTTCTGTTTTAATTCATTTAGGAGCCACCACACTGTTTTGCCTAATGGTAATGATGGGAATACAGAATGTCATAGCCGCTACGAAGAACAGTTTTAGATTTGAGGTATAATCCAAAAGCAAATAATGTTTGATCAGGGTTCTCATATGAGGCTCTAATAAATAAGTCCAGAAAGTTTTCCCATCTTGGGCAAGGATGAGTTTGCCCCTAATTGTCTTTGAGGAAGAAGATTGGCAGAACGTGAGATGGAGTCTGTTGGCAGGATTCAGGATTCAGTAATAACTAGTAATGGCACAGAAAAATAGAGAGATAGAGACATACAGAGAAAGAGAGAATATGAATCTCATAAGAGGAAAATTTGCTAAATATCAGCATTGGGTTTTCAGTCATAGACACATTTGTATGAGCCAGGAACCATGGAGTCAAGTGAGGAGTGGAGAATATGTTCAGTCCAAAAATCAGCATATTCTCAGAGGCACCCATTGCCCCATCACACAGGTGGAGAATTTTGGAAACCAGTGAAGTGCGAGTTCACATTAGGTGATTAAGCTACCATGTTTCGATAAACTTTCATTAACATGCAAAGTACTTCCATAGATAACTGATGCACAAATATACGAGATGCCTTTTTGCGTTTATGGATGTCTAGAGAAAAATAAGTGAGAAAATTTTTCCAGGTTGCAGAGATCTGTTTAAGTTGCAGATTCCATAGGAGAGTGTCTTTGAATGAATACTGTTCTATTAATTAAATAGGTCAAAATTCCCTCTGTTGGAGCAGCCTTCCAATTATATAGATTTCTTTATAGCTTCTTGAGTTGTGAAACATAAACCCAAGGATTGACTTACTGGAATATGACTGCTGTGTTGATTAAATTTCTGATAAGGTTTCTTCCAATGATTTGAGAATAGCTTTCCTGTTTTTTTACTCAAGGAAATGAATTTTCACAAGGTCTCAGGACATCACGTTTCAGGTGCTTTAGTTAAAGAGACTCTTCTTGGGGGCAGTCAGCTTTCTTCCAACCATGAGCTCATTTCTTCAGCAAACCATTCGCTTTGTGCCTCTATTAAGAATTATGAAGCTTTTGTACTTCAATGCACTGAAAATCATGCCCCTTGAATTAAATGTTGATTGGCACTGACATGAATTGGCCACTCTTGTATATGTGTCCTATGTTATGGGCTCAACATAACAGTGGACAGAGAATCGTCCATTAGCTGCCTCTGATTGTGGCACTGACCAGATTGAGAATCCTCAGAGTCATCCATGAAAAAGAGAGTCCTTAGGTTCATGAGGTTCTTGGAGACATTCAGGTAAGTGGAGGAGAGAAACAGGATTGGGGGCTGCCAGCCATTTCAACAAGACTGGGAACAATTATCATCTACGTTTAAAGGTCTACATCATTCCAAACACCCTCCAGGTTTCTCTGAGTTCATTGTGATGATTACATTCAGCTGCTTCTCCAGTGAGTTTAAATGAGCATGTGGCAATTCAGATGAGCCTGGCTGTGGGGTTTATTATATGTAAATCTGAACTACATAAACAAAGAGGGCATGTCTGACCGTATGAGGGTGCAAAATCCTGGAGACCCCACACCCCACACTCTTGTGCTTTCTTTTCTCCAGCAACCTCCAGGTTTTTTTGTATGAGAATTGTAATAGATTATCTCATGGCTAAGTCATCAAGAGACGTAAACTCTGAGAAATACAAGCAGAAAATTCTCCAGATAGAAGATCCAGGGGAAGAACATTTCTAGCACCTTATCTATGTAGGGGAAGGCAGTCCATCTCCATTACAGACCCCTCACAGCAGCCTTCCTTTATAAGGAAAATGGGTCAAATTAGCCAATAGGGTAAGAATCCTATAATGTTCCAGCCAGAAAAGGGAAAGCATCAATTTGACTTCTGGAGACTCTGTATATAGGTCACATTCCATAGAAAGAAGAGCACTAAATTATTAAGATTCAATTGTAACTACATATGATACTTCCGGGATGCACAAATTAAAGATGAAAGTGTGACAATGCACAGGCTCTGTCAGAGAAGGAGAACGTAGGGAAACTGAAAGAGAATGGCAGAGAGTAAGACAAGGACAGAAGAGCAATATGAAGCCTCTGACATCAACTCTGTAAGGACAAGGTCTTGGCAACTCCCGCATTGACCACAGATTCTGTTACCATGGGCCATTTGCAGGGTTCCTAGCTAAGGAAAAAGAAAAAAAAAAAAACTGCATGCACTTCCCAAGTCTCCACTTGTATCCTGTTTTTCTTAGATCTCTAGGACAAAAAAAATGGCATAAACCTAGACCTAGTGTCAGTGTAGGAGGTACTTTCTTTATAGGCAAGACACTAGGAAGAAGGGAAAATGTGTGTTATTGGACTAGGAGATACAGAGATGGCTTTAATCTGAATAGATCTACACCCGCAGGTATTCTCGAATGCAACATTCAACTACAAGAGCCTAATGAAGAAACACGACCCTCCCCAAACCCCTGCAAGCTCTTGTATTCACTGTGTCTCCACTGATTTAGTGCACCTGGAGCTTCAGAGCACTGGCTCCCTCCTGTGTCCTAGAATCTTTTCTTTGGGTCTTTCTGCAGAATTCAATAGGATTAGTTAGGCTAATCAATTGTTTCAAGAGATGGTGTTGGCAGCATATATTGTCGCTGGAAGAGTATTCTAAGCCAGGACACAGGCACTTTATGCCGGACTAAAGACTCTGGAGAAAATGTTTTGTGAGCCCTGACAGAAACCTCCTTGAAAGGTAAGGGCTGGGCAGGAGGGGCACTCAGGAGCCACGCAGCACACGGTCCAGCCCTAGAACAGGAGGCTGGGGAGGAGGTTTCCTCTCAGGGCCTCGGTTTTCCTTCGTCAGAAAAAAAAAAATCTAAAATAACCGTTCAACAAGTTGCTGATATGCCTTCAAATATCCTGCTACAATGGAACAATTCATATAACTTCAGGCAATGAGAACTATTTTTTAAATCGGGCTTCTAGGATTATAAGTATCTTAATAGTGAAAATGTGAAGAATAGGTATGATTTTACTATTTCAATGGATACAGAATTGTGGGAGTCACTATATTCCTATGAACAAAAAATTCAGATTTCAGTGTTAAGTAATGTTGCCTACATTGTGTGAGTGACGGGGCAGTGGTGGATCTGAGAGTGTGGTGGGTGCACGGACATAATGATTCAGAAAGCAATATGGAAAGATGAGTATCTATGGATACGAACTGAAAGTATGTAAATACTTCACAAAATACTAATAAACGGAGTTGAATATAAAACCCATAATTATCCAAAACACAAATTTCTTGGAAGTTATTTTGGGAACATGATTTCATAAAGAACTCCAAACTCTTGTTTCAACTTCTGACTCCTCGTTTCTGTGATATAAGAAAACCATTTCCAATTATGCATCTCAGGGCAATTCTGTAAACCCAGAGCATTTCTGCTGAAGATCCTGGGGAATCAAGACACCGGGCAGGTGATGGAGACACTGTCTCAGGTGCGCCCAACGAATCTCAGAGGAACCTGCTGGAGAGTCACGTGGAACATCTACAGTCAGTTTCTCAGAGTCAACAGTGAGCTGTGTTGGTGCCTGAGGGGACCATGATGGGGCCAAGGCACGTGCTCAGTGTCGTGGACAGTGATGGTCCAGAAATGATCTAGATGGTCTTGACGCTAATGAAATATGGGTTCAGAGTGAGGAGCATAATCTGTGGGGACTTGTTCTTCAGTGAAAGGATCCTGTCCGCAAACAGAAATGGAGCAGGACATGCATTTCTTCAAGCAGGATTAGGGCTTGGACCATCAGCATCCCACTCCTGTGTGGCAGATGGGACATCTATCTTCTTTCTCAACCTCGATCAGGCTTTGAGGTATGAAATAATCTGTCTCATGAATATGCAAATAACCTTAGATCTACTGAGGTAAATATGGATACATCTGGGCCCTGAAAGCATCATCCAACAACCACATCCCTTCTCTACAGAAGCCTCTGAGAGGAAAGTTCTTCACCATGGACTGGACCTGGAGGGTCTTCTGCTTGCTGGCTGTAGCTCCAGGTAAAGGGCCAACTGGTTCCAGGGCTGAGGAAGGGATTTTTTCCAGTTTAGAGGACTGTCATTCTCTACTGTGTCCTCTCCGCAGGTGCTCACTCCCAGGTGCAGCTGGTGCAGTCTGGGGCTGAGGTGAAGAAGCCTGGGGCCTCAGTGAAGGTTTCCTGCAAGGCATCTGGATACACCTTCACCAGCTACTATATGCACTGGGTGCGACAGGCCCCTGGACAAGGGCTTGAGTGGATGGGAATAATCAACCCTAGTGGTGGTAGCACAAGCTACGCACAGAAGTTCCAGGGCAGAGTCACCATGACCAGGGACACGTCCACGAGCACAGTCTACATGGAGCTGAGCAGCCTGAGATCTGAGGACACGGCCGTGTATTACTGTGCGAGAGACACAGTGTGAGAAACCACATCCTCAGAGTGTCAGAAACCCTGAGGGAGGAGTCAGCTGTGCTGAGCTGAGAAAATGACAGGGGTTATTCAGTTTAAGACTGTTTAGAAAACGGGTTATATATTTGAGAACAAAGAACAATAGAAACACAATCGAATTGTAAGAGAAATATTCCATTCAAGAGCCACCACATAAGCCAAACTGACAGAGTGGGAAAGGCCACACTCAGTAAAGTTGATACAAACATACCATAAAGGTGCTACTATGAACAAGTTTTTGAATTAGATGAATAAATCATTTGGAGCAAGGTTATTTGGTCATATGTTAAGAGTAAGCATGATTCTTACAAAGTGGGAAAATTGTCTTTCAAATGTTTCTGTCACTTCTTACCATAAAGTTCATTTTAGAGGTTTTAGGATTACAGTGAAATTGCACAGAAGGTGTGAGAATTCCCATGAATCCCTGCCCCGCACGGACACCGCCTCCTCCACTACAGCCATCCTGCCCCACAGTCACAAATAAGTCACAATGGATGAATCTACAAGAACTCTTGGTTCTTTCTTTTTCTGGTGATCCCCTAATATAACAAGCCTAAATTATCTTGGAACACCCAGGTATTTTCAATGGCTTTCTAGAAGTGATATTAGTCAGAGGGAAAGTGAGTGAGGCTATTACTATTTGAGCACTTTCTTCCAAAATCCACAAAATATATGTTAATTTGGAGTTTTTCTTACTTCTGGTTTACAATGTCCCTTCCCAGAGAGTAAGATTTTTAAGCTTTTAGTGAGGCTGGAAAAAAAAATTTTTAAAAAAGAGAAATAAGCTTTCCTGTATTAGGCTGACTTATCCCAGCGGCAGCAACAAGCACAGCCCAGACCCAGGAAAAGTCTTAATAATATTATCTAATGTGCTCTGGAGACTCTTTCAGCACTCCCTCAACATAGGGAGAAGAAAAACAAATTTTCCTTTGTCTTATGATATGAGTTTATAGATTCTTGTTCTCTGTAACTAGTAACTTCAAGTATTCTGTTTTATCTAAGAAGCACAACGAAGGTCATGAGAAGCCTGAGCAGGCCAGAACTACAGCTGTCTAGGTACCGGAGTGAGTGTTATGAGATCAACCAGTGCAAGGCTCTTTAGAACAAAACCTAGATAACAGACATCTGGGTTGCATAGCAATGGTCATGTGTAATCCTGAGTTATGAACCTGTTACAATTTGATTAACTGTCTCTGTCCTGCCTCCGTATCCCTGCTTTTGTGCACTCTAAGCTTGCTTCAAGCTAGCCCACCCCATTTTGGGAAGTGTGTATAAAAGTCAAGCGCTCTCTTTGTTCTGTGCCCAGTCTTTGGTCATTGAGTCTGCTGGGTCTGGGTGTACTCAGTAATAAAAATATCCTCCTGTATACACCCCAAGATCTCTCTCTGGTCCTCCAGATTCTGCAACATTTCAGGCAGATTCACATCTCTAAAAGGCCAGCAAGTTCTGGTCAATCCCATAATGAAAATCCTTTAATGAGACTTGGCAAACGTGACAATAAGAGACTCCTTGTATAATGCCCTAGAGTTGGATTAGACACACTGTGAGCTCTTGGGTGGTGGTTCTGAATAAGGCAGTTTGTGCAGCAAATGCAAACACATGCATGGGATCCAGGCAGGAACAAAAGCTTCCCTTTACAAAGTGGGTGGGCATCTGGAGGGAGCCCTCAGAGGTGGGCAGTGGTCGTCCTTGCTGACTGCACATTAGCCAGAGGCGTGACCATAATTGGTCTTGCAGGGAAAGAGCACCACTGAGGTCATAGGTTATGAAAATGTTTGTCATCCTCCAGTGAGCAAGTCCATCTGCTTGCTTGTGGGTGTCAACTCCATGGTGGATACACTCTGGGAGATGACAAGATGCACACAAACCTCCTCTCACTAATTATCCACTACCACACACTCAAGACCAACCTTTGCTCCAGAAAGGAATACGTGTCTGTGGAAATAGACAGAGCTTAAGTATTTTGTAACCTGGTGAACATACTGTGCAAAACCAAACGTTTCAGGAAGATTAGCTCAGAAATGTTTATCAAGTGACTGAAGGGCAGTGGCGGGTGAGGTGATGGGACAGCCTCAGGGCTGCACATGAGGAGGGCTCCCTCTCCCATGCAGGCTTTTCCTCCAGGAGCTGCACCAGGAACTCAAGGAAGATCAGGGAGAATTCTGAGAACACCCTGCTGTGGAGCTGCCTAGAGAAGAAGAATAAATGATGAAAAATACAACTCTGAGTAATGCATGGGTTTTTGTTCATGAAAACTCTCTCTCTGAAAGCTTGTGAAGGTCTTGAAATACCCCTGATTAGCTGAAGACAAACATTTAAACCCTCCTTCCACAGGGAGTTCAAGCAGGCTGGATGTGTCCTTCTATGGATGATCTTCCTCAGCCCCTTCCTCTTCCCAGCTCATCACTGGCTCTCTGTGTAAAAAGTTCTCATCAGCGGAATGTGGTTGATGAAGTGAGGTCTTCAATTTTCTCATCTTCTATGTGGTCATGTTATTTTCCTCATCTGAAGTTTAAAAACTCACCTGCATGCAGCACATGACAGGCTAAAATCTCTTGTGGACAAAACAGTAACAAAGGCACCCACCATGGTTGAGCATCCCGTGTTGCTGACAACGACCACCAGGGGTCAACGTCCTCTTCACAATCCTGTGTGAGAGCAGCACTTGAGTGATTTCAATAACAACTTCCCAGGAGAATCAGCTGAAAACTACTTGTCCCATTTTCCATACAGATATAACCCCTCTATTTTCCTGAAGAAATAGAAAGAGCTGAATGCTGAATACACTGAATGTCTGCTGGTTTTGCAAGTTTGTGACTATATCACTTTCTAATTTCTGACCTGTGCAGACCACTGTACAGACTTTTCTCACTGGTGGGACCAGCCTTCCAGATGTCAAATATAACTGAGCTTCTTCATATAAAAGTCAACACAAGCTCCTCATGGTTTCAGTGCTCACTGAATGGAGTTGGAAATAAAACCCACAATTATCCATAACACAAATTCCTTGGAAGTTATTTTGGGATAATGAGTTCATAACCTGTAGACCAAGAGTCCAAGAGTGTTTCTATTGAAGAGCCTGGGGGATCAAGACACCAGGCAGGTGATGCAGACACTGTCTAAAGAGTGCCCAGCGGCTCTCAGAGGGACCTACTGGATACTCACGTGGGACATCAGCAATCACTTTCTCAGAGTCACCAGTGAGCTGTGCTGGTTCCTGAAGGGTCCAGGATAGGGCCAAGGCACCTGCTCTGTGTCGTGGAGAGTGATTGTTCCAGAAATCATAGAGGTGGTCTCTATGCTTATAAAATCTATGTTCACAGTGAGAAGTCTGTTCTGAGAGGGCTTATTCTTCAGTGAAAGGACCTCTGCCCACAAATGTTCATAAATGGAGCAGGGCATTCATTTCCTCAAGCAGGATCAGGGCTTGAGTCATCAGCATCTCACTCTTGCAAGGCTGATGTGTCGTTTGTCTTCCCTTTCTTATCATCGACCAGGCTTTGAGCTATGAAATGCCCTGTCTCATCAATATGCAAATAACCTGAGATCGACTGAGGTAAATATGGATATGTCTGTGCCCTGAGAGCATCACCCAACAACCACATCCCTCCTCTAGAGAATCCCCTGAAAGCACAGCTCCTCACCATGGACTGGACCTGGAGAATCCTCTTCTTGGTGGCAGCAGTCACAGGTAAGGGGCTCCCAAGTCCCAGTGATGAGGAGGGGATTGAGTCCAGTCAAGGTGGCTTTTATCCACTCCTGTGTCCCCTCCACAGATGCCTACTCCCAGATGCAGCTGGTGCAGTCTGGGGCTGAGGTGAAGAAGACTGGGTCCTCAGTGAAGGTTTCCTGCAAGGCTTCCGGATACACCTTCACCTACCGCTACCTGCACTGGGTGCGACAGGCCCCCGGACAAGCGCTTGAGTGGATGGGATGGATCACACCTTTCAATGGTAACACCAACTACGCACAGAAATTCCAGGACAGAGTCACCATTACCAGGGACAGGTCTATGAGCACAGCCTACATGGAGCTGAGCAGCCTGAGATCTGAGGACACAGCCATGTATTACTGTGCAAGATACACAGTGTGAAAACCCACATCCTGAGACCGTCAGAAACCCCAAGGAGGAGGCAGCTTCACTGAATGAGGAGGTTACAGGGCTTACGATGTTTAAAGTTGTTCAGAAAATAGGCTAAGCAATTGAGGAATATGAGTAATAGAAATATGTATGCACTCTATACAGGAAATATTTCTAATAATTGTCACCCTATATGCAAAATTCGCAGAGAGGTAAAAGCAGAAATCAGTCAAGCTGATGCAAAGTTCCCCACGTAGGCTTTGTGCAGATGTAAGTTCTAAAATCAGATAGATAAATAATTTGGAGCAAGATTGCTTGATAACATGGCTAATGCTGAATATGATTCCTAAAAACTGGCCAAAATATATTCCAATTTGTCTCTGCCACCTCTCTTACATAAAATGTATTAAAAAGTAGTTTTAAGACCACAGCAAAATTGAACAGAAGGTGCAGAGATTTCCTATGTGCCCCTGCTTCACACATGCACAGCCTTCCCCACTGTCACCATCCTGCCCCAGAGTCATCAATAAGTTACAATGGATGAACTTACATGGATGGATTGGTTCTTTCCTCTTCCGGCGGTCCCTTGGCATACCAAGTCTAAACTATCTTGAAGCACAACAGGTTCTTCGAGTGGGTTCCTGGGAATGAAGCCAGTTAGAGGAAAAGTGGGTGGGGCTATTCCTATTAGGAGTCTTTTTTAGAAGACTCATAAAATGTATATGTTCCTATAGATTCTGTGACTCCTGACTTAGTATCCCTTCCCAGACGGTAAGCTTCCTAAATGTTTAGAGGCAGATCCATATCTATGGAAAGAAAGCAAGTTCTAGTGAATCCCATAAGGAATGTCCTTTAATGAGAAGTGGAGACCTTGGTCATGAGGCACATCATGTATGATTTTCTATAATTCCTTTAGATTCACTGTAAGCTTTTGAGGGTGTTTCTGGATGAGGCCCTTTGTACAGAAAATGAAAACTCAGGCATGAGTTCCAGGCACAACCAACCAACTTCCTTCCAAAGTGGGAGGGAATAGAAGAAACCCTCTCCTGTGTGGGCGCTGGTCCCCCTCCATTGCTGGCTGCACATTAGCCAGAGGCATGAGCCCAATTAGTCTTGGAGGGTGACAGCCCCACTGGGGTTGCTGGCTATAGAAATGCCTGTCCTCTTCCAGCTGAGTGAGTCAACCTGCTCGCTTGTTGGAGTCAACTGCATGGCAGGTGCACTCTGGAAGATGACAAGATGCACACAAACCTTCTGTAAAGTATCAATTACTACACACTCAAAACCAAACTGTATTCCAGAGACAGGTGTCTGCAGGGATAAACAGAATTTAAGCATTTTTTGAATAGGGAAGACACTGCCAAATGCCATATGTTTCAGGAAGTTTAACTCAGAAATGTTGATGACATAACTCAGAAACGTGAGGTGACATGACAGCCTCAGGGGCTGCACATGAGGAGGGCTCACTTCCCCATGCAGGCTTTTCTTCCAGGAACTCTACCAAGAACTCACAGAAGATGAGGGAGATTCTGAAAACATCATTCTGTGGTGCTGCCCAGGGAGGAAAAATAAGATATGGGAAAAAAAAACTATATAAATTATTAGATTTGTTAATACAAACTATTTCTGAAGCCTTGTGGAGGTCCTGACATAAGCCATCATTAGCTGTGAACAAATATCTACACCCTCCTTTCCTGGGGAGTTCAGTTAGGTTGCGTCTCTTCTTTTATGGACAGTATCCCCCAACCCCTTTATTTCCTGCACACCTGCTGCTCTCCATGGGACGAGTTCTCATCAGTGAAATGTGGTTGATGTAGTGAGGTCTTCACTTTTCTCATTGTATTAGTCAGGATTATCTAGAGGGAGAACTAACAGGATAGAGGTCTGTATTTGACGGGGAGTTTTTAAGGAGGACTGACTCACACGATCACAAGATGAAGTCTCGTGATAGGCCGTCTGCAAGCTGAGGAGCAAGGAAGCCAGTCCAAGTCCCAAAACCTCGAAAGTCAGGAAGACGACGGTGCAGCCTTCGGTCTGTCGCCAAAGGCCAGAGAGCCCCTGGCAAACCACTGGCTTAAGTCCAAGAGTGAAAAAGCTGAAGAACTTGGAGTCTGATGTTCGAGGGCAGGAAGCATCCAGCATGGGAGAAAGATGGAGGCTGGAAGACTCAGCAAGTCTAGTCTTTCCAATTTCTCCTACCTGCTTCATTCTAGCCATGCTGGCAGCTCATTAGATGGTGCCCAGGGAGGTTGAGGTTGGGTCTGCCTCACCCAGTCTACTGACTCAAATGTTAATCTTCTTTGGCAATACCCTCACAGACACACTCAGGAACAATTCTTTGCATCTTTCAGTGCAATCAAGCTGACACTCAGTATTAAACATCACACTCATCTTCTGTGTTGTCATGTTCCTCTCTTCATCTGAGGTTAAGGAACTCACCAGCATGTAGCACATCGTAGCTTAATGTCTCTCATGGACAAAATAGTGGCAAAGGCACCCACTAGGGTTAAGCATCCTGTGTCGCCGACAGCCACCACCACAGGACCAAGTCTCTCTACCATCCTGTGTCAGGGCATCGCCTCAGTGATTGTATTGGCAACTTCCCTCGAGAGTCATCTTAAAAACGGCTTGTCTCATTTCCCACGAAGGTATAGCCCATCCATTTTCTCTTCCTAGCAAAATGGAAAAGGATGAATACACGGAATGTCTCCTGGTCTTGCAACTTTGTGACTTTATTCCTTTCTAATTTCTGATCAATGCAGCCCACTGTACAATTTTTTTTTTCACTGAAATGACCCACATTCTGGATGTTAAATATAATTGAACTTCCTCATTTATAATTCAGCACAAGTACCTCAGAGTTTCTGTCCTCATGCACCACTCTAAACTTACACAAGTTGTTTATTTATTTGTTTTATTTTCTGGCATCTCTACTTGGCGTCTTCATCATACCCATTTTATGTTATTTCTACAAATGATTGTTAAAATTTATAGGTACTTAATTAAATATTCAGGAAACAAGAGAATAAAATGAATGTAAAATAAAATAAAAGTAAATAAATTAATATTTAAAATAAAGAAGCCAGCAGCTGAAAGCAAGGAAAATCTATTATGCTGGGTCAGAGAGTATGGAGAACTCATAGTACAATATCTTCTGCACGTTAATCATTACTTCTACTCAAGTTACAGGGTCCTCTCTCTTTATATCAGAGCTTTCCCTAACATGTGCAATGAAGACTGAACACAGATTCCTCCCTCAAGACTGACCTAGCATCTCTCACTGAGCCTGAGCTGACAAGTCATAGATATCACATTTGTCTAAGAAAATAATGACACCCTGTAAAGTTACCTACCAGCGATATGGAGACAATTTGAATAATATAAATAAAGCCTAAACTTGATAGGTAGTCATTTATCCTTAGAAGGATTGACTGCTGTCTCTACATGTGTTTTTTATCACAGAGAAGCTACTAGTGCCACAGTCCAAGTTGCTGAATATTTTATTTCCTAGCATGAGTTACTACAGAATGTGTTCAACATGAAAGAATGCAGCTGTTGTTAAGGGAGAGGAGATGTGATTATGGAACACGAGCAGGGATCCAGCAGACATTCCTCTTC
This sequence comes from Homo sapiens, assembly GCF_000001405.40. Lineage (NCBI taxonomy): Eukaryota > Metazoa > Chordata > Mammalia > Primates > Hominidae > Homo > Homo sapiens. The sequence continues at coordinate 106,503,379 of NC_000014.9, read as the reverse complement.
CACGTTTGCCCCAAAACAGAGACACCAGTAAAACGATGAAATGATTGACTTTAGTCTCCACAGTCTAATGTGAGATTTATACCAGATGTTTTCTGCCACTGTTTTATAGTAGAAAATATAATCTCTAAAGAAATTCCATTTTTAGAGACAATACCATCCTCCAGGAAGCTGCAAATGCCCATAACAGAGAGTATTATAGTGCCTTGTGGCCAGGAGCTACAACACCTGGGTTTGGAAACTAATGGACAGAAATATCAGGTTTTCTTGCCAAATCTATGATGAAAATTTGGAGAATGTTTCTTTCCATCTCCATAACAATATGTTGTGATGGAGTGGAGGTCCTGGTACATAAGAAGGTATGTGTTCACAGTGGGTACAGAATTAGACCCATAAAATGATTGTTCTACTGGGGTTCCCTTGTTGTTGGACCAGCTGACCAAGAAAGTGTTGTAAGAGGTGTAGTATTTAGTGAATACTGTCATATTTTTGAAGGTACCATATTTGAAGCTACCAGGAGAAACAGAGATACATCAATCTAGCCTAGGGAGACTCTATGAATTTATTTTATTTCCTTCAAAATGAGGTAAAAAATTGCATCAGTTGAAATGCCGATGATAATCAAGTGATGAAAGACAACATCCACTCAGTGTTTTAGGTGTGGTTTAACCCAAAAGTTATACAATATGTGAGAACCTGAACTCTGGAGCCCTGGCCATCTCTCAGAAGAATCTAGAAGGTAGACTGAGCCTCTACCACAGTGTGATGTCCATGGAGACTGGGGATGGCTACTGTCTCAATCTTGGGATCACGGAATAGTCTTAATATGATTCTGTGTGTATGTGGATCATTGTGTGTAAGTGGGAGGATTCCTATAACTGTGTCTGTGTGTTTGTGAGTGTCTATGTTTCTGTGTGTGAGCTTGTGTGTCTTTGTTTTATTTTAAAATGAGTAATTTAGTTTCTGATCATTAGACTGTGTCTTTGAGGGAGTGTGTGGGAGAATGTGCATGCCTGTGTCTGTGAGTTAGTTTGTAAAAGGGTATGTTATATTGAATGTGTGTGTCTGGGTCCTTCAGTATTTGAGCCTATTAATTTACATGAACATGAATTTTTTGAAGGTGTGTAAGTATAAAACTTTTGTAAATGTAATTGTTTGAATGCTAGTGTGTGCAGAGCTATTTGAGTGTGAATGTGTTACTTGTATTACTTAGTGAGTGTGTGCCCCTATGTGAGTTTGTTTGGGTGAGTCATTACCTATGACTCTACATATGAAGGTGTTGAGGGTGTGTGTGAGTCTGTGAGCATGTTTTCATTACCTATGACTCTACATATGAAGGTGTTGAGGGTGTGTGTGAGTCTGTGAGCATGTTTATGTGCATGTGAAATGTTGTTATGTATGCTTTGAAAGACTTGTCTCTTGACCTCAATATCATTTGTCTGAAAATACCAGGTATGTTTAAGCCCTTAGAATCTAAGGAATAGTTTGTTGTTTAGGATAAATCCTCAATAAGATTAACAACTGATTTCTCACCAAAAATCAGGAAGGCCAAAGCTCACTGGAGTGGCATATCAAAAGTGCTAAAATACACTATCAATCAAAAATTCCATACTAGCAAGAACACCTTCAAAAGTGAAGGAGAAATCAAGATAATAGAAATAAACAAAAGCTATGGAGTCCATCAAAACCACAAATTCCTAATGAGAAATACTAAATAGAGTCCTGCAGGCTGAAATGAAAACAGAGTGGAGAATATTTAAAAATCTTACACCTAAAAGAACAACAACAACAAGTATCCCAGTAATCACATTTGTGTAATGAAAACCAATATTGTTTTATTTTTGCCTTGAGTCTCATGTTCTATTCCTTTTTTAAAAAAAAAATAGATATAATAGTAATGACAAATTTGAATAATGTGCCTATAATTTATGGTTATAAAATTCATTATAAATTTGAATAATGTGCATATAATTTATAATGTATGAATATGTAACAACACAATAAGTGAAAATGGATACAGCTGTAGAGAAGCAGAGTTGTATGCACTATTGAACTAAGGCAATCATAATTTAAACTACTCTGTTATAAATCTGAATTACCAATTGTAATATCCAGGTTAGCTATAAAAACTTAAGTAAAAGTAAAAAAAAAAAAAAATTAGCAGGACAGCTGACTAAACGTGCCTGACACTCTTCAACCCCACATGAAATAACCACAGAAATGAATAAACAGCTGAGACTAGAGAAATTCAACAGAGTTAGATATCATACAAAATAATAAAGCAAAAAGCTTACAGCTGAAGAATTTAATGAATAAAATAAAAATGCAGTTTACAGATTCAATAACAGAAAATAACGAGCAAAAATAAGAATTTCTGAGCTTGAAGACAAGTCTTTCAAAATAATTCCAGCAGACCAAAAAGAAAAAAAAAGAGAATGAAAGAGAGAAGGAAGGAAGGAAGGAAGGAAGGAAGGAAGGAAGGAAGGAAGGAAGGAAGGAAGGAAGATAAAATTTTAAAAACATAGAAACCCTATAGTTTTCAAAACACAATTTGAAAACAAGTTTTTGAGTTATGGAAAATCCAGGGGAAAATTCCAGAGGGAAAAAAATGAAAATGATGTAGGAAACATATTTAATAAAACAAGAGCAGAAAACGTCCCATATCATGGGAGATAGATGGTTATTCAGATCCAGGAAACTCAAATATTCCAAACAGACTGAAACTAAACAGATCCTCTCTGAAGAATGCTTTCCTCAAATTATCAAAAGACAAAGATAGAGCATGATAGAGTAGGATAGTATATTCAAAATATTGAAATAAAAAAGTATCCAGCCAATAATATAATACCTAGAAACATTATTATTCACAAACTAACAAATATATAATGTTTATCGGACTAACATGAACAGGAAATCCATCACCTCCAGGCTGGCCTTACAAGAAATGCTCAAGATTCTTACATCTGGAAGAGAAAACATAATAGCCACAATTATGAAAAATTTTTAAAAAACCATAAAACCCACTAGTAAAGCCAATACACAAAAAAGAAAATAAATGAATCAAATCTTATCACTACAAAAATTACAAAACTACAAAAATAACCAATAGGTTAAGAATAAGAAACAAGAGATACACAAAACAATGAGAAAAGAATCAATGAAAGTGAAAGAAGTAAGACCTCTTCTATCTATTATTAGCTTGAAAGTAAGTGGATTAAATTTTACATTTAAAATACATAGACTGAGTTGAAGAGAAAAGAAAAGAAAAAAAGAAACAAACAAACAAAAGTGCCAACTATAGGCTGCTATGTTAAGCCCATTTTGCATTGTTATAAAGAAGTACCTGAGTCTGTACAATTTACTTTAAAAACAAAAACAGTCTACAAATTCAATGCAATTCCCATCAAAATATCACCATCATTCTTCACAGAACTAGAATTCATATGGAACCAAAAAAGACTTGGATAGCCAAAGCAAGACTAAGCAAAAAGAACAAATCCGGAGGCATCACATTACCTGAATTCAAACTATACTATAGGGCCACAGTCACCAAAACAGCATGGTACTGGTATAAAAATAAGCACATAGATCAGTGGAAAAGAATAGAGAACCCAGAAATAATGCCAAATATTATATCAATGAATCTTTAACAATGCAAACAAAAACATAAGGTGGGGTATGGAGACCATATTCAACAAATGGTGCTGGGATAATTGGCAAGCCATATGTAGAAGAACTATATCCTCATCTCTCACCTTATACAAAAATCAACTCGAGATGGATTAAGGACTTAAATCTGAGAGATGAAAACATAAAAATTCTAGAAGATAACATCTGAAAAACTCTTCTCAATATTGGCTTAAGCAAAGTCTTCATAACCAAGAACCAAAAGCAAATGCAACAAAAACAATGATAAATAGGTAGGACTTGATTAAACTAAAAAGTTTCTGCACAGCAAAATAAACAATCAGCAGTGTAAAAAGACAATCTATAGAGTGGGAGAAAATCTTCACAATCTATACATCCAACAAAGGACTAATATCTAGAATCTACGAGGAACTCAAACAAATTAGCCACAACAACAAAAACAACAACAAAAAACAATTCCATAAAACAATAAGCTAACGACATAAACAGACCATCCTCAAAATAAGATATACAAATGGCAAATAAACATGAAAAAAATGCTCAACATCACTAATGATTAGGGAAATGCAAATCAAAACCACAATGCAGATGCAAGTCAATACCACATTACTCCTGCAAGAATAGTCATAATCAAAAAATAAAAAAATAGATGTTGGTGATGATGCAGTGAAAAGGGAACACTGGCGGGAATGTAAACTAGTACAAACACCATGGAAAACAGTGTGGAGATTCCTTAAAGAAAAAAAGGAGAACAAATATTTCATCCAGCAGTCCCATTACTGGGATCTACCCAGAGGAAGTCACCATACAAAAAAGATACTTGCACATGCACATGCATGTTCACAGCAGCACAATTCGCAGTTGCAATAATATGGAACCGGCCCAAATGCCCATCAGTCAATGGGTGGATAAAGAAATTGTGATACACACACACACACACACACACGCACACCATTTTATATATATATATATATATATAATTTTTTTTTTTTTTTTTTTTTTTTTTGAGACGGAGTCTCGCTCTGTCGCCCAGGCCGGACTGCGGACTGCAGTGGCGCAATCTCGGCTCACTGCAAGCTCTGCTTCCCGGGTTCACGCCATTCTCCTGCCTCAGCCTCCCGAGTAGCTGGGACTACAGGCGCCCGCCACCGCGCCCGGCTAATTTTTTGTATTTTTAGTAGAGACGGGGTTTCACCTTGTTAGCCAGGATGGTCTCGATCTCCTGACCTCGTGATCCACCCGCCTCGGCCTCCCAAAGTGCTGGGATTACAGGCGTGAGCCACCGCGCCCGGCCATATATATATAATTTTATATTTTCTATATATACATATTTTTTATATATGTACATATATACGTGTATATGTGTATATATGTATAGATGTATATATATACACGTGTATATATATGTGTGTGTGTGTGTGTGTATATATTTACCATGGAATATTATTAAGCCATAAAAAGGAACAAAATAATGACAGTCACAGCAACCTGGATGGAATTGGAGACCATTATTCTAAGTGAAGTAGCTCAGAAGTGGGAAACTAAACATTATATGTTCTCACTCATACGTGGGAAATAAGCTATGAGGATGCAAAGGCATAAGAATGATACAATAGACTTTGGGGACTTGGAATAGATGAGGGGGGCTGAGGGATAAAAGACTACAAATTGGGTACAGTGTATACTGTTGGGGTGATGGGTGCGCCAAAATCTCATAAATCATCACCAAAGAAATTACTCATGTAACCAAACCCTACCTCTTCCCCCAAAACCTATGGAAATAAAAATAAAATTATGTAAAGTATAATAAAATAAAGGTATATTTGGCTGACAGTTCTGCAGGCTGTACAAGAAGCATAGTACTGGCATCTGCTTCTGTCGATGGCCTCAGGAAGTTTTCAATTGTGGCAGAAGGTGAAAAAGGAGCACGTATGTGAATGGCGATAGAAGAGAAGAAAAGGCAGAAAATTAAGGTTGTTGGGTGGGTGCCATGCTCCTTAAACAGCCAGGTATCATGTGAACGAATAGAATGAGAACACACTCATTACCACGTGAAGGGCATCAAGGCTTTTATGAGAGATCCGTGTTCACGACCCAAAAACCTCCCTCTAGGTCCTACCTCCAACACCGGAGATAACATTGCAACATGAGATCTGAAGTGAACAAGCATCCAAACTATATCAGTTACCTACAAAAAACTCACTCCAATTGTAATGATGCACTTACGTTGAATATGAAGGTATGGAAAAAGTTATGTAATGCAAATAAAAACTAACTTCACCTGGAGTAGCTATACTTGTAGTGGATAAACCAGACTTTAAGTTAAAAGCTGTAAAGACAGACAAAGAAGGACACTATGTATAAATAAAGAGTTCAACCCAGGAAGAAGGCATAAGAATTTTAAAGATATATACCCAACGATACAGTACCCAGGTATGCAGAGCAAATGTTATCAGATCTAAAAGGATAGACACCAATACAATAATTGCTGGCGACTTCAATCCCTCACTGAAAGCATTGCACAGTTTATCCAAAGAGAAAATGAACAGAAAATTTCAGATTAAAATTGCACCAGAGGCCAGGCACAATAACTCACATCTGTAATTCCCGCACTTTGGGAGGCTAAGGCAGGTGGATTGGTAGAGAGCTCAGGAGTTTGAGACTAGCCTGGGTAGCATGGCAAAACCCTGTCTCTACAAAAAAAATAAATAAATAAAAAATAAAAAACAGCCAGTGTGGTAGCATGTGCCTAAAGATCCAGCTACCCAGGAGGCTGAGGTGGGAAAATCACCAGAACCCAGGGAGATAGAGGCTCCATAGAGCCCTGATGGCACCCATGCACGCCCTCCTGGGCAACAGAGCGAGACTGTATCTCAAAAACAATAATTGCACCACAGACTGAACGGACTCAACAGACACTTACAGAACACTTCGCCAAACAGCAGCAGATTGCACATTCTTTTTAACAGCACAATGAACATCCTCCAGAATTTAATATATTTGGACACAAAAAAGTCTCGAAATTATAAAAATATCAAAGCCATATCAAGTATCATTTCCAAACACAATGAAATAAACTAGAAACCCTAGAGGATGGAATATTTGAAACAATGCAAATATATGAAAATTAAACAACATGCTTCTGTGTGACCATTGGATAAAGGAATAACTTAAAATGAAACTTTAAAAATTTATTGAAATAAATAAAAATAGAAATACAATATAGCAAAAGCTACTGGTTACAGCTAAAGCAATATTAAGAGAAAAGTTTCTAGCAATAAACACCTAAATCAAAAAAGTAGAACGATTTCTCAAAAACCACCCACCTATGTGTCTTAAGAACTAGAGAAGCAAGAACAAACAGAATTCATAATTGTAGAAAAAATAGACAGTAAATATCAGAGCAGAATTTTAAAATACAGAAAAAAAAATCTATAAAGGATCAGCAAGGCCGGGCGCGGTGACTCATGACTGTAATCCCAGCTTTTTGGGAGGCCGAGGGGGGCGGATCATGAGGTCAGGTGATTGAGACCATCTTGGCCAACATGGTGAAACCCCGTCTCTACCAAAATACAAAAAATTAGCCAGGCGTGGTGGCACACGCCTATATTCCCAGCTACTTGGGAGGCTGAGGCAGGGGAATCCCTCGAATCTGGGAGGCCGAGGTTGCAGTGAGCCGAGATCGCGCCACTGTACTCCAGCCTGGCAACAGAACAAGACTCCATCTCCAAAAATAAATAAGTAATAACAAAAGGGATCAGCAAAACAGTTGTTTTCTTGAAAATGTAAAAAAGCAAGAAGGCATTATCTAGATTAACTACAAATGAAAAGAGAAAATGCCCATATACATACAATCAGAAATGAAAAAAGAGACATCACAATGATACCACAAAAATACAAAAGATCATTAGAGGGTATTATGAACAACTATATGCTAGAGAAAATTCAAGAACCTAGAGGAAATGGATAAATTCATGAACACATGCAAACTACCAAGACTGAACCAAGAAGAAGTAGAAAGCCTAAACAGAACAATGAATAACAGGAGATAATAATAATGAAAAGTCTCCCATCACAGAAATGTTCAGGACCTGATGGTTTCACAGTTGTGTTCTACTTAACTTAAAAAAAAATCATGAAAACAGATTATTGTTAAACTATTCAAAAAATTGAAGAAAAATTATTTAATTATAATTTTAATATTATTTTTAAAATTTCAACTTTTATTTCAGGTACAGGGGGTACATATGCAAGTTTTTTTACATGGGCATATTGTGTGATGCTGAGGTTTGGGGTATGGATCCCCTCACCCAGGGAGTTAGCATAATACCCAATAGTCAGTCTTTCAACCCATGCACCTCTCTCTCCCTCCCCACTCCAGCAGTTCACAGTGCCTATTGTTTCCATGGTCATGTCCACATGTGCTCAACCTTTAGCACTCACTTTCAAGTGAGAACATGTGATATTTTGTTTCCTTTTTCTGTGTTAACTTGTTTACGACTATGACCTCCAGCTGCATCCATGTTGCTGCAAAGGACATGATTTTGTTTCTTTTGTGACAGAGTCTCACTCTCTCACCAGGCAGGAGTGCAGTGACGCGATCTCAGCTTACTGCAACCTCTAAGTCCCTGGTTCAAGTGATTCTCCTGCCTCAGCCTCCCGGGTAGCTGGGATTACAGGCATGTGCCACTATGCCCAGCTAAATTTTGTATTTTTAGCAGAGAGGGGGTTTCACTATATTGGCCAGGATGATCTTGATCTCCTGACCTCATGATCTGTCTGCCTCAGCCTCCCAAAGTGCTGGGATTATAGGTGTGAGCCACCACACTTTTTTTTATGAATGTGTGGTATTTTATGATTTTATATTGCATACATACCATTTTATTCATCTAATACATCATTGATTGGCACCTAGATTGATTCCATATCTTTGCTGTTGTGAATAGTGTGGCAAGAGGCATGAGTGCATGTGCATTTTTTGGTAGAATGATTTATTTTACTTTGGCTATATACCTAATGATGGGATTGCTGGGTCAAACAGTAGCTCTGTTTCAAGTTCTTTGAGAATTCTCTAAACTGCTTTGCACAGTGCTGAACTAATTTACATTTCCACCACCCATGTATGTGTTCCCTTTTCTTCACTTCCCACCCAGCAGCTGTTTTTTGTTTAACTTTTTTCATATTAGCTATTATGACTGGTCTGAGATGGTATTTCATTGTTGTTTTTATTTGCATTTCTCTGATAATTAATGATGTTGGAAATTTTTTTCATGTCTGTTGGCCACTGAGATTGACAGGCTTACAAGTGTCTTAGTCCAGCAGTTTTCGGTAACAGGCTATCCACTTTCATTTTCTCTTCCTCACATGCCCCATTTCTGGGTTGTCCATCCCAACCAACAGTTACTGCTGGAGCTGAATCCACTAGCCCGCTTCCATGGGCTGTCAGGAACACATTGCAAGGGTGACACACACGATGATCCATCTCTGCAGAGCCAACTCTCCTTCTCCAGAGATTCATCCAAGAAACAATTTTGACTATACCTGAGCTCTGTGACATCTGAGGACATGGTTTGTATTACTGTGCAAGACAAACAGTGAGAGGAAGTCAATGTGAGTCCAGACATAAACCTTCCTGCTGAGAACAATGGAAAGCTTTTCTTCTAAGATAAGGAATAAGAAAAGAATGCCCAGTCTTAATAATTCTAATCAGCATATTGATGATAGTTTTAACCATAGAAATTTGAGAAAGAAAAAAATAGTAAAAGGCATACAAATTGAGGGGAATAAGTTAAATTGTTTCTGTTTACAGACAATATAACTTTATAAATTCCAAAAAAATAAAAAATTCTGAAAAAACAGCCACTGAAAACTAACAAACAAATTTAGTAACATTGCAGTATACAAAATTTATATGGAAAACTCAGTAGTGTTACTAAAAACTAAAAATTAACTATTTAAAAATCATAAGACAATGTCAGTTGCATTTACAATATTAAATAACTTACTTAGTGGCCATGCACAGTAGTTTACACCTGTAATTCTTGTACTTTGGGAGGTAGGGGAGAATCACTTGAGGCTAGGAGTTTGAGACCAGCCTGGGCAACACAGCAAGACCAATATCTATTTCTAAAAATCACTTAGAAAAAATGTTGGTCAAATAAGTGAAAATCTGTGCATTGAAGACTATATGACATTGATGAAATAAATAAATCTATATGCAAATATATGGGAAACTATTCCATATTCACAGATTGAAGATAATAATACTGTTAACATGTCTATACTACCCAAAGCAATCTACAGATCCAAAGCAATTTCTATACAAATGACATTTTCAACAAACTACTTTTTAAATGATAAAATTGAATCACAAAAGACCCCAGATGTCCAAAGTAACCTTGAATACAAACATCAAAGCGGGGGGAGGTTTCCTAGTACCTGAACTGCAAATATGCTATGAAACTACAATAATAAAACTGCATGCTGCTGACTTTCTAAATAAACTTTAATATTCTGAATTGAAGTTATTTGACAATTTCTTCTATCATTTTATCTTTACTAAAGTGTTGCATGAGTGTTTATCTAGACAGATAATGTGCAAAGAGTCTTCCTGGGTGGTAAAATCCCATAAGCGTCTCCAGGAGCTCCGAGCTCTCTCTAGGCTTCTCAGTATGTTCAGGTTCAAGAGACAGAAAGAATTCTCTCAGCCCTTCACTGCTTTTTGCCCTCTTGACGGTCAGAAGTCCAGAACATGCTTTGTGGGGACATAATAGAGGGGACCAAAATAGACACTTTCAGCAAACCCACTATAACAAGTTCTGCTGCCCATGGGCATCTTCTCCAGGTACATGTTGGTCGCCAGACCCTCAGGCTCACCTACACCATGTGGAGGAGGACCTCTACCCACACTCATTTCAGCACAACTACCGTGTAGCTCAGCATCAGTAGGTCACACTACAATACATTAAACATCACTCAGCTAATTACTTATTGAGGTTTTCATTTGTCCATATGCTATCAATATTGGGCAGTTTCAAATGACAACCTAGAGGACTTAATGATAGTTAAATTTATGTCTTCTATTATGGAAAAACATCCCTTACCTAATGACAGGTTCAGCTGTTTTTGCCAAGATGGTGCTCTTCCCTGGCCTGCTAGTCTCCTACATGAGAAGCATCAATGAACTGGGCAGCACCACACACTTGTCAAGTGATCACTGGGAATGATGTCAGCTACAGAGGATGGGGTAGGGTTGCTCATACCTATGCTCCTTACTTCTAGGACACATCAGGTGTCTATGGATTTAGAGCATGTCTGCACCCTGGTGGACTGCACACTTTACCCAGGGAGAAAGGTCTCTGAGTGTGGGTGGCAAGCCACCTAGGTGCCAAGGTAAGAGACCGAGGGCACAAGCTGTTCCAGTATAATAAAATATATAAAATAAGAATAGTTATACTAGATATAGATCATAGATATGATTATATATGAATATCATTAATCATTAGTTTATAGCAATTACTCTTTATCCCAATGTTATTAATAATCCTCGCTCTATAATCATAACCTAGGAAAAACCAAGCCATACAGAGATAGGAGTGGAAGGGACATGGTGAGAAGTGACCAGAAGACAAGACTGCGAGCCTTCTGTTATGCCCGGACATGGCCACCAGAGGGCTCCTTGGTCTAGCGGTAACACCAGCTTCTGGGAAGATGCCCGTTGCCAAGCAGACCGTGGTCTAGCGGTAGCGTCAGTGTCAAGGAAAAACACCCGCTACTTAGCAGACCAGGACAGGGAGTCTCCCTTTCCCCAGGGGAGTTTAGAGAAGACTCTCCTCCTCCACCTCTTGTGTAGGGCATCAGTCAGGCCCACCTGAGTTATCTGGAGGCCTAATCATCTCCCTCTGATGCTGTGCTTCAGTGGTCACTCTCCTAGTCTGCTATCATGTTCCATCCTGTATACCTGGCTCTGCCTTTTAGATAACAGTAGCAAAATTAGTGACAGTACTAAAAGTCTCTGATATGCAGAAATAATGGCGTAAGCTGTCTGTCTCTCTCCCTCTCTCTCTCTCTCTGCCTCAGCTGTCAGGCAGGAAAGGACCCCTGTCCAGTGGACACGTGACCCACTTGACCTTACCTATCTCATTGGAGATGACTCACACTCTTTACCCTGCCCCTTTTGCTTTGTGTCCAATAAATATCAGTGCAGCCAGACATTCGGGGCCACTACCGGTCTCCATGTCTTGGTGGTAGTGGTCCCCTGGGCCCAGCTGTCTTTTATCTCTTTGTCTTGTGTCTTTATTTCTACAATCTCTCATCTCCACACACAGGGAGAAAAACCCACCGACCCTGTGGGGCTCGTCCCTACATCTGAGCTTCTCAATGGAGGTCTACTTCTCTATGAGACTAGCACCTTCTGTGGAGTCTCATGCTGAATGTCTCCTTCTTGATTATGGTCATTGGTTATGCAGTGCTGTAATTAGAAACCCTTACAGAATAAACTACAAAACAAGAATGATACTACCTTCTTCAGACATGACAATTCTACCTAATGTGCACAACTGGACCTATTGAAATCTTAGCCAGGAGAGGATGCAGGCATAAAGCAGATGATTTTCCGATTGTTCCACCCTACCGGGTTATATTGAACAGTGGACACAGGATTCAACAGGTACCGATTATTAATCCAGTGAGGAAATTATAGAATAGTCCCAAGTCTAGGCAGAGAAGAGTAGCTGAAGACAGTACTTTCCCTGCAGCTCTGAGATTCACTAAAATGTCCAGCTCTGTCCCTCACTCGTGAATATCACAGACTAAAGGACACCCTTCCCACAGCATTGGCTCTCCATGAAGATTTGAAATTGATGCCCAGGCCTCAGGGTCTGCTGACAGAGCTGTGACAGTGGGAGTGGAACTCACACAGAGCAAAACAGAGTGTGTTGCATAATAAGGCTGTACAACATTTTCATAATGGAGGGAATCTCTTGGTCCCAGGAAGATGACAATTTAATATGTCTCAGGCCTGTGGAGCTCTCTTTAGGAGCTTTGTGTGTGGCTTCTTTGTATACTCTGGCTCCAGGAACTCCAGTGAGGGAAGAGATTCGTCACCTCCTGTGCGAAGGGGGCTGAAGCGAGGAAGACAAGTGGCCTGGCTTCCACAGAACCCATAAGCTAAAACACTCCGAGTTCCCTTGACTGCAAGAAATGCAGCTGTCATCACGGTTTCAAGTGCCAGAGTCTTTAATGATTATGTTTCAACTCATGAGAGTGCCAGGAAAATTCCACCAGTATGAACTACTCAAATATGTCATTTTGTAACATTACTTCATTGCTTGCTCTCATATCCTCCATGTTTCTGAAAAAGCAAAGTTTCCATGCTTTATCATCTGCACCAATGAGGCCATATTTAAGCTATATTTTCATATGAACGTCTCTTGAAGATTTTAAAATAGAACAAATGTTGAACAATATGCTTAAAAGAAAAAAAATAAAGAAAGCAGTCTATGTTGACTCATGTGACATTGATAATGTATATTAGATTATATTGGTTGCTTATTTAGTTGGTCATGGGAGAAGAGCCTTCTTTCCAGCCAAAGAATACTAAGAACTCCCTCTTCTAATGACGAATTTCAGCTGATCTTGCTGAGAATATTTAGCAAGAAGACAGAAACAGAGACTCCTAAAGGGAGCTCCAGAGTCCTGAGATACATTTAAGTTTTCATTTTCCTGGAACCCAGAGATTCCCCACTGTTCTACAAGACAAGACCCCATTCTATGACCCTGTCTGAGGAGAGCTCAGGGGCAGTGAGCTCCCCCTCACATTACCCCTTCACCCTATGCCCTTGGGGCTCTGTCCATGCAAATAAGTCCCGGGTTCAAGAACGAATAGAGGCAGGGCTGTGAGTGTTATGCTGTGTGCTGGCTCTGAGCTGGGGTCTCTAGTAGCACTCTCCACATCCATAGATACATGGCCCCTCCGCTACTCCTTCTCTGCCTGCTGGCTGCCCTCTGTGGTGAGTTACTCATGATTTCATACGTGGGGAGACACGGGATGAGGCAAATGTGTCTGTGACTCACAGATGTTCTCTATTCTCAGGGGTTCACAGTGAGGACCACCTTGTGCAATGGGAGGAAGAAGTAGTGGTCCCCTTGGTCATGCTCAGCCTCACCTATGCCGCCTATGCACATTCAATTTCTGAACATTCTGTTTCCTGGATCCACCATCTCCCATCAAAAGGTCTTCAGTGTGTTGGTGTGATATGGGTTAAGGGAAACACTAAGCCCCAACCTTCAGGGCAGAGCTAGCATCTCCAGAAACACATAGTAAAAAACAAGAAAACTTACAGCTGAGAAGTGTGATGGCTGGGGAGGCAGGCGTGTATTACTGTGCTCAAGGCACTGTGACTCGAATCCAGAGTGAACTCAGACACAAACCTGCCCTGCAGGGGTTCTTGGGACCACAAGGGGAAGGATCAGGTCACCAGGGTGTACTTAGGAACCACTGAACTGGGTCAGGCACAGGAGGTGGGGGTCAGGGCTCCTCCCCAGGGAAGGGCTTTTAATCTCCATGCCTTGTAAACCTCTGACAAGCCAGGCAGACACAGACATATTTTTAAACTATGGAAACAGATGTACCTTTCATTTTGGAGGAAAAAGATCATAAGTGTGAAAGCAAAACTTACCAAGGGCCAGGTACTGGAATAACTGTAATCTACATAATCACTCTAAGAATTCTAAGAATTTACAAGTGCAATCATCCTCATTTCATAAACTCACCTTAAATAAGAGCTTTCTAACTGATCCCATATATTCTGATTTTGTTTATTTCTTCAACACTTTATTATCTTCAAGGCATTTCACTGATGTCAATTTTAGAAGAATCATATGCAAACAGCCTCTCGTGGTGGTTGAAAGCCCACAGCCTCGCCAGTCCTGTGGATATTTCTGGATGTTCTCAGAGTCTCCATTGTCTGTAGAGAAGAATTGTCCCAATAGTTATTTCACTTTTGTCTTCCACAAAGTTGGAAAGATGGGGATCACTCAGGGGAATCGAGATCAACAAACAGAAAGCCTGAACCCACCATATACAAGATAGGATGTATTTTTTTAGGAATATATTAATTCCCAGACCCTCAGGCTCACATACCCCATGTGGAGGGGAACACACATCCACTCCTTCACTCAAGCCAAGCTGGCCATGCAGCTCAGCTTCTGCAGGCTCAGGACTGCAAGCTCTCCAGTGTGGGAGTGGAGCTAATGGGAGGTGAGGCCAAGTCTCTGCCCTCACAGAGTCTCATGATGAAGATCTGATGAAATATTTCCACAGTAACATTTCTTTGGATATATAAATGTAGAATATATTTTGAAATAATGAATGATGTATCTTCTGATGGATTCATGTTGGGGAGGCAATAGAGGAAAAATAAAGGTAATTTTAAATTTCTGCTCCCAGCTACAGCACTTGATTTTGATTTAGTGCATGACTGTTTGAAATTTTTTGATGCAGTCAACTTCAGCAGCCCAGACCTGGAAGCCCAGCCAATAAATGCTCCAGATTGGGAAATTTAAACTGATGGGAGCTGTTTCATGGAGGAGGAAAAATGCTGAGCCAGTTGTGCGATCATAACTATTGACTGGATAATAGAAGCCTGTGCCCTTTCTGCCAGTACCTCTGGTCCGAAACCTGAGCTAATCACCCTCACCAAGTTGAGTAAACATTGACACCTATACTAAGTACACCTTCATGGTGGTGCATGCTCATGGGGCCATCTGGAAAGAAAGAGGCCTTGTCTCATCAGGAAATAAGGACATTAAACACCCAATAGAAATGGTGTTAAACTACTAGAGGTGTGTTCTCATCCTTCTCATCCTCCATTATGCATTGCCCTGAGCACCCAAAAGATGACTCATTGGCACCTAAAGGAAATCAGACTGCAGAAAAGGCTGAGAAGTGAGCAGTGCAGGATGCACACCTGCTATGAGCTTTGATTCCACATCTGGAGTTTCCATAGTTCAAACTCCATTATACTAAATAGACAAGAAGCATGCCTGCGACTGGGGATTTGGTAAAACAGATCCAGATTTATTCTGAAAAACTAATGCTTATGGATTATTCTTACTCTCCGAGGCCCTGGTCTACAATTTTAAAACATTTACATGAGGGCACACACTCCAAATGAGATTCCCTTGCAGACTTTGTATGACCATGTGTCAGAATGGTCAGAAAACTGTTCAGAAAGTCACATACGAGTGTGTTTTGTGTGCCAAAAATATCTTTGAGACTGAACAAAATCTTTGCAACGAAGAGGTACAACACAGAGAACTGTGACTCTTGGAAGATTGGCAAGTGGATTCACTCACATGCCTGTGGCCAGTGGCAACTATAAATTCCTCCTGATTGTTCTAGATATTGTTTCAAGATGGGTAGAAGCATATCTCACCAAGTCCCAAAGAGCCACATGACTGGCTAAGGCATAATTCAAGGAAATCGTTGCCAGGTTTGGACTCCCATGCACTATACACAGTGACAACGATCTTTCTTTTATTTCAGAGTTTACTCAAAAGGTAAGTCAAGCACTGCAAATCGAATGGAAACCACAGTCATCATGGAGACCACAGTCAGCAGTAAAGAAATAAAAGATAACACCTTGAAGAAGACAATAGCCAAACTCAGGCAGGAAATTGACCTGCGTTGGGATAGATTTTTTCTTATTGCCTTGTTCTGGGGCAGAACGGTGCCCTGAAGTGGGCTTGGGAAAAGTCTCTTTGAAATTATATATAGGAGGCCCTTCCAGACCTCTTGCCAGTAACAGCACCTTTAGAGCTGGTAAAAGAGCCCAGAGTTAAACCATATGTGCAGATTGGTGCAGACCTTGCTAACTGCACATCAGCTTGCTATTTCCAGGCCTGTTTATTCCACAGTGAGCCTCTTCACCCCTTCCATCCAAGAGACAAGATGCCACTACAGTCTTGTAAAAGTCAAAAACAAGATCAGCAGCTGACTGAAAGGTGGAACAGACCCCATGATGTGCTACTGATTAACCTTTGTTCAGTTAAGTTATCCAATGTAAAGCCATGGGTGCATCGCTGTTGGAAAAAACCTGTCCCACCTCAATTTGACCCCAGATAACAGACTACCTGGTCACATAAGCCTAAGGAAAACCTGAAGTTGCTGATAAAGAGGAGACAAGAAGACAGATAGGTAATACCCTTCTGTTAATATAAAATTCTTAATGAGTTCTATAGTTATAAGTACATTATTTCTCCTTATTAAAACTAATCTTTTTTGCTGAATGGGTGGAAGATGGTGGCTTCCCTGCAAAAGAAAACATAGTTGGTTCTGTAAAGAGTTTGCCCATTTCTTCCACTATAGGCCTGCCCTGGCATAATACAAGCTCCCAACGTAAGAATTTATGATTTTCCATCCATTGGAGAAGCCATCTTTTCCATCTATTATAAAAACAGAAGACACTTCATTAATATCACTCCCACTATAGGCTATGCCATATCCAGTGAGGTAGGATGGCTGACAGTGGTGCGAATCCAAGTAATTGGTCAAGCACTGCTATGTGTGAAGAAACACCACAGCATACTCTACACTGTCACTCATGATATGGAATTGTTGCCTCCTTAGCAATGTAACTGAGCCCTTAATATGTGGCTGGGATGACAAGGCAATGCCAGCCTGCAGAGTGGAATCTGTTCTTCCCTCTGGGGTTAGCTACAGCCTGTGGCACTCATGGCTGGCCCTACTTTCCTTACAACTGGACTAAAAGAAGCAACTGGATATGACCTTATATCCCAGGATGTAACTGTCCAAAGTGCATTCTCTTTATGTCAACTGGAAAAGTGTGAAAGACAGACACTACTGACATAAACAGACATCCTAGTTGTTCTGCCCACTAGCCAGCTCTTCCCCCCAGGTGGCAGTCATAGATTTAGAATTGCAAGTAGAGGCCCTGGCTAAGCAAACCACCAGTCCCTTTAACAACACCTACCATGCCATCATCATTCTTACTGAAGAAACCTCACAGATTTGACAAGTGACACTATGAAGCTATATGACCCTAGGTATTGCAACTACAGCCAAAGGTAACACTTGTGTATTAATGAACACTGAATGTTGCATATATATACAAGATTAGTCCCACAATATAACTCAAGCTATGCAAGCATTAGATACCCATATTTCTGCTAGAGATGGATGCCCTCTCTCAGAACCCCATGACAGCATGGTTTAGTTGACTTCCTAACACATGGAAGAGTTTCATATATAGTAGAGCTGGTATTCTGTTCATTGCTATCTTCAATTGCTATGGATTTTATTGCTATCTTGCACTTTAAGTGAGAATGTAATACTGACCTTCTCAAAAACTCCTAGGTCCTTGCACCATAATGCTCCAACAAACACCTACTGTAATTCCGGAGACTCCAGAATATTTCCAACTCCAGTTTAATGGATTCCCTTCCAATACATACAACCTATGCCCTTTCTAAAGAAGTAGCCAGAATGACTATGACACATGTTTTCCATAGAAACGAAATGGAATTTGACAGTGGGGAATGATATACAGGCAGCTTAATTTCAAAATGCATTTTAAACTTAGTATTTGAGGTTTTAATATTATTTTTTATACTCCCTGAAACCTGAAATTTCACACTTACATTTTAATTCAGACTTAATAGCAACAAATAACCAGAACACATGAATTGCCTGTAATCTCTATACCTTGCATTGTAAGCCACATTTCAAGTGTAACCTTACTTGTCAGCACAGTATGTTTACCACAGGCATAATTGCTTGTCCTGACTGTCCAGAAGGCAGGGTGGTATTAAGTATGCGGCCTCTGGAGCTGGGAAGTCTGGCTTTGTATACCGTCTCTGCCACTGCTAACTGGAGGACAATGGGCCAGTTACTTCCTGTACCCCAGTTTTCTCATATGTAAAGTAGGGTTGTTGTAAGAATGAAATTAGTTAATATTTAGTACCTAACAACTAATAGGCATTACATGGTAGCTATTGGTATTGCTATCGTCAGAGAACACACAGGAGTCCATTGTTATTTTTACCCTCCCCCTCCAAACAAAATGTGTAAGACACTAGACATGGTAGCTCTGTAACGGGGTTCGTCATGTATTAAACTGTGTACCCAAATGATATGTCAAAGTCCTGACAACCAGCACTTCAGAACACGTCCTTATTTGGAAATATGGTAGCTGGAGATGTTATTAGTGAAGATGAGGTCTTACTTGAGCAGGGCAGGCCCTCAATGTGGGAAGATGGGTGTCTTTCTAAGTACAAGGAAATTTGGACACAGAGACAGAGACATACAGTGTGCCATATGACAGCAGAGGCAAAGATCAGAGTGGTGCAGCAGTAAACCAATGCATGTCCGGGATTACCAGTCACCTCCACAAGTGAGGAAAGGGCAAGGAAGAATTCTCCTGAGTCTCAGAGGGAGTGCAGCCCAGCTCACACTTGATTTTGGACTTCTAGTCTCTAGAACTGTGAGAGAATACAGTCCTGTCATTTTTAAGCCACCCAGTTTGTAGTATTTCATTTTGGCAGCCCTAGGATATTCATACAGAATTCTTCACCCAAAAGGAAGCACTCTTTCACACAAACAGTCAAAGTCCTGGATGACAGACAACCTGGAGACTGCAAACCTCCAAGGAATCAAAGGAAGTTCTATAAATTCTAGGGGCCCCATCTTTCAAAGGCTGCTCCTCAAGTCCACACCCACACTTTGGAAGGAGAATCCTGCTCTTGGACATGGGATCCTTAGTGAGCCAACTGCCAATAATCCAACATCGTCATGAATTAAAGATCTCTGACATTTCCTCTTCACCAAGGGGAATTCTGTCAAGTAGTAAGTAAAACCCTTCTTCAGTAATCTCCACACCAAACAGTTCTGCATGGCTTGGGACGCCTCAGGAAACTTATAATCATGGCAGAAGAAAAAGGGGAAGCAAGGCAGTCATACATGGTGGCAGAAGAGAGGTTAAACTTTTCTGTCTCTCTTGGGTGTAAAGATATAATCTTGAGGCAAACAGCAGAATCAATTTTCTTACGCCTTGAAATAGACTCCACCTTTCTCCCTTTCACCATAAATATTCCCTTCACATTAATCTAACTTTATGTTTGCATCGAACTATGTGCCTTTTTGGAAGTTCCGGAAGCTAATTTGAGACAGATAGACAAAGTCGGGAGACCCTGATGCAGAATTCCAGAGGTGACTTCAATGTTGCTAGTTAACAACCCAGGCATTGCCCAGATGATGCCAGCCCAAGATCTAGGTGGACTGGGATGCCAGAGAGCCGCCAGAACAAGACGCACAGACCTGGTTCTCAGCCCAAATCTTGCATGCCTTTCTTACCAACTTTTCCTTTTTTAAACCCCTGCCTTTCCTTCAAAATTCAAGTGGTTGCTTGGGATGGGAATGCGGTCACTTCCCCTTTACCATTATGGTTAATACAATAATCTTTGTACCAGATCTCTCTCTTGTTAATTGGATCCTGCAGGTGGCAGATTCCGGACCAGAGTGAGGTTAGAAACTGAATGCACATACTGGGTGGTTCACAGACACGGTGTTCTGTGAAGTTTATGGGTGGATTCCTGGGGAAGCCTGCAAGCCTGTTAGTGATTAGCAGAACCGCATCCAGCTACTGGGATCTGCACGCCAGGTGCCGTGAGCCCCTCACCATGTTCCC
Organism: Homo sapiens; assembly: GCF_000001405.40. Classification (NCBI taxonomy): domain Eukaryota; kingdom Metazoa; phylum Chordata; class Mammalia; order Primates; family Hominidae; genus Homo; species Homo sapiens. The sequence goes on along the minus strand of NC_000014.9, from coordinate 106,483,028 downwards.
TGGTCCCAGCTGCCCGCGGATGGTTCAGCCTTGACAACGGGCTCGGTGTTCTGGGTGGTGGGAGAGCAAGGGGGCCCCTTGGGCAGCGTGCTACAGGGCTGTGAATCCAGGGGCCCACCCGGTGTTCCCTGTGGAGTCACTGAGGGAATGAGGGGCTTCTCAGGGCACAGAGCTGTGCCGCCTTTGTGCAGTGGTGGCTGAATACAGTGACACTGGGCGCGTGGTGAGAAGCGGGGCAAGGTCAGTTCACTGGACCCTCCGCCCTGAGCCTCAGATGAGTCGGGGGTCCCCAGACAGGCCCGGCCTCTGCCCTGCGGCGGACACTGGAGCCTTTGCTGTGGCTGCCACCGAGGAGCCTTGACCTCAAAGCAGCGGGAACCTCTCTACCCACCTCGGAAACCTGAAGGCAGCGGCGGCCTCTCCCAGCCAGGACCTCGCCGGCATCCGGGTCTCCAGGCCCAACCCTGTACCACATAAAGGAAGTCCCCGCTGAGCTACCGGCGGGACACAGCGCCGTTGGGTGGGCGGGCGCGGCGGGGCGGGAAGCACGGAGCAGCTGCCACAGAGATGCGCGGGGGCTGTCGGGAAGTGGGCGGTCCGGGAGGCGCGGGGCTGATGGGACGTGGGCGGTCCGGGGACGCGCGGGGGATGGCGGGACGTCGGCGATCGGAGATGCCAGGGGGCAGCTGGGACGTGGGCGGTCTGGAGAGGCGCGGGGGCAGCTGAGATGCAGGTGGTCCGGGACGCGCGGGGGCTGGCGGGTTGTGGGCGGTCCAGGGATGCGAGGGGGCAGCTGGGACGTGGGAGTTCCGGGGACGCGTGGGGTCGCCAGGAAGCGGGGTCTAGGACTTAGATCCGCTTTCTCTTCAGGCCATGCAGCCCCGAAGCTCCGAATCCTGGGATGACTCCTGTCCATGTTGGAAGGGACCCTGCCAGTCCTGGCAAGGTTCAAAGGCCTTAGGGCAAGAAATGTTAGTAGAGTCCTGGAAGACGATGTGGGGAACGGGTAGCGGCCACCGGATGGTGATCGTTCTTCTACAAGACCTTGACATGGATGGGGAGAAACAGAGAAGAACCTTCCAAGTTTGTCCCACTGGACATGCCCACCACACTTTACCAGCCCTTTCTAGAAGGCCTGTGCGTAACACATGAAAAAGCTCCGCTCGACCTTTCCCTGACCTTTTAAAAGAAAACATTTGCTGCATCTAATCCGCCTAGATATAAGGAGGTTCCCAAATGTATGACAGAGTCAGAAAATTACATGTCTTGTAAGTTACCATGTGCTTGTCTTTTGTTTTCCGTTTTTTTTCGTTTTTTTGTTTTTTGTTTTTGAGACGGAGTCTCACTCTGTCGCCCAGGCTGGAGTGCAGTGGCAGGATCTTGGCTCACTGCAACCTCTGCTTCCTGAGTTTCAACAATTGTGCTGCCTCAGCCTCCCGAGTAGCTTGGATTACAAGTGTGCACCACCACGCCTGGCTAATTTTTGTAGTTTTTAGTAGAGATGGGGTTTTGCCACGTTGGCCAGGCTGGTCTTGAACTCCTGACCTCAGGTGAGCCACCCACCTTGGCCTCTCAAAGTGCTGGGATTACAGGTGTGAGCCACCGTGCCTGGCCGTAAGTTACCATGTGCTTTTTAAAAAAATCATAGCAAAGGGGTGTCTTCTGGAAATGACATTTTGAAATGGTGTTATTAGACCACCCCTGGAAGGGACACAGTAACCACACGTCCACGTTCGTTCAGTGGGTGAGAGGACATGGAGGGGAGACCTGGGCAGGAAGGGAAGAGGGTTCCATGCCAGGCTGCTCATATTTAGAAGACATTTTCATATCATTGTCATTGTTTTCTTGTGTGCGTTTTATTCCTCGCTATTGTATACATCATTGGAAATTCTAAGTATTCTTTTGAAATATCTAGTCTTTCTAGATGTTCTGAAGTGCCTGATGTATGTTAAAATTACAGGTGGTAAAATAATAAATTTTGTAAATATCTTTTTGTTAAAATTCATATGCAGTGTTTTATTTTATTTTGATGTTGGTGGGGGGTGGGGAGGATGGCCAAATCCCTGCTTGATCAACACACATTGCGTTTGTGCTCTGGTTCAGGGGAGGAGAGAGGAGGAGAAAGTGCAGACTTCCAGGCCTCTGTGCGCACCGGGAGGAGAGATTAATGATCATCTCTTCTGTCTGTGTGTTTGTTTTATTTATCTATGGATATCCTGTGTATAAAGGATGAACAAGTCCTATTTATAACATCTAATCTTTTCAGGTGTTAAGTTGCCAGTGTATGACGGAAGCAGCGTTATTAAACGAACGCAGCTTGTACATATTGTGTTAAAATTCATAAAAAGCCAGTCTTCTGAAAAGAACCCTTGGGCCCTCCCTCCGCAGCCTCCGGCGCCAGCTGCAGGAAGACCTGGCCAGGGGAAGGCGGGCGGCACAAGCTGCTGCTGGCTGTGGGGAAGGCGGTGGAGCCCAGGCCTCCACAGGCTCCCCACAGGCTCCCCACAGGCTCGCGCGGCTCTGGTCGCTGGGCTCCGCACGGGCCGCGTGGGGGCGCCTGCTGGGAGCGAGGAGGCGCCATCCTGGCTCGCCTGCTCCAGGAGGACGCTCTGGGCCTGCGCAGATGCAGTTCTCCAGGATGGGCGCGGGCGCTGGGGGCCGCGCTCCTTGGGCTGCTGCGCCTCCACTGAGCCGCCTGGGTGTGAGGACCTCGCGCCGGCGCCTCCGGGAAGGACGCGGAGCCGCCGCGGCCGAGCCCAGGGCTGCAGCTGCTGCCCGACGCCCGCGAGAAGGCCCTTCCGCCACCGCCCGCGGGTTCGAACTTGGAGCAGCTGCTGCCAGCTGAGGCGCCAGCGGCGTCGGGAGCTCCTCAGAGTCAGTGTTTTGTGCTGGATTCGGCATGTCCTCTGAAAACTCGGGAATTTGTCACTGAAATGGTGACAGGAGGTGAGAAGTTTTTTTAGACGTTGCCTTCGCTGACCGGGCGCCGGGCTCAGGCCTGGAATCCCAGCACTTTGGGAGGCCGAGGCGGGCGGATCGCTTGAGCTCCGGAGGTGGAGAAGCTGCCTTCGTGGTAACTGTGGTCTTAAGTTCAGCTGAGAACGATAAATGGCTTTTCCTTGAATTGGCTGCTTTTGTGATTTCTCTCAGGCTCATCTTTCCTCAGTTAAAAATCCAGTGGTAGGTGTAGCTTAGAGACGGGAAATTTTTGGTTTTGTTTTGGCTACACGTAAGTCTTGGAAATTATTTTCTTTTACGTTCCAATGTGAGCAAATCCAGAAGGATGTCAGATTAAACACCGAATTTAACAAATTCAGCCGGGCACGGTGGCTCACGCCTGTAATCCCAGCACTTTGAGAGGCCGAGGCGGGTGGATGATGAGGTCAGGAGTTTGAGAACAGCCTGACCAACATAGTGAAACTCCGTCTCTACTAAAAATACAAAAATTAGCCGGGCGTGGTTGTGCGCGCCTGTAATCCCAGCTACTCAGGAGGCTGAGGCAGGAGAATCGCCGAGATTGCGCCACTGCACTCAGCCTGGGCGACAGAGCGAGACTTCGTCTCAAAAAAACAAAAAAAAAAATCAATCATTGGAATACTGTTGTTCATTACAATTAATGAACGTTTGATACACGCATAAACGCACTAAATTCACGAGTACATATAAGTAAAATAAGCCAAAAAAAAAAAACTACATCCTGTATGATGACACTTTTATACATTCTACAGAATAGAAACTGAAGTGACATGAAGGTCGGGAGTTGAATGGAGAAAAGGTGAGAGAAAAGAGGGAGGAAGGCGTTGCAAGAGAATAAGAGAAAATGTTGAGGGTAATTGATTTGTTTTCTATCTTAATAATGGTGATGGTTACATCAATAATTTCCAAATTGTACATTTTGTGTGTTAATTAGAATTTTATATTATTCAAGCTATTACAAATAAATACCTGTATAAATTTCTTAGGGACGGTGTAAGGGAGATGGATAAATCACATAAAAAGTCAGATATTTCTGAATGTACAATGAATAACCCTTAGCTCTATCTCTATTTTTTGGTAATTCTAAAATGCAGCAGTTTTTTTTAATGTTTTTATTACAAGAAGGGTTTCTTCAAACCACACCAGGTATGCGTAACTCTGGGATAAAGTTGGCTAAGGGAGCTGTGGGATCCGGTGGAGAGGAGCACAGGTCCCGATCCTGGAGCCCATTCTTGTCACATGTGAGCTCCAGGACACATCTCATAGCTCCCTCATGCTTCTGGGTTTACATTCACATCTGTAAATGGAGGACCAATGGGCATCTGCCTCTAACAATGTATTTTCGTGTGTTAAGATAATGTATGCTAAATGTTTACCACAGCACAATCTTTTACTAAGAAATTACATTTTTTCCAAATATTATCATTGTCTTCAAGCCCCACCACCCACTAGAAAACTTCATCTGCTCTGTGCCTTGCCCTGTCCTCAGACATCCTGCCCAAGAGACTTCTATATAGTAGGAGACATGCAAATAGTTCCCTCCCTCTGCTGATGAAAACCAGCCCAGCCTTGACCCTGCAGCTCTGGGAGAGGAGCTCAAGTGCCAGGATTCCCAGGTGTTTTCACTTGGTGATCAGAACTTAACACAGAGGACTCACCATGTTGTTTGGGCTGAGCTGGGCTTTCCTTGTTACTATTTTAAGAGGTGATTCATGAAGAACTACAGATATTGTTTGTGAGTGGATATTAGAGAAACAGTGGATATGTGTGGCAGTTGCTGACCAGGATTTCTCTGTGTTTGCAGGTGTGCAGTATGAGGTGCAGCTGGTAGAGTCTTTTTTTTTTTTTTTTTTCACTTTTTAGCGAACATCCATGGGTTACAAAATAATGGGTTGGCTTTTCTTCCAACACTTTACAGACACCATCAATTTTCCTCTTGCTTATAAGGTTTTAACCAGAAGAATGCTGTCATCATCTTTCCTGTTCTTTTAGAAGGAATGCCCCCTCAACTCATCTCCACTTGTCTGCATGTATTTCTATTTGTCTTTGGTTTTCAGCAGTTTTAATAAGATTCACCTAAATGTGTGTGTGTGTGTCGAGGGGTGTTATGCTATTGTTCTGTGTTCTCTGAGATGCATGGATTCACCGTTTACTCTGTCTCCATTTTTGTGAAAACAATTAGAAAAAAAGTCAGTGTGAGCCTAGAAACAAGCCTCCCTGAAGTGGGCACTGGACCACCTGGGGGCGCTCAGGACCCACTGAGCACAAGAGCCAGCCCCAGGGCAGGTGCAGAGGGGTGTTAAGGTCTGGTTTCCTGTCAGCCCTGTGGCTTCCTCTCCATAAAACAGTTTCCTTTGTGGCACATCTCTGGATTCCTTATCCTTTTTTTCCTGTGAAGTCTGAAGAAGAAACATTTGTCGTAACAAGAGAAAAACTTTCTCATATGCACCAAAGGCAGAGTCACCTACAGTCATTTACTCCTGTTTCTGAATGTCAATAAGGTGTCAATGCTTCTGAAGTTAATCAGCTAAATCTATAAAAGGTGCGGTGTTTAACTCAGCATGGCAGCCCAGCTCAACAGAACTCCAAGGGCCAGTGAGCAAGCAGGCAGGATAAAGTGCATGCTGGGCATTGGGGCAGAGGGAGTTAGCATCCAGTGCAAGAGAAGAAAGCCCCCGTGGTGGTCATTGTCAGGACTCCAAGCCCACAGTTCCAATTGTAGGTGATACTGGGCAAAGGAAGAGAGACCCCACCAATGGTTAGTGTGGATTTCGAGTCTGATGGTTCCACACTCACACTCCAGGTGAATATGAAAACATTTATTAACTCTATTTTTGAGGTGTCTGCTGAGAGCAGCACAGGCCTCTCAAGAAATTTCAAACTGGAATTTCCTCAGTAGACAGGAAAGGAGGCTGGCTCAGGGCTTTATAATGATTTGGTGGTGGGGTTGGGGGTGCGTTTCTACTCAGGAGAAGGAGATTGTGTGATTTAAACCTCACAGGGGCATCAGATAAGGGAGCTTCTGTGATTTCTTACTAGATTTACCACATGCAGGGGATAAGGAGGAGGAAGAATAAACCTTAATTCGTCAGCAACGAGGCACCAAAAATAGGACCTGACGCTTTATTCTCCCTAGCAGCTTAAGAAAATGAGTGAAAAAGAGAGAGAAGAGTCCACTATGTGTGAAAAGCAAACAGGTCTAAAGAAAATAAAAATTTTATTACTGTAAGCACATAATAAAAAGAAAGAGAAGAATGAATGAGACAGGCAGGGGTGCTGAATCAATGTCCTGAGTGGGGCCTTTTCATTATCCACAGTTATCAGTTAATTCTGAAGGTCTCAGGTCAGCTTCCTGCTTCAAAATATCACAGGCCCTTACAGTATATGTGAAAATCCTCGGTTTGTCGTTCTTCACTAAAGTAGCCTTATAATTAGATGTACTTCTGAATTTAATCTTCAGTTGTGTTAAATAAAAAAAAACACAATCTACAATTTAGGAAAGTGAGAGTTTATTTTTATCAAGGTTTACAGCCATCCCATATGCTGGAAAGCATAGCTTTTGGTAAAGACGAGAGAAAGGCACTCCCAGGAAGAAGGGGTTGGGCAGAAGCTTTATGCTGAAGGGTTTGGCTAAACAGACATAATCAACAGGTTACAGGAGGGGCTACTGATGTTCATGGAGGTGGTCCTCACACATGCATACTGAACAAACATGTCTGTAACGTATGACCCCTGTTCACTTACCAGTGGAGACTTAGCATTTAAATTCATTACAGTCAGGCCCTATGTGCCAATAGCAGAAGCAGAAACACAAAGGCACTCAGGGTGCAGCCTCTGTAAACGGCCAGAGCCAGGCCATGGTGAGTGGTCTCTGATCAGGAGAAAGGTCCTGATATCACTCTAGTGTTCAATCAAAGCTGGGGTTATGGCTTGTGGAACAGGGGTCAGTTCATCAGGGGATGGGCTGCAATTGTCTTCATAGTGCTTGTCTCAGTGCCGGTGCTTACTGAGCCGCTAGAGAAAACGAATAACCTATTGGCAGTTAGAAGACAGTTTACCTTTTAAGTGTGGGAGTGAGTGGCAGAACCCTTGCCTGACATGGCTTTAGGTCTTGTTTATAATTTGACATCTTATTGCCACAGAGATTCTGTTCTGTCATTCTTTTGATCTCTATTTTAACATTAGTGTTGGTCATTGTTGTGTCTAAACCGCAAAGGGGAGTGAGTGTAAGAGGCGCGTCTGATCTTGTCATGGCTGGGATCTCAGTTTTTAGGCTTTTCTGGAGTCCCTTAGATGAACAGATGGACTATTTAGTCAGTTGGGGCACTTAGGATTTTATTTTTGTTTTACAGTTCATAAATATGAACCCTAGTATTGACATTGTGCATATTCACTGCTGTGTTGTGGTTAAAATTACCTGGTAAGATTCCCTTCAAAGCCGTTCAAGAGCAATATCCTACCCTGATGTTTCTTCCAGTAAATACCATTCCCTGTTTTAATGTCATTAGAGGCTATTGAAAAGATGTAGGAAAATGATAGCTTAATCTGTCGATGACTGGAGTGGGTAAGATACAGTCATCACTTTCAATGCTTTGTCATGCGTGCATGTAATAGGAAGAGGTGAGCTCTGGGGGAAAATCTCTAAATGTATGGGCCTTCCAGCCACCAAATCATAAGGTGATGACTGATGTCTCACTGAGGGACTTGACTATAATGCTCTAGTGCTAGGGAGAGAAACTTTGGCCAAGGAAGTTCAAGATTTTCTTAAGGTTTTGACAAGTTTAGTTCAAGTATGACAATTTTCTTCAACATTTTCAGAAGATTGTGGATGGGAATGATGCTGAGTTATATAAGTAATTCTAATGCCTTCTGTGTTTAGATAATATTATAAAGAAGACTGTTTGGTATAATGACCCACTACAATATATATACTTTTAGTTGTTACACCATTTCATTTTCCTTTAGGATTTTACTTTCTAAGTTACATGAATCAGTTCCCTAAAATATAGGCGTGCATCTAAAATTTATTCTTTTGTTGAGAATTTTTACGTGTTCCAGAAGATATGAGAAACTTCTTTGCGTGAAGAGCATCCCAAAGTCAGGCACTCCTGTAAAACATGTACTTAATCCTTGTCTTTGGCTTATTGATGAGCTCTGTTGACCACAATAAAACTTCTGTCATGCGGGCTGACTTGACATCAGGTAGAGGAACAGATTCTGAATGTACTACTGAATTGAGTGCATAACCTCCAGTTTCGTTACTGATGTATGATTCATCAGAGATGATACTAGATCAAGGATTTCAATCGGAATCTAATCTAAAAGATGTGAATAAACTTTCCTAATTTAGATAGTATTACTGTGAGCACACTGCTAGTATTCAGCCATGTCTCCTGTCTGTCACACTGAATTCACGCTAACTTTGATCTAAAAGTTAACACTTGTTCTAATGTTCAAATATGTTATTTTTATTCTAATGTCTCTAGATTATTATCTGTGGCTATTTTAGGCAAGAGTGAAGGAAAGCAAGGTTAACTGACTAAAAATGAGAAAAAGCACAACCTAATGTAATGGAAGTCAGGACATCAGCATCTCCAGGCTTGTCTATTTCTAGAGTTCATGCAACCAGGGGATTTCTTTTCTCATTTTTACACAAAGAAACACCCAAATTGTCCATTTCATCTCCCATTGACTCTTATCATCTGTCTCTGTCAGTTTGCTTAGAATTTTGGCCTCCAGCTTAATCCAAGTTGCTGCAAAAACATGATTTCATTCATTTTTACAGCTGCATGGTATTCCACTGTGTATAAGTACCACGTTTTCTTTTTTCAGTCTGTAACTGATCGGCATTTAGTTTTATTGTATGTCTTTGGTACTGTGAATAGCACAGTGATACACACGTGAGTTGATGTGTCTTTTTGTTCCAATGATTGGTTTTCTCTTGGACATATACCCAGTAATGAGATTGCTGAGGGGAATGGTAGCTCTGTTTTAAATTCTTTGAGAAATCTCCAGATTGATTTCATCAGTTCTTGGGCCAAATTATATTTTCACCAAAAGTGTGTAAGTGGTCCGTTATCTCTATAGCCTTGCCTGCATCTGTTAATTTCTGATCTTTCAGTGATAGCAATTCTGACATATGTGAGAAAGTATATCATTTGGTTTTGATTCGCACTTATCTGATGACTGAATATGCTGAGCATTTTTATAGGTTAGTTGGCCACTTCTATGTTTGTATTTGAGAAGTTTCTGTGCATGTCCTTTCTCCATTTTTAATGGGGTTATTTGGTTTATGCTGGTGATTAAGTTCCCTATGAATTACCACCTTACACACACTAAGATAATCAGCATTCAAAAAAGAAAAATGAATAGAAAAACATAACCACTTGTAGGTATAGACATACTGAATTTGGAATGGTCATGGCTTGCATGTTGGTATTGAAATGGGACAGCAACTTTGGAAAATGGTCTTCACAGAAAACCTCATAAATGTAGCTAGTGTCACCACTCACAGAAGTAGATGGAGAATACAACTCAAGTGTCCATCGACTGCCAGAGGGATGAAGACGCCGCGGTGCGTCTGTAACCCACAGGGATGAAGACGCCGCGGTGCGTCTGTAACCCACAGGGATGAAGACGCTGTGGTGCTTTAAAAAGGAGTGAAGCACTGACATAGGCTGCAACTCGGATGGGCCTTGTAAACATTGGGTGAGTGAACTGAGGGAGACACGGAAGTCTACATCCTGAATTGTCCTATTGACATGAAGTATGCAGAGGAGGAAAATCCCTAGAGACAGATCACAGGGGGTGAGTGGAGGGGAAATGGAGAGTGACGCTTAATGGAGCTGAGGTTTTCTTTTCTGTGATGAAAATGTTCCCAAACCAAATACTGGTGATATTTGCACAACATTGCAAATGTGTAAAGTATCACTGACCCGTACACTTAATCGTGGCTAAAATTGTAAATTTTATGTCATGTGTATCTCAACACAATAGAAATGAGCACCACATTTTGTTTAGTGACTCAACAACAATAACATTTAGGTTTAAATTCTGGATTCCCCAACAGAACCAGTGCTTCCTGCTGGAGCTGGATCCATCAGCCCCCAGGGAAGGGACTGGAGTGGGTCAGGTGCACAGGTCATGAAGGGAGCACAAATTCTAACCCACTCCTCAAGAGTCCAGTCACCACCTCCAGATCTATGTCCAAAAACAGCTCTTCGTATGGCTGAGTGACATTAGCAACAAGCACACAGCCATGTTTGTTTTTTTGTTTTGTTTTGGTGTGTGTGTGTGTGTTTTTGATAGAGTCTTGTGTCACCCAGGCTGGAGTGCAGTGGGGCAATCAATCTTGGCTCACTACGAGCTCCACCTCCTGGGTTCAAGTGATTCTCCAGCCTCAGCCTCCAAGTAGCTTGGACTGCAGGCACTCACCACCACACCTGGCTAATTTTTGTATTTTTAGTAGAGACAGGGTTTCACTATGTTGGCCAGGCTGGTCTTGAACTCCTGACCTTCTGATCCACCCGACTCGGCCTCCAAAAGTGCTGGGATTACAGGTATAAGCCACTGTGCCCAGCCACAAACAAGTATTTTTAAGCAAAAGACACAGTGAAGAGACTTCAGTATGAGCCCACACACAAACCTTCCTGTGGGAGTTTACAGAACAGCAGTGGGTGCTGAGGACAGAAGCCAGCACCCAGGAACCAGCAGGGAAACCCAGGGGGCATTTGGCACCGCCTGAAGGCTCAGGACCATTGTGGGGCTCAGTGGTCAGGCAGGCTCAAGGTTCAGCCTCAGAGCAGGTGTAGCAGGCGGGGAAAGGCTCTGAAGACGGAGTTTAGTGTCACCTTCTCATTTCCACTACTAAACACCCTCCAGCACATCTATTCTAATGTGTATGGGTGTTCATGTGTTTAGAGAATATTATTTATGTTATGAATCTATAGCCATCTTGTGGGTGCATCAAGTTAACCACTTCAACCTATGTGGACCCTGTTCATTAGGAATAAGTCCCTGTATTTGAGGACCTCACAAATTAATAATTATGTAGAATCACTTTCTTTTTCAGTCTCCTTTCCTTCCTCTTTCTTTCTTTCTCACTCACACACTGACAAACACACGGGGTGCCATAACATTAATTACCTGATGTATTAAAGAATATTGATTCATTTGCAACTTGACCAGTTTAGCTGTTGTTCATGTTGTTGTAAGATCAGGAACATGTTTCTCAGCTGTGTACTCCTCTAAGCTGAGCAGCAGCTTTATTTGAAATACACAGAAACTGAAAACAATCCAAATATTAATCAGCACCTTCATAAGTAAACAAATTGTGGAAAAGTCGTTTATTGGGATAGTACCCACTACTACAATCAGTAAATGTTGGATACGATCAACAGCATGGTTCAATTCACAAGTACATATGATGAGTATAGTGAGCCAAAGCACATACATATGATTCCGTTTTATAAACTGTACAAAGTGAATACTCATTGGAAATTACATAACAAAGATCACTAACTGACTTCTCCATAGTAAGAGAAGCGAAGGTATAGGAGGGAGAAATTGTGAGAGACAAAGAGAAAATTGAGAGGCGAATTGATTTGTTTTCTCTGTGAATGGTCATTAGGTCAATGTTTGTCAAATGGTGAACATATTGTGTGAAGATTATATGTCTGTATTACTTCATTAAAGCTATTATAAATAAAAGTCTAATGTGGTAGAAAAAGATGAAGAGAGAAATAAAAATAATACAAGAAAAGTCATGAACTCCTGAATGAATTAACCCTTAGTTTTTCTCTATTACTTATAAAAACACCAAGATACAGCCAAATAATATCACGATATCATTATAAGAAGAGTGTTTTGTAAACCTCACTGGGAATTTATAGCTCTTTCCTAGAGTTAATTTTGGGAACAGTTGGATCCAATTGTGAGAAATGCAGGCTGGACACTGAGACTGGCTCTTATGAGATGTGAGCTCTTGTCTATGTCACATGGTCCTTCCATACTTGGGGGTTTACATTCACATCTGTAAATGAAGGAAACATTGACTCTCAAAGAACATATTTCATGTGCATGTAAAAGTATGAATGCTAGTGAGAATTAATTACTTATGAAGTATAATCACCCACATCCACTCTTGGACACAGCCCACTCTGAGGCATCTGTTACAGAACTCATTATATAGTAGGAGACATGCAAATAGGGTCCTCCCTCTGCTGATGAAAACCAGCCCAGCCCTGACCCTGCAGCTCTGGGAGAGGAGCCCCAGCCCTGAGATTCCCAGGTGTTTCCATTCGGTGATCAGCACTGAACACAGAGAACGCACCATGGAGTTTGGACTGAGCTGGGTTTTCCTTGTTGCTATTTTAAAAGGTGATTCATGGATAAATAGAGATGTTGAGTGTGAGTGAACATGAGTGAGAGAAACAGTGGATATGTGTGGCAGTGTCTGACCAGGGTGTCTCTGTGTTTGCAGGTGTCCAGTGTGAAGTGCAGCTGGTGGAGTCTGGGGGAGTCGTGGTACAGCCTGGGGGGTCCCTGAGACTCTCCTGTGCAGCCTCTGGATTCACCTTTGATGATTATACCATGCACTGGGTCCGTCAAGCTCCGGGGAAGGGTCTGGAGTGGGTCTCTCTTATTAGTTGGGATGGTGGTAGCACATACTATGCAGACTCTGTGAAGGGCCGATTCACCATCTCCAGAGACAACAGCAAAAACTCCCTGTATCTGCAAATGAACAGTCTGAGAACTGAGGACACCGCCTTGTATTACTGTGCAAAAGATACACAGTGAGGGGAAGTCAGCGAGAGCCCAGACAAAAACCTTGCTGCAGGAAGACAGGAGGGGCCTGGGCTGCAGAGGCCACTCAAGACACACTGAGCATAGGGTTAACTCTGGGACAAGTTGCTCAGGAAGGTTAAGAGCTGGTTTCCTTTCAGAGTCTTCACAATTTCTCCATCTAACAGTTTCCCCAGGAACCCTGTCTAGATCTGTGATCTGGATCTGCTGAAACTGCCTGTGTCACCTTCCTCACCTGTGACTTTGGGGGAGCTGATTGTGGACACTCCAGTGTGTGGGATTTCTTGGTGACAGCAATTGTGTCTTCTGTCTAGGCATGTCTAGGGCTGGCCATCAGGAAGGGCAGGCTGGAATTTTTGGAAAGAGGCGCACCTGCCATCCACCAGGAAATTTTGTTGTCTTTTGTTCTGCTAGAATTAAATCAGACACACCAAGGTTAACTAGCACTATCTTCCTAGCTTGAGAAACTTGATGGCAGGCTTGAATAACACCTGTATGAAGCCATCAGAGCAACAACTAGATTAATGTCTGCTAGAATTAAATCAGGCACACCAAGGTTAACTAGCACTATCTTCCTAGCTCGAGAAACTTGATAGCAGGCTTGAATAACACTTGTATGAAACCATCAGAGCAACACCTAGAATAGTGTCTGATTTAATAATTGAGACTATGGTCTAGCCAAGGAGACACATAAAACATGATTTCCATGGTTGGTTCATATTTTATATTTATTAATAGAATCTGGCTGGTATTATAAACAGCTTTGCCAAAATATATGTGTTAGTGTTGGTCTTCGGAGAAGCAAACTCTGTGACTGGATTAGCTTCGTGTACAGTTTCCTTCGTGTACAGTTTCCCTGTCCACTCTTCTGAGAGGAAATGCAGAGGTGGTGGAAGGGGTCTGGGGTAGCTGAATGCATGTGAGGGAAGTCGGTCCCTGAGTGAAGGAGAAAGGGAGGAGGACTGGGTGGAACTTTCCTAAACTTCTGTGTTGTTCTATGAAGGTCCAGCAAGGTCACTGAATCAGAGTCGTGTCACAGGTTCCCATCAGGGACCCAGTGACTCCCAGCAGTGGCTCTGCTCAGATCAGCGCAGAGCTTGTTCGTCTCCTGAGAGTGGAGCACAGGACGTGGCTCCAACACCAGCCATGGCATGGAAGACAGAGAGCAGCCCTGGGTGCCTGGGTCAGGTGCATTGTGCTCCCTGCAGGTGGAGGGAGGGAAGTGCTGACTCAGGGCCCAGAGACTGTGGGTTCTATACAGAACATACACTTTTACTTCATTTCTGTGGATGACATAGAAACAAACATGCAGTCTGTAAACAATGGTGATTCCTACATTTGCCCCAATTGCTTTATTCCTTAATTCTGCAGAATGTCCTGGCACAGAATTGCCTTTCTCATGTGGAATTGTGACGTGTGTTGAGGATGTGTGATCCCTACTTTCATTGTTTTCCTCCATGTACAGAGCTCCTAAATAGAGTACAGCTGACCCTCCTTCTACACTGTTGCTCTCCTCCCCACAGAAAGAGCAAATAATTACCTGAGGCTGAATCTGAGGTGGGATCTGTCCTCTGAACCTCAGAGCCTGCAGAGACCCCCAGCTGCAGATTCATGGAGTCAGGTGTTTGTACATGTGGGAACCTTGAGCTGTTCTTTTGTCAGTGAACACTCCTTAAAACTAATTGTGGGTTCAGAATTAGGACACCCATTGATCTATCACACCTCAGCTCATTCTGCCACTCAGAATCTCCAGAAATTCAGGAAATGGTTGAATGTACATTTTTGTGACAAATTTTTCTCATTTCACTTAGTTGTGAGTTTGGTTAGCAGAAAGTGCTACCATTTATGGGTCCCAAACTGATGAAGCTCATTTGCTTCAACAGAAGTTAGGAGGCTCCTAAAACTTCTCATCAGCCCTTCTCTCTGCACTTCATGTGAAATTCAGTTTTACCTGGAATTCTGGTGTGTTGGTTTAGCCAGAGTTCCCCATCCTCCATGTCTGATTTTCCTGGGTATCTGATCAGTTTCCTTGCCCTTCACCATACCTCGGTGACGTCTAATCACCCTGGCCCAACATCAAGAATTCTGGCAGGTTGGTTTAAGCAAGATTTGCTGTGCCCCTGATGTTTCCTCTCAGTAATTTTCCATCTTCCGGACCCCACCCTGCTGCTTGGCTTTAAATCCCCATGTTTCCATTCTGCATTTGGAGTTCAGCTGAATCTCTCTCCTCACTGCAAAACACCATTGCCCTGATCCCGACACCTACCATGAGGACCCTGGATAAAGTCTTCCTTACTGTGCTGGAACAAGTGTCTTTACTTGATATTTTTTCTTTAATAAATCTACCTTTAGTGCTTCCTAAATTGCTCAAGGAACCTCGAAAAATAAGATAAGTGCGATTATCCATTTTACTGTGTGTGTATGTGTGAATTTCAATTTCCATGTGTGGTGTCCAGAAGTCCTGAGCACAAACAGTTTTGCTTCTCTGTCCAATTCTTTGCTTCTGAAAGCCAGGAGTCATCCCAACATTGGTAAATTGGCGATTTGTTTTTACTATTTAGTGACTGACATATTTCACTTAACCTGAAGCTTCATGAACACATTGATGAAAAGTAGATAGAAGACTTGTTTGGAAATGCCAGATTTAGGGTAGACTTTACCACCCACGTGTGTCTGGAGATCTCCTTAGGATTCCAAGAACAGGGTGGTTTTTTTCCACCACAGGACAAGGATGAGAACCTCCAAGCTGTGATGATAAAGGACAGGCAGGGCCATGTGTGGACAAGGATGGGCTGCTGCCACGTCCAGAGTGTTCTCTCCTAGCAACGCCGCCATCTCCTTCCTCACACTGTGGTATTTGTCAGATGGGAAACATGCCTAGAATTTATCTTTGACATATGGATGGAAGCCCAGGCTAGAGGCATTTGACAGCTTATTTCTGAACCTACTTCTTTAAGGAATGCCCAGATCCCTTGCTCTGCTTCCTGGTTCTTAACCCCTTTAGCTCCCTTCCGCTCCTGCACCCATGCACTGCCTCTTTACGGCCACTTCCCCACACCCTTCACTGTAGCACCATTTTCTTGGGCTCCTTGGAAATATCACAGCTTTGGTTTAACTCACAGATCAGGCACACTCATGGGCCCCTCCAGAGGTTCTCGATTTCCCTCCCTCAGGCTCCTCCCTGGGGTCCTAACTTGGCCATCTCTATCCTCTCTTCTCAGCCTGGCCATCCACAATCCATCCCATCTGGACTTGTGTATAGCACTGGGTTAACTCAGCAGGTATGAATTGTTCAAACCCTGCACATTCCTAAAAAATAACTAAAAAAAAAAAAAAACTTTTGTTCATTTATTGCTGTTACCTACTGTGATGAGATCTCCGAGTCCATAAAATATTGCACCTGATAACAGTGTCTGTGGATGTCTGTAGCCTTGGGACATGCGGTACAAGTTTAATCAGTGATTTATAGTGAATGTCTACTTTTGTTTTGCTGGAGAGGGCTGTCGTCTGAGTATTGTGGTCAGTTCCCCAGGTGTTCCATAGTCTATGATTCATTCCCCAAACACAGCCCTGGACAAGAGAGCTCAGCGGCACTCCCCTTGTTGTCAACACTTCACACAAGCCATCTTACCTCACAGCTGAACAATTACACATGTGTAGAAGGCTCCACTGTGAGAGGACACCTGAGAGCTTGTGCCTGGATTCTCCAGGGCTTCACTCCTTGTGCCTTTTGTCTTTACTTATTTTAAATTGTATCATTTTTCTGTAATAAACTGTTCCTGTGAATAGAACAGTTATGAGTCCTATGTTTTTACTGATTTTTCAGCCTACAGGTGGCAGATGAGAACTCTCAACACAGTTGTGTTAGAAGAAGGATTTCCTAGAGAGACCCTGACTCAATGATGATACATGGCTGAAGCATTGCATGGAAAACGTAAGTGTTCAGGTATGGAATGGCAAAATTTGATACCTGGGGAGTGACAGAATACTACAGTCTATTACAGCAGCTGAGCTGAAATCGGTTTCTGGAGGTAAATGGGATTTAGAAATTATAAATCCAACTCCCAAGGAGCTGGCTCAATCAATACATAATGAAATGTGAAATGATTAGAAATAGCCTACATATGCAATTTCCATCTGTGAGAACTAAGTGAAAATCCAGGAGAGAGTTGGCAGGGAGAGGGATACTGCACCAACCTCAGATTTTGACCATTTTCATTTAGGGCTGATGGGCTCATGACCACTAGAGTTAGCAATTACACTGTGATAAAAGATAAAAGCTTCACAAACTCTACCCACCCAGAAGGGGGCTCAGGTGGTGAAATAGGGAGGGTAAGGCATGAAACGACTGAAATATGGGAGGATAGTGAGATGGGTTCTCTCTTTTTGAGTTTTATCTTTTGCTTCTTTACTAATTTTTGTTAATCTGGATTTGGAGAATGACTAGTGTAAAAGTGGATTCTGTTTTGAGTCCCTTAGAATGGAGGAGAATGTGTGGGCCAATGTTGTGCCCAGAGACTACTACAGAACAATAGTAGATGAATGTACATGACCCAAACACAAAGCTTTGTGGTTGCTGATGGGAGAGCTGCACTGCCCTGGCCTACTGGATAACAGCTTCTCCAAAGTGTATTTACCCTGACAATGGAGATTGCCTTTCTCTTTTAAGTGAAAAAAATGGAACACTACAATAAAGTAGTGGTAATGCTGTGTGTGTATGTATAAGACATTCTGGAGTGGGTTTGTGATAATTGGGATATGTATCACTTATCCTTTTATTTGTATAAATTTATGGGGTGAAAGTGCCGTTTTGTTACATGGATATATTGTTGAGGGATAAAATCTGGGCTTTGAGTATAGCCATCATCTGGATGGTGTATATTGTACCCATTAAGTAACTTCTCATCCCACATGCCACTCCCACCCTCCCAACCTTCCAAGTCTCCAATATTTCTTATTCCACACTCTGTATCCATGTGTACATATTATTTAGCTCTCACTTATATATGACATGTGGTATTCAACTTTATTCTTCTGAGTTCTTTAACTTAAGATAGTGGCCTACAGTTTCATCCATGCTACTGGAAAATACATAATTTCATTCCTTGTCTATTATTGAGTAGTAATTAAATGTGTATATGTACATACACATGTATAGTGTGTGTATGTGTGGGGATGTGTGTGTACATATATGTATATGTATGAACATATACGACTGTTTCCTTTATCTAATCATTTACTAATAGAAACTTAGTTTGGTACCATGTATTTGCTATTGTGAATAGAGCAGCAATAAACATATAAATGCAGGCATCTATCTGATATAATAATTTATCTTCCCTTGGGTAGATACCCAGTAGTGGGACTGCTGAATGAAATATTAGTTCCAATATTAATTATTTGCAAAATCTCCATACTGTTTTCCATAGAGCTTATAGTAATTTACATTTCCACTAGCAGTGTATAAGCACTCCTGCTTCTCTGCATCCTTACTAGCATCTGTTTTTTGTTTTGTTCCATTTTTCTTTTTGACTGTTTTAATAGTAGCTTTTCTGACTGGTATAAGATGGTATCTCACTGTGTCTTTAAATTGCATTTTTCTGATGATTAATGTCATTGATTATTTTTTCATATGCTGGTTGATGATTTTTTTGTCTTTTGAAAAATAAACATTGTAGTAATTTGCTCATTTTTAATGTGGTTATTTGTGGGTTTTTGTGTTGCTTTTGTTTCTTGTAGTTTGTAAATATTAGCTCTTTGTCAGATACAGAGTTTAAAAATAGTTTATCCCATTCTGTACGCTTTCGGTTAAGTTTTTTGATTATTTGTTTTGCTGTTCAGATGCTTTGCTTCTTATTTGTATTAAGTCCAAATGGTCTATTTCGGTTTTTATTGTTTACTTTTAAGGTTGTAGTCATGAATTCTTTGCCTAGGACAATCTCCAGAACAATATTTCCTAGAATAGCATCTGCAACTTTCAGACTCTCAGGTCTCCCAGTTAAGTCTTTTATCCATATTGGCTTAATTTTGGATATAGTGAGAGATACGGGTCCAGTTTTATTCTGCTGCAAATGGCTGTTCAGTTTTTCCTGCACAATTTATATAACAAGGTGACCTGTTCCCAGTGTATGCTTCTTGTCTAGTTTTTCACAGTCAGTTTGGCTGCAGGCATTTGACTTTATTTATGAAATGTCTATTCTGTTCCACTCATCTATGGCTTTCTGCTAGATTGTTACTTGATTGTTACTTGTGTATAATAATGCTACTGGTTTTTGTATGCTTTTTTCATTTATTCTAAAACTTTACTGAATTAACTCATCAATTCTAGGAGTATTTTGAAAGAATATTAGTTTTTTTAAGTACAAAATCATATTATCAGCAAACACAAAGAGTTTGACTTCCTCTTTTCCAATTTGAGTGCCTTTATTTCTTTCTCTTGCCTAATTTCTCTGGCTAGGATTTCAAGTTCCATATTGATTAAGAGTGGTGAAAGTGGGCATCCTTGACGTGTTCTGAGTCTTAGGAGGAATACTTTCAACATATTCCTATTCAGTATAATGTTGTTTCGGAGTTTGAAGGTGATTTATGGAGAATGAGAGATGTTGAGTGCGAGTGGACATGAGTGAGAGAAACAGTAGATATGTGTGGCCGTTTCTGACCAGGGTGTCTCTGTGTTTGCAGGCGTCCAGCGTGAGGCGCAGCTGGTGGAGTCTGGGGGAGGCTTGGTACAGCCTGGGTGGGTCCCCGAGACTCTCATTTGCAGCTTCTAGATTCACCTTCAGTGACTTCTGAATGCACTGGATCCGCCAGGCTTCTGGGAAAGGGCTGGAGTGGGTTGGCCGTATTAGAACCAAACGTAACAGTTACACGACAGAATGCGCTGCATCTGTGAAAGGCAGGTTCACCATCTCAAGAGATGATTCAAAGAACACACTGTATCTGCAAGTGAATACCCTGAAAACCGAGTACACGGCCATCTATTACTGTACTAGAGACAGTGAGGGGGAGGTTAACGTAGGCCCATACACAAATCTCCCTGCAGGGGCGCGCAGGGCCAACTGGGGGCGCTCGGGACCCACTGAGGATGGGACAGGTCCCAGGGGCGGGTGCAGGGGGAGGTTTCCTTTCTCAGCTGCAGGAGGCGGGTTTGTTTTTGCAGGAATATGGAGTCTTATGAGGTTTTGATATTTTACTATGGTTATTTATCATGATTTTTTAAAATTGGGATTTGTGTTTTAGTAATTTTTAAATTTATATGTAGGGGTATTTTTAAAAATTAAGTTTTAGGGTACATGTGCACAACGTGCAGGTTTGTTACATATGTATACATGTGCCATGTTGGTGTGCTGCACCCATTAACTCGTCACTTAACATTAGGTATATCTCCTAATGCTATCCCTCCCCCCTCCCCCCACCTCACAACAGGCCCCGGTGTGTGTTCCCCTTCCTGTGTCCATGTGTTCTCATTGTTCAATTCCCACCTATGAGTGAGAGCATGCGGTGTTTAGTTTTTTGTGATTGCAATAGTTTGCTGAGAATGATGGTTTCCAGCTTCATCCATGTCCCTACAAAGGACATGAACTTATCATTTTTTATGGCTGCATAGTATTCCATGGTGTATATGTGCCACATTTTCTTAGTCCAGTCTATCATTGTTGGACATTTGGGTTGGTTCCAAGTTTTTGCTATTGTGAATAGTGCCACAATAAACATATGTGTGCATGTGTCTTTATAGCAGCATGATTTATAATCCTTTGGGTATATACCCAGTAATGGGATTGCTGGGTCAAATGGTTATTTCTAGTTCAAGATCCCTGTGGAATCGCCACACTGACTTCCACAATGGTTGAACTAGTTTATAGTCCCACCAACAGTGTAAAAGTGTTCCCTATTTCTCCACATCCTCTCCAGCACCTGTTGTTTCCTGACCTTTTAATGATTGCCATTCTAACTGGTGTGAGATGGTATCTCATTGTGGTTTTGATTTGCATTTCTCTGTACCCTAAAACTTAAAGAATAAAAAAAATCCTTCAAAAATAATTCTTCCTAATAATATGCACTTATTCTCCTAGGTTGTATTAACATCTGTTGATATCTTCAACTACATAGCTATGGCGACATTAATTTACATCTGTAGACATATGTGTAAATACACAAACTTATGCATACATGTCTAGTCTTTTATATTTAATATAATAAAATCATTATAAAATATGTCCTAATGAATGAAACTTAATGATTAACTAAATATAAATTATAGTAATCCATTATTCATTGCAATGATTCTCTATAGTTTACATAAATTGGTATCTATTTGTAAGCTTAAATATAGTGTATTGGTCATTTTAAAATGGCCAAGAACAAATTTCAAATGTCCCTGTCACACAAACACACACAATAAGGATTTGAGGATTTGAGTTGATATATATGTCAATTAGCTAGATTCAGTTATTCCATATTGCATTCATAAATCATAACATAGCTTTGCACTCTATAAATACATAGTCAAAATTTCTCAATTTTCAATGAAATTTTAATTATACATTTTTTAATCCGTCCTAGGTCATGATTTTTTTCTCCCTGTCAGGATATGATTAGATTGTCCTGAGAAACTCATTCAGCCTCCTGCCTCCTGAAGGCTTCAAAGGCTTCAGGAAGTAAGCTCCTGGATGGGCAGAAGCAGGCAAATCTTTCATGTGCACAGGACCTGGAGCATCTCTCTTTGGATTAAGCCCCCTCCTCAGGATTACAGGGCTCTTCATTTTTCTCAACAGGCTGTTGTACCAGATAAGCACAAAAACTTAATTTCATTATGCTTTGCTTTTTTTAAAAAAAAAAAATGAAGGTAATAATTTTAACAATAAACATATTACAACCTGCTACACATGAGACCCTTCTTGTGCTTCGACCTTTCTTCTCAGGAGTTTATATGTATTACATATATTCAGTTTTTTTCTGAGTTGGAATGCTTATTACAGATTATTCCCCTTATTACAGATTACTCTTTTAATTTATCTCTTAGAATGATTTTTCGAGAGCCCCTGCCTGCCCGCGCCTGGTGGAATGGAGCGGCGCCTGGGCTGAGCCAGGCGCGCAGGGGCCTCCGCACGTGCCGCGCCGGTAGCAGACGCCAAGCGGGCGGACAGTGAGCGTGAGAGGCCGGGTCGGAGTGGCCGCCGGAGCAGTGCCGGGGATGGAAGAACAGCCCATCTTCACCACCGGAGCACAGGTCTTCCAGATTGACCCCAACACCAAAAAGCACTGGATGCCTGCGAGCAACAGGCGGTCACCGTTTCTTACTTCTATGATGTCACAAGGAACATCTATGGGATCGTCAGTGTGGACGGAGCCAAGGTGACCATAAACAGCACAATCACACCGAATATGACCTTCACCAATGTGTCACAGACGTCTGGGCAGTGGGCCGACAGCAGAGCCAACACGGTGTTTGGTTTGGGGTTTTCCTCTGAGCAGCAGCTGACAAAGTTTGCAGAGAAATTCCAGGAGGTGGAGGAAGCGGCCAAGACAGCCAAAGACAAGACCCAGGAGAACATGGAGCCCTCGAGTAATAATCCCGAGAATCCGGGCATGGAGCCCCATCTTCTACTCCGGCATCCAGTGTCAACGGGACGGACGATGAAAGGCCTCTCAGGCCGCTGCAGCTGACACGCACCTGCAGTCTGGGAACCACAAGCTGAAGGCGGCCTCGACGCAGAGAGCTGCCCACGGGAAGAGGTGGGAGATGGAGCTGCAGATCCGGCGGGAGAGCGACGCCCGGCTGCCCACGGCGCTGCAGGAGTCGGTGGCCAGCGTGGAGCAGAGGAAGAGGCCGTGAGATCCACAGAGAGGAGAAGAACACGCAGCTGAAGAGGAAGATCGAGGAGCTGGAGGCGGAGCTCCGAGAAAACGAGAAAGAGTGGAAGTCCCCAAAAGCAAAGTAAAACTACTCCTCAGCTCAGGTGAGTGCAACTGTGTCTCTGAGAAGATGGAGGCGGCAGAGAGAGGATCAAAACCTGGAAGACAAAGTGCGTTCCCTGAAGAGAGACACTGAGGAGAGCAAATCCAGACAGCGCCACCTGGGGGTGGAGGTGAAGAGTTTCCCGGAGGTGCTGGACCGGAAGATCCACAACCTGCCTGACTTCCGCCCAGGCCTTGCATACTGTGCACCAATAACTAGGGCTGGCCGAGGCCCAGGCCCCTCCTGTGAGTCCCAAGCGTGTGTGCGAGACCAGATGGCGCTAGGACGTTCCCTGTGTGCGTTGCTTCTGTAAATGCAGGCGCAGTTTCTTGTATTTCCAAACCAACTGTGCCGTCCACTCACCCCTTCCCAGAATAGAAATCTCTTGTCCAGGCACAGTGTCTCACGCCTGTAATCCCAGCACTTTGGGAGGTCGAAGCGCGGGAGGATCACGAGGTCAGGAGACCGAGAGCATCTTGGCCAACATGGTGAAACCCTCCCTGTCTGTACTAAAATACAAAAAATTAGCCAGGCTTGGTGGCAAGCACCTGTAGTCCCACCTACTTGGGAGGCTGGTGCAGGGGAATCGCTTGAACCAGGAGAGAGAGTTTGCTGTGAGCCGAGATCGCACCACTGTCCTCCAGCCTGGGCAACAGAGCGAGACTCCATCTCAAAAAAAAAAAAAAAAGAAAAAGAAAAATTTCCTCTCGCTTCTCTGGCCTTGTGAGGTTGTGGACAACTGGAAGATTTTGACTCAGGAATCCAGAACTAGGTCTACCTTCAACATTTACACAGTCAGGCCAGGGATGTTTATATTTTTCATAAGGGCTGTTGAAACCATATGAACTGAAAAAAAGCACTTTCTAATCCAAATATTGATATTCTTTACACCAGGTCATCGGGCTCCTTTTATCGAATAGCATTCAGGGTATTTGAATGTCCATCAGGCGCCAGGCCCAGGGGGCACAGGGAGAACAACATTCCTCTCCGTCAATAACGAGAGGCTTTAAAACAACTGTTTAGTGGAGACTTATCGAGATGGCAAACAGGTTTCTGGTGGGTACATTTTCTGGCCTGGGGATCACCTGCATCCACGATATTGCCCTCTGCCCCCCAGTTTGTATGGTTGCGACAATGTTCCTTTTCTTGGTTTTAATTTCTGAGCGGATGATTGTGGTGCGGGAACAGCACACAGTGAGGGTGCCTAGCACAATGCCTGGTGCAAAGTAGGTTTTTTATAAACGTTTGTGCGGCTCACACCTGTAATCCCAGCAATTTGGGAGGCTGAAGCAGGCGGATCACCTGGGGTCGGGAGTTCGAGACCAGCCTGACCAACATGGAGAAACCTCTTCTTTACTAAAAATATGAAAAAAAAAATAGCCGGGAGTGGTGCATGCCTTTAATCTCAGCTACTCGGGAGGCTGAGGCAGGAGAATCACTTGATACCGGGAGGCAGAGGTTGCAGTGAGTGGAGATCGTGCCATTGCACTCCAGCCTGGGCAACAAAAGTGAAATTCCGTCTCAAAAAAATTTTTTTCTAAAGCCCCACTCAAAACCAGGGTATTATTAGCAGTGTAATAGTTGGACCACAGTTGAAAATACATTCAATTCAGTTCATGTGCTCTCAAATATCCTTTTTCGTTTTAAAGTTGTTCTCAGTTGTAATATTACTCAAAATATTAGTAATTTATACTAATGACACAGGTTACAATATTGTATACATAATTTAGTGACATTTGATTGGAAAAAATACATGTTCCCCATGTCTTGAGTATTTTTTCCTTCTCTATAAAATGTATGCTTATAATTATTTAAGTTTCAGATGCTAGCATTATCTTTTTGATATCTGGGATTTAATTTTAGTAGGTATACTGGAATGCCTTTTATTAATTCATATAATAATGTTCATATTTTAGATAGGATTTTAATATTAATTTTACTATTTACTGAATTTCAAACTTTTCTACTTTTTTTGTTTTTATGAGATAAAATTCACACATAAGAAAAAATGCATAGATCTGAAATGTGTCACTAGAGAGTTTCTGGCAAATGTGAATACCTTTGTCCCCAGCACCTAAGGTAGCCTGAAGAGCAAGTCTCTCCCCAAAACATGCGTCTTTTTCTATGCCTGTGGTCAAATCCTGCATGGGGAAAGGTTTCGATTTCTGACACTATAGATGTATTTTATTCTGCTTTGAACTTTATATAAATGGAATCAAACATTATAGACTTTTTTTGGTAAGGGGCTACTTTTCTATTTTTGAGGTTAATTCATGCTAGCTAATGTATAAAATTAGATCAACATATTGTCGTTTATTCAATTCATAGACAGACTGTGATATGAACCACCAAAATTTTCATGTACATGGAAAGAGAGAGAGAGAAAGAGAGGAAGCAGAGATATTTTATATCTGAGTCAGTCCATTAAGTAAATAAATGACAATATTTTCATTTATTTTTATGTCAGTGGACTTTAAATTTGTGTCCAGTTTATGAATATTATATGCAGAGCTGTTACAAATAGCTTAGTGTAAGTTTTCTGATGTTCTATTTTTATTGAGAAAATATGAAGTATGTATTTCTTTATTCTAAGAGTAAGTTTAATTTTTTTCAGTGGTATTGAGGCATAATTGAAATATTTTTATAATATATATGTTTAAGGTGCACCAATTGATGTTTTGATATTGTATTAGTCCATTCTAACACTGCTATAAAGAAATGCCTGAGGCTGAGGTGGGCGGATCATGAGGTCAGGAGATCGAGACCATCCTGGCTAACACGGTGAAACCCCGTCTCTACTAAAAATACAAAAAGTTAGCTGGGCGTGGTGGCAGGTGCCTGTAGTCCCAGTACTCCGGAGGCTGAGGCAGGAGAATGGCGTGAACCTGGGAGGTGGAGCTTGCAGTGAGCTGAGATTGCACCACTGCACTCCACTCCAGCCTGGGCGACAGAGCGAAACTCTGTCAAAAAAAAAAAAAAAAAAAAAAAAAGCTTGAGACTGAGTAATTTGGAAAAAAAAAAAGATGTAAGATGTTTAATTGACTTGTGAGAACTCAACTCATGCATTGTCATGAAAACAGCACCAGGAGTCAGTTCTAAACCATTCATGAAGGACCCACGCCATGACCCAGTCACCTCCAACCAGGTCACACTTCCACAATTGAGGATTATAATACGACGTGAGATTTGGGGTAGGACACAGATCCAAAGCATATCAGATATACATTGTAAAATGCTCATCATAGTCAAGGTAATTTGCATATCCATCTTCTCACAGAGCTACCGTTTAATTTTTTTTAAATGTAGAGCTTGTGTGTGTATGTGTGTCTGATAACAACACCTAAGACCTACTCTTAGCAAAAATCACTTTTACAATATAGTATTAAATACAGGAACATTGCTGTGCATTAGATCTCCAGAAATGATTCAGCTTGCACAACTGAAACTCTGTGCCCTTTGACCGATATCACCCAATTTCCCTCTCCTCCCAGGTCGTGGGACCCAGTACTCTACTCGCTGCTATCAAGAACTTGGATATTTTAGATCCTACATGCAGATGACATCGTGAAGCATTTGTCTTTCGGCATCTGGCTTATTCCACTTAGCACCATGTCCTCTAGCTCCATCCGTGTTGTTGCAAATGTCAGAATTTCCTTTTTTTTTTTGAAAGCCAAATGAAATTCAGTTTATATATATACATTTTCTTTATACAGTCATCAATCTATGGTCATTAAATTCTTTCACAAATCTACACTATTATAAATAATCTTGCAATTAACATGTATTTGACATCATAATTTTATTTCCTTTGACGATATAACAAGAAGTGGGATCACCAGGTCATATGATAGCTTTATTTTTCAATTTATTGACTAACCAATCTTACCATACGATATAAGGATACCCTCTTCACCACATTCTTGCCAACATTTGTTATCTTTTGTCTTGCTGATAATAACCATTTTAAGTGGTGTGAGGTGATATCTCATTGGGCTTTTTATTTGAATTCCCCTGATAATTAGGAATGTTGAGTACCTTTTTAGGATCTGTTTTTCATCTGTGGGTCTTCTGAAAAAAAATCTAACCAGGTTTTTGCCCTCTGTATTAGGTCAGTTGATATTTGCTGTTGAGTTGTATGGTTAATTTATATATTTGGGTGGAACTTCTTGTTAGATATATAATTGCACATAGTTTTTTTTACTGTGCTTGCTTTTGGTATTAAATTCAAATAATTTCTGAATCAATGACGAATATTTTTCCATGTTGTCTATGATTTATGGTTTCAGGTTATGTTCATTTTTAGTTGATTTTTGTATATGGTGTTAGAGAAGGTCTAGTTTCATTTCATTTTTTTTTTGCACATGCATGACCATTTTCTACACCATTGATTGAGGAGACTGTCCTTTCTTCACTGTGTGTTCTTGGCATACAAAATTAGGAAGACACATAATTAAAAAAGAAAACATCAGATGAATATTCCTGGTGAACATAGACCTAAAAGTTCTGAGCAAAATACTAGCAAATAGAATCCAGAAGCACTTTAAAATGTGATACATCATGATCAAGTAGGCTTTACCCCTGGAAGGCAAGTTTCATTCAACATCCAAAAATCAGTAACTGATTCACTATGTAAGCAAAATAAAAGCGAAAAACATAGATTATCTCAATAGATGCTGAGAAAGCTTTTAATAGCATCCAACATCCACTCATAATAAAAACCCTCAACAGACTAGGCATCAGAAAAATATACCTCGAAATTATAAGAGCTATCTATGACAAACCACAGTCAACATCATACTGAATAAGCAAAAGTTCAAACCCCTTGAGAATTGAAAAAAGACAAGGATGCCGTCTCACCACTCCTATTGAACATAGTATTAGAAATCCTAGTCCGAGGAACCAGGCAATAACAAAAATAAAAGGCAGCTGATATGGTTTGGATTTGTGTCCCCACCCAAATAGCATGTCGAATTGTAACCACCAATGTTGGAGGTGGCGTCTGGTAAAGGATGATTAGATCATGGGGATGTGTTTTCCTCTCTCATGCTGTTCTCCTGACAGAGCTCTCAGGAGATCTGGTTTCAAAGTGTGTGGTACCTCTCCCTTATCTCTTCCTCCTGCTGCAGCCATGTAAGACATGATGTTTCCCATTCTGTCATGATTGTCAGGTTCCCCAGGCCTCCCCAGCCATGCTTCCTGTACAGCCTGCAGAACCATGAATTAAATTAAATTAAAGAATTAAATATCTTTATAAATTACTCACTCCTGTGTGTTTCTTTGTAGTGTGAGAATGGACTAATGCAGCATCCAAATGGGAAAAGAATGCAATGTATCTGTCCAAACTGATGATAAAATTCTATACCTATAAAATTCTAAAGACTCTGACAAAATAATTCAAGAGAGATAAACAACTTTGGTAAAGTCTCAGGATACAAAAATCAATGTACAAAAGTCTCCAGCATTTCTATATCCCAACCACATCCAAGCTGAGAGTGAAATCAAGAACACGATCCTGTCCCACTTACAATGCTCACAAAAAATGAAGTGCCTGAAAATACAGGTAAAAAACAAGGTGAAAACTGTATAAGGAGAACTACCAAACACAGCAGAAAGAAATCACAAATGACAGAAATAAATGTGAAAACATTTCATACTCATGGATTGGAAGAATTGATATTGTAAAAATTGTCATACTGCCCAAAGCAATTTACAGATTCAATGCTATTTACATAAAACTCTCACCAGCATTCTTCAGATAAATAGAAAAAAAATTCTAAAATTTATATGGAATAAAAAAAAGACCCTGAATAGCCACAGCAATCCTAAGCAAAAAGAACAATGCCAGAGGCATCATGGTACTGAATTTAAACTACACCATAAAGTCATGGTAACAAAAACAGCTTGGTACTGGTAAAAGGGCAGACATGCAGAAAAAGTGGAACAAAAGAGAAAGCAGAAATAAAGCTGCATGCTTGCAACCATCTGATATTTGATAAGGCTGACAAAACAAGCAATGGGGAAAAAACTCTATTCAATAAATGGATTCTGGCAGATATGCAGAATGCAAGAGTGAAGGAGGTTGGGCAGCTTCTACCTAGATTTCAGAAGATGTGCATGGAGAACCCTATATGCCAAGGAAGAAGCCTGCTGCAGGAGTGGAGCCACCACAGACAGTGTCTATTAGGACAATACCAAAGATGGGGAAAGATGGGGTCGGAACCCCCATTCAGAGTCCCCACTAGGGCACTTCATAGTAAAGCTGTGGGAATGTGGCCACAACCCTCAAGATCCCAGAATGGTAGAGTCAAAGGCAGCTTGTCCTCTCAGCCTGGAAAACCTTCTGGCACTTGACTCTAACCTGTGAAAGCAGCACCATGGGCTGTGCCCAGCTACAGGGATGATATTCCTGAGGTTTTTGGGACCCCCTTTGTCCTAGTGTGCCCTGGTGGAAGTACATAAAGTCAAGAGAGACTATTTTGTAGCTTTAAGATTTAATATCTGCCTTACTAGGCTTTAGGTGTGTCTAGAGCCTGTTGGCAGTTCCTTTGGCCAATTTATTCCTTTTGTATTGACAATATTTACCCAATTCCTGTGGCACTATTGCACCTTGGAAGTAAACAACTGTTTAAAACTTTTTTTTTTTTTTTTTGAGACGGAGTCTTGCTCTGTCGCCCAGGCTGGTGTGCAGTGGCGCGATCTCGGCTCACCGCAACCCCTGTCTCCTGGCTTCACTGCCTCAGCCTCCCGAGTAGCTGGGATTACAGGCGCTCATCACCACGCCCGACTAATTTTTGTATTTTTAGTAGAGACAGGGTTTCACTGTATTAGCCAGGATGGTCTTGATCTCCTGACTTCGTGATCCACCCGCCTCGGCCTCCCAAAGTGCTGGGATTACAGGCGTGAGCTGCCACGCCCAGCCTGTTTAAAACATTTTGCAAGCTCATAGCTGCAGAGAAATTGCCTTAAGACTCAGAGGAGACTTTGGTATTTTCAGTCGGAGGTTGACCAAGTGAAGAGTTTGGTCACTATTAAAAAAACTATTAAAAAAAAGATGACTTTGCAATCTAAGAAGGACATGAGATCAGGACACAAGAGTAAAATGGTATAGTTTAGATGATGGTCCCTGCTAAATCTCAAGGTGAAATGTGATTCACAGCATTTGCGGTGGGGCCGACTGGGAGGTTTTGAGACATGGGGAAAGATCCTTCAGGAATGGCTTGGTATCCACCCCATGGTAATTAGTGAATTATTTCTGTATTATCTACTGTGAGATCTGATTTTCAAAATAATCTAGCAACCATCCTCCCCTTTCATGTCCTCCCTCTCACCATGTAACACAGCCTGTTTCCCCTTTGCCTTCCACCATGACTGTAAGCTTTCTGAGGCCATCACATGATGCAGATGCTGATGCCATGCTTCTCACTTAGCCTGCAGAACTATCAGCCAAATAAGCCAAATAGACTAGTACACTGTCCAAAGCAATATACAGATTCAATGCAATTTCTATTAAGTAACCAATATAATTGATTACATATTTTAAAAAACCATAAAATTTATATGGAATCAAAAAAGAGCTTGAACATCAAAAGCAACCCTAAGGAAAAGTAACAAAGCTGGAAGCACCACATTGCCGGACTTCAAATTATACTACACAGATATAATAAGAATGACATCATCGTAGTGACAAAAAATAAAAATTGATGTAACACAACAGACAGCCCAGAAATAAAGCCAAATATCTACGACCACCTGTTATTTGACAAAACTGACAAAAAATATACACTGGAGAAACAACCCTTTATTCAATAAGTGGTGCTTGGAAAATTGGGCAGCCACACAAAGAAGAATAAAACCAGACTTCTATCTCACAATAGACAAAAATTAAGTGAATATGGATTCAACACTTAAAAATATAAACTGAATCTACAAAAATACTTGAAGAAAATGCAAAAAAAAAGTTCTCTGGACATTGGCCTAGGCAAATAAAACATGACTAAGATTTCAAAAGCAAATGCAATGAAAACACAGACAAACAGGACTTAAGTAAAAATCTTCTGCACAGAAAAAGAAATAATCAACATGGTGAGTAAACAACCTGCAGGATGGTAGAAGGTATCATCTCACCTCAGTTAACATGGCTCATATTAAACACACACACACACACACACACACACACACACACAAACAAAACACTAACCAATGCTCGTAAGGATACAGAGAAAAGAAAACTCTTATGCATTGTTGAGGAGAATGTAAACTAGTACAGTCACTATGGAGAGCAGTGTGGAGGTACCTCAAAAAACTACAAATAGAACTACCGTATGATCCAGCAATTCCACTACTGCAAATTTATCCAAAGGAATGAAAATCATTGTATCAGAGAATTCTGCACCCCAGTGTATGTGGCAGGACCTTTCACAATAGCCAAGATATGGAATCAACACAGGTGTTGAACACAAGAGAATAATGGTTAAAGATGATGTGGTGCATATACATGACGAAGTACTCATCAGCCATAAGAAATGAAATCATGTTGTTTGTGGCAATGAGGATGGAACTGGAGGACATTATGTTAAATGAACTAAGCCAGGGACAGAAAGTAATACACCTTGTTTTCTCACTCATAGGTGGATACTTAAAAAAAAATGGTCTCCTAGAAGTAAAGAATAGAACAGAGGATACCAGACGCTGGGAAGGGTAGGGTAAAGGACGAGATAGGCAGAGATTTGTTAAATAATACAAAATTAGAGCTAGGGAGGAGGAATAGATTATAATGATCTTTACCACTGTAGGATGGATACGGTTAACAATAATATGTAGTTTTAAATAGTTAGAAGAAGGATACTGAGTGTTCCTAACAAAAAGAAATGGTTTGAGATGATGGATGTGCTAATTACCCTAATCTGACCCCTATGCATTATATGTATCAAAACATCACTATGTACCTCATGAATAGTTACAATTATTGTCTATTAAAATTATATTTTAAAATAACACAAAATTCATTGGCAGTGACATAAATGGAGGCTCTGGGATAGGTGTGGGGATAAAGGGAGGCTCTGGGATACATTACAGGCCTAACATGTCAGTGGGCAGAGGAGCTTCCATTAGCTTTTTCTATTTGTAGCACTGAGTAGATGTGACATTTCTCAAAGTTTGCCCTACAATAGAGACCTGAGTTCCAGGGAGGTCTTGCAGGCAGCTGTGCAGATGGAAGAAGCAGGAGTAGAGGGTTGCTGGCCCATTCAACAATAGTAGGATGATTATTGTGCATGTAGAGAAGTCAACATTGTTTTAAGTAGTTGCATCACTGGATGACATGAAAAACAAATCCAGTGGAAATCCTTAAATATTATTGGTAGTGAAACTGTTTTGGGTGAGGAAATGTTCACTGAAGTTAAGTGAGCCAGTAAAGCTGTTAAGAACTATAAAAACATTGGATTGGATTCAGCTTTGTCTGAATTTAATGTGATTATTACTGGCTCAGGCAGGGGTCACAAATCAAGATGGATAGGTGGTACCAACCAGAAAAAGCCATGGACCAGAAAGATTCACAGCTGAATTTATTCGGATGTATAAAGAAGAGTTGCTACCAATCCTAGTGAAACTATTCCCCAAAAATTAGGATAAGGGACTCCTCCCTAAATTATTCTGTGAGACCAGCATTATTCTGATAACAAAACCTGGCAGAGACTAAAAAAAAAGATAACTTTGGGCCAATATTCATGATGCAAAAATGCTCAATGAAATACTAGCAAACTGACCACAGCAGCACATCAAAAAGCTAATCCACCATGATCAAGTAGACTTTGTTCCTAGGATGCAAGGTTGGTTCATATACGCAAATCAGTAAGTGTGATTCGTCTCATAAACAGAACTAAAAACAAAACCATGCTATCAATGGACATAGAAAAGGTATTCAATGAAATTTAACATTGTTTCATATCCAAAACCCTCAACTAGGCATGAAGAAACATACCTCAAAATAATAACCATCTATCATGAACCCACAGCCAAAATCATACTGAATGGGCAAAAGCTGGAAGCAGTTTTCCCTGAAAACTGGAACAAGAAAAGCATTCCCACTCTAACCACTCCTGTTCATCATAGTCATGGAGGTCCCAGCCAGAGCGTGCAGGCAAGAGAAAGAAAAGCATCAGAACCGGAAGAGAGGATGTCAAACCATCTCTGTAGATGAAATGATCATAATCCCGAGTCTGTAGTTTGGTGATTGACATTAATTTGGAAAAATTGTCAGTCATCATTGCTTTAAATATTTCTTCTTAACCTTTCTCTGTTCCTTCTCTTTCCCATGTTATACCCTTATAATTGTCTCACAATTCTTGGATAAGCTGTTCTGGTTTCTTATGGGTGTGTATTTGTGTACTTGTATGTTTGTGTGTGTATTTGTGTGTTTACTTTTTAAAAAAAATATTTCTCCATTTTCAGTTTGGGACATTGCTACTGAGATATTTTTAATTTCAGATTTTTTTCCTCAGCCATGCTGCGTCTACATATAAGTCCATTGAAAGCATTGCTTAATTCTGTTACAATATTCTTGATATCTACATTTTTTTGCTTTTTAAGAGTTTGCATATTTCGACTTGCATAACACAACTGTTCCTGGATGCCCTCTGCTTAACTCATCACAGCCCTTAGCATATGAGTTATAGCGGGGTCTTAAATTCCTTGTTTGGTAATTCCAACTTACATGACGTAGCTGAGTCTCATTCTAATGCTTGTTCTGTCTCATTACACTGTGATATTTTTCTTTTAGTATGTCTCGTGATTTTTTTAGCCAGAAATTATGTACCAGGTAAAAGAAACTGCTGTAAAGAGGCCTTTAGCGATGTCATTGTAAGATGTGGAGAGAAATGTGTTCCATAATCCTACGGCCATGGCTTACTCTAGCAAGCTTAGGCCTTTGAAAATAAACCCTTACATGAAAGTGAAAACATAAGTCTTAGATTTGGAGAATTTGCTTGCAAATCAAATATTTGGAAAATGACTTTTATCACAAATGTACAAATTACCTTACAATTGAACAACAACAAAACCACACAAATTAATTTTAAAATGGGCAAAGATCTGAATAGAAATCGCATCTAAAAATAAATATAAAGAGATCAACTTCATTTTCATTAGGTATATGCATGTTTAATATTCAAAAAATACTACTATCTTATGAGGATGGGTAAAATACACAATATAGATAATACCAAATGGTGATGAGGAAGTTGAAAAACAGGAACATTCACTCTTTGCTGGTGGTAATGCTGAAATGGCACATAGACATGTACAGTTAATAATTTAGTGTATATTACAAAACAGCTAGAAGAGAAGATTTAGAATTGTTAACACAAAGAAATAATCAATGATGGAGATGAAAGATATACCAGTTATCCAGATTTAATCACTGCATATAATAATCTTTTATCAAAATATATACCCCATAAAGATTTTGAACTCATGTATCTATATAAATTAGGTATTAAAAAACAGCAATGCAGGGGAATCCAGCTAATTGCACATTCCCTGAATGTACCCTTTCTTGTCAAAAAGGAGTTCCAGAGACTCTTGAAAACGTAGTGCAGTTCATGTGAGAAATAGAGGTTCAGAAATGCCTCATTATACCCTCCTCCCTTTGGAATTCAAGCACAACTAACCAGTATTTTTCATTAAAACAGATCTTAAGACTCAGAAAACAGATTCTTTGCAGCAGTAAGATACCAAATTCTAACCTGACTCAAGAATAGGATCACATGACAGAGAGCAGACCTTGAAAAGAATCAAAGACTTTTACCCTAAAATATATTTATTTGACATATTTTAAAATCACCCTGCACAGTTATCTTTTGAGAGAGAAATTTACGTTCTGTAGCGAATCTCCTTCCCTTTCCAGGTCTAGTTGTTAGATTAGCTGAGAGTCTAGCATCTTTTAAATGTCATAGTAGAAAACATTTGCTATCTACTGCCTCTAACGGTGGCCACATAAGAGAATTCATCTACATAATAAGAATCTTGTTCTCCAAAACCCGTTATCCTAACCTATGTAGGGAAAAGAGAGATCAGACTGTTACTCTATGTAGAAAAGGAAGACGTAAGAAACTCCATTTTGATCTGTACCCTGAAGAATTGTTTTGCCTTGAGATGCTGTTAATCTGTAACTTTTGCCCCAACCTTGTGCTCACAGAAACATATGTTGTATGGAATCAAAGTTTAAGGGATCTAGGGCTGTGCAGGATGTGCCTTGTTAACAATATGTTTACAGGCAGTATGCTTGGTAAAAGTCATCACCATTCTCCATTCTTGATTAACCAAGGGTAACAATGCAGTGCAGAAAGCCACAGGGACCTCTGCCCAGGGAAGCCGGGTATTGTCCAACATTTCTCCCCACTGAGACAGCCTAAGATATGGCCTCGTGGGATGGAAAAGACCTGACCGTCCCCCAGCCTGACAACCGTGAAGGGTCTATGCTGAGGAGGATTAGTAAAAGAGGAAGGCCTCTGTCTCCTGCATGTCCCTGGGAATGGAATGTCTCGGTATAAAACCCAATTGTACATTTGTTCTATTCTGAGATAGGAGAAAACCACCCTGTGGCTGGAGGTGAGACATGTTGGCAGCAATGCTCCTCTGTTACTCTTTACTACACTGAGATGTTAGGGTGGAGAGAAGCATAAATCTGGCCTATGTGCACATCCAGCGATAGTACCTTCCCTTGAACTTATTTGTGACACAGATTCCTTTGCTCACACGTTTTCTTGCTGCCCTTCTCCCCACTATCACCCTGTTCTGCCACATTCCCCTTGCTGAGATAGTGAAAATAATAATCAATAAATACTGAGGGAACTCAGAGACCGGTGCCGGTGTGGGTCCTCCGTATGCTGAGCACCGGTCCCCTGTGCCTACTGTTCTTTCTCTATACTTTGTCTCTGTGTCTTATTTCTTTTCTCAGTCTCTCATCCCACCTGACGAGAAATACCCACAGTTGTGGAGGGGCTGGCCCCCTTCAAACACAGAAACGTTTTTCTACTGATTTCAGCTCTTTAAATAAAAAGTTAAGTCTTTCAATCAGAAAATCTTTGAATTCACCTGTAAGCTGTAATCCCCTCCCCACACTGCCTCACTTGTAGCTCTTTTATCTTTATGAAACAAATCGACACATGTCTCATATGTATTGACTGATGTCTTTCTCTCTAAGACATTAAATTTAAGCTGCAATCAAGCCACTTTGGGCACACGTTCTCAAGATCTTCTGGGGCTGTGTCACAGGGCATGGTCCTCACATTTGGCTCGAATAAATCTAAATATTTTGCAAAGTTGACTTTTTCATTAATAGTTCTTACAGAACCTACTCTGTGCTCTTTGTTACAAGCATAAAATCAATATAGTATTAGTTATAATAGTATTGGGTATACCACATATTGGCAATTTCTTATGAAGTTAGGCATAGACTAACAATGGGATCAAGTGTAAATGTTTTAATGTATTTATGCAAGTTATTTTGATATTTATGTTCTGCAGATACTTCTATCAGATTTATTATATCAGCTAATTATTTGTTTTATGATTTTTTGCATTTTTTGTAGATGATAACACCATATCTTTTCTAGGCCTTTATTGTAGAAAATTGTGTGAAACTACTCAGGACTACATTTGAAAGTCCTTATTGCAGTGGCTGCCAGAATTGAAGTACATTTCCTCTGTAGCCACCAGACACCCAGATTCCTCCAGTAACACCTTAATTTTGTTTCCTGCTTGGCTTTGGGCTTTAGTCTTGTGCTATCCAGAGAGACTCTGTCTTTCAAATCCCCCAGGTCATTCTAAAGCCACATGGACCGGACAATTGTCAATGTGGTGGGAAGGGTCGCACTGAACGGGCACTCTCTGTCCTTCTGAGGGAGCCATACTGCAGGCAGACATCACAGTCCTGGCTCAGGTTGTGTCCTTCCAAGTATCCCTGCCCTCCTGCAGGTGTGATGCTGATCCATGCATCTTCCTCCCATTCCTGGGTAGAGGGTCTCCTTGTTTTTTCCCAGATCTTCTTCCAGCAGCCACTATACTATGTCTTCCCACTGATGTCTTCAGCTTCCTCTTTTCTGCCCTTCCCAGCAGGATGAGGCTTTTATTCCTGAAGAAAGAGAGAGGAGGTGGGAGATGAGGCTGTTATTCCTGAGAGAATGAACAGGGCTTTGGAGCTTTTCTTTCTTCTATCCCAGTTTCTATGAGTTCCTCCAGTACCAGTAACACAAAGGTGTTAGTGGCTTTGCCCCTGCATGTTAATTCTTTAGCAATGTAGTGGTGACAGTGGAGGTGGGTCTGGATGCATTTCAGCTGCAGTTGCTGTTTTTCTTTCCAGCACAGAACCATCTTGGGAGCTACAGGGAAGAGCTTTTTGTAATGTGTCCTCAATCCTGGGAGAAAAGTTTTCAATAGCAATAGGAATCTCTCAGTTGTATGTTCTCTGAGAATTTAAACAATAACTTATTTATTATACTCAATTTTAAACAATGTAATAAATATGTCTAATTTAATCTTGCATTAGCTTATGTGACATTTGCTGGCCATTGCCCCAGATAAGGCCATTTTCTCTTCCTGTTTATCCCTGCAAGTGACTGACTTTTGCAAGATGTAAGGTTTCTTGTTTGCCCTATAACATCAATAATCTGAAATATTAAAGAAAATGTGCTAATTTGCAGATCAGTAAGGTTAGTTGTTTCTGTAAAAATATATATGTTTTTTTGAGATGGAGTCTTGCTCTGTCACCATGCTGGAGTGCAGTCGTGCGAACTTGGCTCACTGCAACCTCCGCCCCCTTGGTTCAAGCGATTCTCCTGCATCAGCCTCCATAGTAGCTGGGACTACAGGAGTCTTGGCCTCCAAAAGTGCTGGGATTTCTGGCATAAGCCATCGCACCCAGCCAAAAATAATATATTTTAAGGGGTGCATACATCTCCAGGCTGAGTAGGAGATTTATTTGTAGTACTCAGTAACTGGAATTTACACAACTATTAAGGAGCATTATAAATAAATAGTAAGGGTGCACTCATTAACTGTAATACTGTTCCTCATTAGAATCAACACATTCTTTAGTTCATGTCCTTTGCAGGGACATGGATGAAGCTGGAAACCATCATAGTCAGAAAACTATCACAGGGACAGGAAACCAAACACCGCATGTTCTCACTCATAAGTGGGATCTGAACAGTGAGAACACATGGACACAGGGAGGGGAATGTCACACACCAGGGCCTGTCGGGGTGGGGAGCAAGGGGAGGGACAGCATTAGGAGAAATACCTAATGTAGATGACAGGTTGATGAGTGCAGCAAACCAGCATGGCACATGTATATCTATGTAACAAACCTGCACGTTCTCCACATGCATCTCAGAACTTAAAGTATAATTTTAAAAACACATTATTTATATAGAACCAAATTACTGGCTCACAAGTAATTATACTGTGCAGAAAACCACACAAATGAAATTGAAACTATAAGATTTCACTTGAACAAAATCTTGAAAAATAGATCTAAAGTAACAAAGATGACTGACTCAATATGGTGAGAGGAAAATGACTGGGAGGCAGGAATGAGAGGAACACAGGGAAGCTTTTAAGTGTAATTCATTGGTATCTTGATTGTTATTTGGGATGCACAGGTGAGCACATGTGTAATAACATTTTTTTCCTTTGGAGACATTTTCTTGCTTTGTCATCCAGGCTGGAGCTCCGTGGTGACATCATAGCTCTCTGCAGCCTCAGACCCTGGGTCTCCAGCAATCCTCCTCCCTCTGCCCTATCTAGCTGGGACTACAGCTGTGCACCACCATGCTCGGCTTCAGTGCTTATTCAACCAGACACTTTAATTATGCAGTATTTATTACGTGGCAATAATGCCTCAATAAGGGTATTGCAAATAAGTGGATGGATAATTTGTTCAATTAAGATTGATGGAAATATAGACACTTACATGACAAATGTATGACAATCAAGAAAATAAAACTGTAGGAAACATACTTTACTTTTTGTTAGGTAATCGCAACAGTGCATACACATCACACCATGTTCTCATTACAGAGAAAAGGTTCTGCAAACCTCACTTGGTGTGACCTCCTGTATGCTGGGCTTGGTTCAGGGAGAAGTCAGGACCAGTGGTTAGAAGCACGGGCCCAGATAACCAGACTCCCTCTGACCAAATGTGAGTGCTGGGGACATTGTACAATCCATCTGTGTTTTGCTGATATTTTTTCATCTGTAACATGGAAATAACATTGATACTACATACCATGGTTTCTGTGCATATGGAAAAATAAAAGATGATAGGTGCAAACTTTAAATACACACAGTTTATGTAGATCAATTGTACCTCAATAAAACTGTTTTAAAATAAAAATTACAAAACTATAAATTTTATAGGTTTTAAGGGTTTATCATAGAACAAACTTACAATAAGAAACCAGAATTTCCAAATGCTATCAATATCACAAATCTCCCCCAGGACACTCTCACATGCTCTGAGCCCCACTCTCTCCTCAGGCGTCCCATCCCAGAGCTTGGCATGTATTAGGAGACATGCAAATAGGGCCCTCCCTCTGCTTATGAAAACCAGCCCAGCCCTGACCCTGCAGCTGTGGGAGAGGAGCCCCAGCCCTGGGATTTTCAGGTGCTTTCATTTTGTGATCAGGACTGAACACAGAGGATTCACCATGGAGTCATGGCTGAGCTGGGTTTTTCTTGCCGCTATTTTAAAAGGTAATTCATTGAGAACTATTGAAATTGAGTGTGAGTGGATAAGAGTGAGATAAACAGTGGATTTGTGTGGAAGTTTCTGACCAGGGTTTCTTTTTGTTTGCAGGTGTCCAGTGTGAGGTGCAGCTGGTGGAGTCTGGGGGAGGCTTGGTCCAGCCTGGGGGGTCCCTGAGACTCTCCTGTGCAGCCTCAGGATTCTCCTTTAGTAGCTATGGCATGAGCTGGGTCCGCCAGGCTCCAGGGAAGGGGCTGGACTGAGTGGCACATATCTGGAATGATGGAAGTCAGAAATACTATGCAGACTCTGTGAAGGGCCGATTCACAATCTCCAGAGACAATTCTAAGAGCATGCTCTATCTGCAAATGGACAGTCTGAAAGCTAAGGACACGGCCATGTATTACTGTACCAGACACAGTGAGAGGAAGTCCGTGTGAGCCCAGACACAAACCTCCCTGCAGGGGCACGCGGGGCCACCAGAGGGTGCCCAGGATCCCCTGAAGACAGGGACAGCCCAAAGGCAGGTGCAGATGGATGTCAAGAGGGTCTGTGGCTTCGTCTACATCTAACTGTTTCCTGGTGAGCCTCTGTATATTTATTTTTCTGTGCCCACTAATGAGGTTGCTAAGTTTAAACACTTTTTTTTTTGAGATGAAGTCTCGTGCTTGTGCCCCAGGCTGGAGTGCAATGGCATGATCTCAGCTCACTGCAACATCCGCCTCATGAATTCAAGCGATTTTCCTGCCTCAGCCTCCCAAGTAGCTGGGATTCCAGACAACTGCCACCACGCCCGGCTAATTTTTGTATTTTTAGTAGAGACAGGGTTTCACCATGTTGGCCAGGCTAGTCTCGAACTCCTGACCTCAGGAGACCCTCCCACCTTGGCCTCCCAAAGTGCTGGGATTACAGGCATGAGCCACTGTGCCTAGCCAAAAAAGACTTCATTATTATAGGAGGAAAAATTCTCATCTGCAAGTGTCACTGATGGAAGCAGAAAAATTGCCCAGGAAGTCAGGTGAGGCTGTAGACACTGTCAACCCAGGATGCAAATCTCACCACAAGTGCAGGAGAAAGGGCAGGGGGTTGATGGATCATCCTAACTAACGTATGGTTTAAGCTGAGCCCAGCAAGACCCTCAGTGCCTCCCTAACCACAGTTGCCCTTCAGGGATAACCCATGTGCTCAACAGCAGCCACACCTTAGTATCTCCACTGTGCAGTCATTGTCTAGGACAAGCTCCCAGGATGTGGGGCTTTGGCACAAACCAGGTCATGGATGTCAGAGAGGGGCAGCTGGGTGTCTGGTCCATAGGCTCCCTGATGTTGGAGGGTTGAGAGGTGCATTCTCTGGGCCAACATATACTCTAGGGATATTTACTTCAGAACACATACTTTTATTTGTTGGTTTATGGTTAATGGGGTATTCATCCCTTCAATCATTTGTCCTTTGATTTACAAAAACATTCCAATTTCACTTTGGAAGTAATTTTATTATGTGCAATTAAGTCATTATTGATTATAGTCACACTATTTTGCTACTAAATAGTAGGTGTTATTCATTCTTTCTAACTCTGTATTTTGTACCCATTAACCATATCCACCTGTTCTCTGGCCCCCACTAGCCTCCCAGACTCCAGTTACCATCCTTCTACCATCCATGTTCCTGAGTTTAATTCTGTTGATTTTTAGAGCACACACATAAGTAAGAACCTGCAATGCTTTTTTTTTCAGTGCCTTGTCTTTTTCACTTAACATAGTGACCTCCAGTTCCATCCATGTTGTTGCAAATGACTGGATCTCATGGAATACCTAATTTTATTCGGTTCTTTCATATGACGTAGAGAAGCAAGCATGCAGTCTACAAACAACTGTAATTTTCACATTTACCCCAAATGAATTATTACTTATTTCTGTGCAGGGTCCAGGCACATAGTAGCCTTTCTCTTGAGGGACTGTTAAATTTAGAGTGAGATCACTTGTTTCTCATATTATTTGATTCCTGTCCATGTGCAGAGATCTTAAGTAATCTGCTTCTTTCTGCACACTAACTCTGACCTTCTCGACAAAAAGAGTAGAGATTTTCATGTTTCCT
Organism: Homo sapiens; assembly: GCF_000001405.40. NCBI lineage: Eukaryota > Metazoa > Chordata > Mammalia > Primates > Hominidae > Homo > Homo sapiens. The sequence goes on along the minus strand of NC_000014.9, from coordinate 106,441,452 downwards.
GAGTCTGGGGTAGGAGTTAGTCCTACACAACTCAGAGCCTGCAGAGACCTCCCAGTGCAGTTTTATAGACACAGGTGCTTTCTCATGGGGGGTGAGACCTCCACTTCCTGTGATTGCTGCTCAGATCTAACTGTGATTTCAGATTTAGGACACCATTAGGCTCTCAAACCATTTCTATTCTAAAAATCAGCCTCATCATAGAAAATGGAAATAATTCAATATCCATTTCCCTGACCGTATTTCATCCTTGTTTTTAATTTGGTGCAAGTTTATTACATATTTGCCTGAATCTAACTTCAGAATCAACTGAATTGGTCTAGAAATCTCAAAAATTGAACAGAAGTGGATTTTATTATTTTTACCAAAATGTGTGTAGGTAGGGTTTCCAATGTATCGTCCAGAACTTGTGCATGCTAACAACTGTTTTTCTCAGTCAATTATCAGCCTGGTGAAGCCCTTGCAAACCCCCTCACTCACCTGTGCTGCCTCTGGATTCTCTGTCACAATCAGTGCTTCCTGTAGGCACTGGATGGAAAGCACAGGAGTGGGTCAGGTGCATACGTGATGAGTGGAGGATGAATTCCAGCCCACTTATCATGAATTCAGACAAGCCCACATGTTCCCACATGCACTATATCTTCAGACAAGCAGATGTGTCTGCACATGAATTCTTCTTTCAGACAAACACGTCTGTCCCCTCATGGACTCTTGCCACACACAAGCACACGTGGCTTCTTGTGGACTGTACTTTCAGACAAGCACACATTGTTTCATGTGGACATCTTCCTCCCACAAATGCATTTTCCCCTGAGTAGACTCTTCTCCCACAAGCCCATATGTCCGCACATGGACATTTCTCACAGACAAACACCCATTTCCCCATGTAGTCCCTTCCCTCAGACAAGCACACGTATTCCCAGGTAGACTCTTCCCTTAGACAAGCACAGATGTTCCCATATGAACCCTTCCATATGACAAGCACACATGTTCCCATGTGAACTCCCGTATAACAAGCACACATATTTCCTCACGGGCTCATCACTCAGATAGGTCTGCATGTCCACATGTGGACTCTACTCTCAGACAAGCCCACAGGTCCTCACATGGACTCTTCTCTCAAACACCCGTTCTCCATTGTAGACTCTTCCCTTAGACAAGCACGCATTTTCCCATGTGAACTCTTCTGCATGGGAAGCACACATATTCCCACAGGGACTCTTCTCTGAAACACCCATTCTCCATTGTAGACTCTTCCCTTAGACAAGCACGCATTTTCCCATGTGAACTCTTCCGCATGGAAAGCACACATATTCCCACAGGGATTCTTCACTAAGACAAGCATGATTGTCTCCACTGTGACCCTTCCCTCAGAGAAGTACACTTGTCTACATATGGACTCTTCTCTCAGACAAGCAAACATGTCCCCACGTGGACTCTTTCTTCTGACAAGCACACGTGTCCCCGTGTTGTTATAATCATTTTCTCACCTCTGTCTCACAAAGTTCCCTGTCCTCCAAGAATAATTTTGACCTCTCACTTCTCATTCACACTATGGTGATTGGTGCACAGCATTTTCACCCAAGAGAAATGCAGGCAGCTCTCAGAATTTATTGTGATGGAGGCAGGAAGACAAACACAAAGATAAAACTTGTCGCTACCTTGCTGGGCTGTGTTCTGTGCAGAGTCTCTGAAGGCTGCCCTGGGGCTGTGTCCTAAGCTGTATCTCTCTGATTCCACTAGGAGAATGCACATAGAGAAATTCAAGCTGAATGGTGTCCTGATCCCTGCCTCATTCTGCTATTCTTCCCTATTCCTCAGAAATTCACCCAACATTGCCCTCTGTCTTGTATTGTCTACATTCTCACAGACTCTCTCATAGAACTTCAGCTTCAATGGTCAGAGCCCTGGTCACTTCTTCCCAACTCTCCGCACATGCCAAGTGCACATTAGAGACTCAATAATGAGGCTCACCAGGGGCAGTAGTAGTTTCATCTATCACAGTGGAGATGAAAATCCATGATTTAAAATAGGTTTCTAAAAAAGAAAATATGTCTCACATCAAACACAAATGAGAGAATGCAACGGCATAATTCATTTTCAGGTTTTTCATATGTAAATCTCCTAAAGTGCATAATTTAGTTTTTAGTGTGGTTCCTGATCCATGAATCCTTTTGCCTTCTTCATTATCTTTCATTCAAACAAACAGAGACCATACCCACTGTTCACAGTGTAGCCTCATGGAGAACATCTTCACCAGTCAGCCCAGTCAGTGAGTGAGGCCTTTAAATCCTTCATGCTAATTCAAATTTCTGGCTTTATTCTTAGTAGACCCCAGGTTTTCGGGGATGTTGGGTTGTGCCAGCACTCCTAAATAAGGGAGATAGAAATTATTTCCTCAGGCATCCTCTTGCAACATTTGGACAATTGGCCATAGTTTGATTATTGAGGTGTGATGCATCAAAATAATGTTAGTTCAATCTTCTCTCAACCAGTCATTGAACATTGAAATTTTGTAATTATTTATTTGGATATCTCTGAAGTTTACCTCTTGAATATTTAAGTCATATTATAAATAGTTTAAGCTGCCTACTAGGTAAAATGATCTGCTGCAGAATTTTGACTTCCTTGCTGTGCATTTTTGCATTTAAATTCAAGTTTCTATTACTCGTGTGTCTAGAATGTAAAAATACGTCTTACATTTTCTCGAATTTTTCATTTCACTGGAGTTTCCAGAAGATGAGAAAACCTCCCTTGTGTATAAAATACCTGGTAACACATTGCTCAATAGTTTCGTTGCTGAGACCAGCTCAGTCGGGAGACCCTAACCCAGCGGTGCTAGAGGAATTAAAGACACACACAGAAATATAGAGGTGTGAAGTGGGAAATCAGGGGTCTCACAGCCTTCAGAGCTGAGAGCCCTGAAGAAAGATTTACCCACGTATTTATTAACAGCAAGCCAGCCATTAATATTGTTTCTATAGATATTAAATTAACTAAAAGTATCCCTTATGGGAAATGAAGGGATGGACCGAATTAAAGGGGGTGGGTCTGGCTAGTTATCTGCAGCAGGAACATGCCCTAAGGCACAGATCACTCATGCTATTGTTTGTGGTTTAAGAACGCCTTTAAGCGGTTTTCTGCCCTGGGGGGGCCAGGTGTTCCTTGCCCTCATTCCGGTAAACCCACAACCTTCCAGCGTGGGCATTATGGCCATCATGAACATGTCACAGTGCTGCAGATATTTTGTTTGTGGCCAGTTTTGGGGCCAGTTTATGGCCAGATTTTGGGGGGCCTGTTCCCAACATTTCCTCTTTAATTTTTTTCTCCTCTCATATTGTACTGTTATAAGCAATGAGATATCAGGACACATCATCAACACTTTGCTAAGAAATATCTTCAGCTAAATTCCCAGAGTGTCATATACTAATCCTAATTTTAACTAAGGTAACATAATTAAGATACATTCTATAACAAGTCACACATTTTATCCAGTATCCAGTAACATGTTTGTGACAGAAACAAAGCAGGTGCTTCCTCTGCAAAGGGTCATCTGAGGTCTGAGTTGAGGGTCACACAGGTATTTTTCTGGTTTACAAGGGTGGGAACAACAACAGTAATAACGACTCTGAACAGCACTGGCCCTTCCTTGAAAGGTTGCAGGTAAAGCTACTGCTGCTATATCAAATTAACACCTTACTAGAATAAAGCCCAGAGGGAGGGTCCACATGCTAGGTCACAGAGTGAGGAGAAATGGAGCTGTGCTCTGCTCTCCACACTACCTACAAGACCCCAGACACACGCCCAGGTTCTACTGATGCAAGGCATCTACAGTGCAGTTCTAAGGCACCTGCTTCCTGGGGCAGGGAGCATCCTCCTGTCAATTGTGCACCTGCTCCTTCTGCAAGCTATTAAGTGAGCACTTCTATTGCCATGAATTATACATGTTCTCTCTCTTAACATGTATATTGAACATGCTTACTTACTTTGCATTTTATTTTTCTCTGAAATACACTGGATGAGCAGAAGAAAATAAATCACACCCCTGATGCTTTCCACACATACAAAGATTCCTGAAGACAGAGCTGACTGATATCCTCACCAGTAGACCACTGCCTTTCAGAGATGATCTTGGTATTCAAGTTCCAGCAATTCTTGAAGTTAAAGGGCACCTCTATCTCCTCTCCACTGCTTTGCACCTCACCTGATATCAGCTTTCTCATTAGAATGCCTTGTGTTTAAGGAATGAGAGTTCCTGTCACAGGTGCAAAGGCCCAGGTTCTCCCGCTGGCTCCAGTCCAGGGCTAGGGACACCTGTAAGACCATGATATCATCTGATACATAACCTTTACATCATAAGCTTTACATAACTTTTACATACATAACATCACACATAGCATTCAGGATACACACATCAGATCACCTTTACATGCTCTAACATGTAAAGATTAGGAAAGTCATCAAGCTCATTCTTATGTCAAAAAACATCTGCACAATTTGAACATCAACAATTTTTGAAATCTATCAAGGAATTGAAATTGCAAGGGAAATTACCCATTCCAAATACTGAAGATACAGACATGTCCAGGATCAGAGGTGACACTGGCTGAACTGGAAAAGAACTTGAAGAAAGCACGAGTTGGTGAGAGCACACACATGGTAAATGCTATGAAAGCCTAAACGGCAGATGTGGACTAGGGTGAGATTCCTGGGGACCTACACTCCGTAGTCTTCTGAACTTTCCTTCAAAATCTTCCAGATTCTCAGGTATACAATCCAAATAATTTTTTTATGGGTCTGAATTGGGGAGGATTAATTACCGAGAAATGTACCAAGAGCCTTCTAAAAAAAAAAAATCCTGTAGGAAATGAGATTTTCCAGAACCTGGAGGAACCTACAGTTCCCTAAAGACAGACACTGAGGAGAATAAATCTCGACAGCGCCACCTGGAGGTGGAGGTGAAGAGCTTCCTGGAGGAGCTGGACGGGAAGATCCACGACCTGAATGACTCTCGCCCAGGCCTCCCAAGCTGGGCACCGACAACTAGGGCTGGTGGAGGCCCGGGATCCCCACCGTGAGTCCCAAGCATGTGTGCGAGACCAGATGGCGCTAGGACGTTCCCTGTGTGCGTTGCTTCTGTAAATGCAGACGCAGTTTGTCGTGTTTCCAAACCAGTTGTGCCGTCCACTCACTCCTTTCCAGAGTAGAAATCTCCTCTCCGCCGGGCGCGGTGGCTCACGCCTGTAATCCCAGCATTTTGGGAGGTCGAGGCGGGCGGATCACGAGATCAGGAGATCGAGACCATCCTGGCTAACACGGTGAAACCCTGTCTCTACTAAAAATACAAAAAATTAGCCAGGCGTGGTGGCGGGTGCCTACAGTTCCAGCTACTCCGAGGCTATGGCAGTAGAATCGCTTGAACCCGGGAGGCGGAGGTTGCAGTGAGCCGAGATCGTTCCACTGCACTCCAGCCTGGGCGACAGAACAAGACTCTGTCTCATTAAAAAAAAAAAAAATAGGCTTTAGGAAGTAGCTCCTAGATGGGCAGAATCGGTTTAACCCTGTGTGTCCACAGGATCTGGAGCCTCTCTCTCCTTAGATTAGGCCACCTCCTCAGGATTACAGGGCTCTTCAGTTTTCTCAACATGCTGTTGTTGCCCCAAATAAACACAAAAGCACTTTATTTTCTTATGCTTACCTTTAATTTTTCAAAACAACATAAAGGTGATAATTTTAACAATAAACATATTACAACCTACTATACATGATACCCTTCCTGTAGTTCGAGGTTTATTCTCAGGAATTTATATGTATTACTTATTTTCAATTGCTTTCTGATATGGGATGTCAATGCCACTTTATTACAGTCTTTATTCTTTTAAGTTATCTCTAAAATCTCTAAAAATTAATCTTTCCAAAGCACCACTCAAAACCAGTGTATTATTAGAACTTGTGGGTGTAATCGTTGGACCAATATTAAGAATAAATTCTTAATGGACTAACTCAGATATAAAATTTCTGTCCTTCCTCTCTCTCTACATATATACATAACGACTTTGAGGTTTCAGTTGAATCAGTCCATTCATTGAATGTATGACAATAGGTTGATCTAATTGTATACGTTAAATAGCATGAAGAAACCTCAACAATAGCAAAAGTAGCCCCTTACCAAAAACAGCTCTATAATGTTAGATTCCACTTATGAGAAGTTCAAAAGAGAAAAACATGGATCTGTATTGTCAGAAATCTAAACATTTCCGCACGCAGGAGCTGACCACAGGCACAGGAAGACCTGTGTTGGGGGATGGACTTGCTCTTCGGTCTACCTTAGGTGCCGGGGACAAGAGTATTCACGTTTGCCAGAAACTCTCTAGTGACAAATTCCAGATCTATGCATTTCCTCTTATATGTAAATTTTCTCATAAAAACAAAAAATAATGTATAAAATAATTTAAAATTCAGAACATAATAAAAATGACATTACATGCCTATCCAAAACATTCAGTAATGAACATTATTATATGAATTAATAAAATGCATTCAAATATACCTACTGAAATTAACTTCTGGAAAATAAAAAGATAAGGGTAACATCCGTAACTTAAAAATTAATAAGCATATATTTCATAGAGAAGAAAAAGGTAGTCAAGACATATGTGGAATGTGTATTCTTTTTTCCAATCAAATGTCATTAAACTATTTAAACAATTTTTTAACCTGTGTCATAAGTATAGATTACTAATATTTGTCTGATATTACAATGTGAACAAGTTTTAAAGAAAAAAGGATATTTGACAGCATGTGAACTAAATTGAATTTATTCTTAATATTGGTCCAACGATTACACCCACAAGTTCTAATAATACCCTGGTTTTGAGTGGTGCTTTGGAAAAATTAATTTTTAGAGATTTTAGAGATAACTTAAAAGAATAAAGAATGTAATAAAGTGACATTGACATCCCATACATAACAACATATTGATCTATTTTTTGTTGATGGACTTTAAATTTGTTTCTAGTTTATGAATATTATAAGCAAAGCTGTTACAAATACCTTAGTGTAAGTTTTCCTATGTTGTCTCATTTTTATTGTGAAAACATGACGTATGCATTTCTTTCTTGTAAGAGTAATTTTAACTTTTTTCAGTTTCATTGAGGTATATTTGAAAAAATTTTTTAAAAGTATATGGTTGAGGAACAATGCACCACTTGATGCTTTGTCTTAGGCCATTCTCACATTGCTATAAAGAAATGCCTGAGACTAATTTGAAAAAAAGAAAAAGATGTTTAATTGGCTCATGATTCTGCAGGCTCTATAGGAAATGTAGTTGTTTATTCTTCTGGGGAGACTCAGGAAAGTTAGAATCATGGCAGAAGACAAAGAGGAGCAGGGCAATCACATGGCCAGAGCAGGAGCCACAGGAGGCGTGCAGCGGGGGGCGGGGCGGGTCTACACACCGTTAGACACCAGATCTTGTGAGAACTCATGCACTGTCATGAGAACAGCAGCAGGAGTTGTTGCTAAACCATTCATGAAAGACCTACCCCATGACCCAGTCATCTCCCAACAGGTCCTACTTTCAGGAATGAGGATTATAATATAACATGAGATTTGGGTCAAGATACGGATCCAAACCATATCAGATACACATTGTAAAATGATCATCGTAGTCAAGGTAATTTGTGTGTATATCATCTCACAGAGCTACAATTTTATTTTTTTAAATTTACTGCATATGTGTGTGTGTCTGATGAGAACATCTAAAATCTACCCTTTTAGCAAAAATCGTTTTTACAGTAAAGTATTAACTATAGGAACATTGCTGTACATTAGATTTCCAGAACTCATTCACCCTGCACAACTGAAACTCTGTACCCTTTGATCAACATCACCCAAATTCCCTCTCCTCCCAGGTCCTGACACCCTCTAGTCTACTCTCTTCTTTTAAGACCTTGGATATTTTAGATCCCACACGTAAATGAGATCATGAAGCATTTGTCTTTCTGCATCTGGCTTATTCCACTCAGCATCATGTCCTCTAGGCCCATCCATGTTATTGCAAATGTCAGAATTTCCTTCTTTTCAAAGCGTCATAAATTTAGTTTTATGTATACACATTTTATTTATACATTTATCAATGTATGACCCTTAAATTATTTTACAAATCTACACTATTATTAATAATCTTGCAATGAACATGTCTTTTGCATAATAATTTTATTTCCTTTTAATATATAACAAGAAGTGGAATCACTAGATCATAAGATAGTTTTATTTTCAATTTGTTAAGTAACCAATCCTACCACATCATATAAGGATTCCTTTTTCTCCACATTGTTGCCAACATTTTTAAAGTTTTGTCTTGCTGATAATAGCCATTTTAACTGCTTTGAAGTGATATATCATTGTGCTTTTTATTTGAATTCCCCTGATAATTAGGAATATTGATAAACTTTTCATTTTCCGTTTGCCATGTGTGTGTCTTCTGAAAAAAAAATCTATCCAGAATTTTGCCTTTTTTAATCGGGTCACTTGTTATTTGTTATTGAGTTGTATGGCTTATTTATATATTTTATTTGAACTTCTTGTCAGATATATAATTACACATAGTTTTTCCTGTGTTTTGGTATTAAATTCAAATAAATCAGTTCTGAATCAATGACAGGAAGTTTTTTCTTTTTCCATGTTGTCTATGAGTTTATGGTTTCAGGTATTATGTTCATTTTTAGTTGATTTTTATATCATGTTAGAGGAGGCCTAATTTTATTTCTTTTTATATGGATGCCCAGTTTTTACACCATTATTGAAAAGACTGTCCTTTCTCTACTGTGTGTTCTTGGCACACTCCATCAGGAAGAGACATAATGAAAAAAGTATATAAGATGAATATTCCTGATGAACATAGATCTAAAAGTCCTCAACAAAATACTAGCAAATAGAATCCAGAAGCACTTTAAAATGTAATACATCATGATCAAATGGGATTTACCCTGGGATGCAAGGTTCATTCAACATCCACAAATCAGTAACTGTGATTCGCCATGTGAGCAGAATAAAAGCAAAAAACATAGGATTATCTCAATAGATCCTGCAAAAGCATTTGATAGGATCCAACATCCACTCGTCATAAAAACCTTCAACAGACTAGGCATCAAAACATACCTCAAAATAATAAGAGCCATCTGTGACAAACTCAGTAAACATCATGCTAAATGAGCAAAAGCTCAAACACCTTGAGAACTGGAACAAGAGAAGGATACTGTCTCTCACTACTCCTATTCAATATAACACTATAAATCCTAGTTAGAACAATCAGGCAGGAGCAAAAATGAAAGGCAGCTGATGTGGTTTTGATTTGTGTCCCCACCCAAATCTCATGTCAAACTGTAATCCCCAGTGTTGGAGGTGGGGCCTGGTGAAAGGTGATTCGATCATGGGGTTGTGTTTTCCTCTCTCACGCTGTTCTGGTGACAGAGCTCTCAGGAGATCTGGTTTCTAAGTGTGTGGCACCTCCCCCTTGTCTCTTCCTCCTGCTCCTGCCATGTAAGACATGATGCTTCCCTTTCTGTCATGATTGTCAGGATCCTGATGCCTCCCCAGCCATGCTTCCTGTACAACTCGCAGAACCATGAGCAATTAAAACTCTTTTCTTTATAAATTACCTAGTCTCAGGTGTTTATAGTCTGAGAATGGACTAACACAGCATCCAAACAGGAAAATAAGTCAATCCATCTGTCTTCACTGATGATACAATTCTATGCCTAGAAAATCCCCCAAAGTAATTCTAGAATAGATAAATAACTTTAGTAAAGTGTAAGGATGCAAAATCAATGTACAAAAATCACCAGCATTTCTATATCCCAACCACATCCATGCTGAGAATAAAATCAAGAACACAGTCCTATCCCATGTACAATATCTTCAAAGAAAATGACATGCTTAGGAATGCAGGTAACAAACAAGATGAAAGATCTCTGCAAGGAGAACAACAAAACACTGCAGAAATAAATCATAAATGACACAAATAAATGGAAAAAAACATTTCATGCTCCTGGATTGGAGGAATCAATATTGCCAAAATGGTCATACTGCCCAAAGTAATTTGCAGATTCGATGTTATTTCCATCAAATTATTACCATCATTCTTCACAGAATTAAAAAACCCATACATATTCTAAAATATATATGGAACCAAGAAAGACCCTGAATAGCCAAAGCAATCCTAAACAAAAAGATCAATGCCAGAGGCATCATGCTACCAGATTTAACATTACAAAGTAAGAAAAACAGCTTGGTACTGGTGCAAGAGCAGACACACAGAAAAAAAAAAAGAACAAAACAGAAAACAGAAATAGAGCTACACACCTAAACCATTTGATATTTGATAAGGTTGACAAGAATCAAGCCATAGATTAAAAAAAAAAACTCCGTATTCAGTAAATAGTGCTGGGAGACCTGGATTCGGGCAGATATGCAGAATGCAACAGTGAAGGAGGCTGGGCAGTTTCTACCTTGATTTCAGATGTGCAGAGAGCCCTATGTGCCCAGGAAAAAGCTTGCTGCAGGAGTGGAGCCACCACAGAGAGCCTCTACTAGGGCAGTGCCAAAGATGTGGAAAGATGGGGTTGGAGCCCCCATTCAAAGTCCACACTGGGGCACTACATAGTGGAACTGTGGGAATGTGGCCACAGATCTCAAGACTGCAGAATGGTAGATCCATGGGCAACTTGCACCCTCAGCCTAGAAAAGCTTACAGCACTTGACTCTGACTCATGAATGGAGCCCCAAGGACTGCGCCCAGCAAAACTACAGTGATGGGCTGCCGGAGGTTTTGGGGAGCCAACACTTGTCCCACTGTGCCCTGGTTGAATTACATAAATTTGAGAGAGGTTATTCTGTAACTTTAAGATTTAATATCTGCTCTACTGGGTTATATGTGTGTGTGGGGGGGGGGAGCGCTGTTGGCCATTCCTTTGGCCAATTTATCTATTTTGGATTGGAATAATTTACCCAATGCCTGTACCATAATTGTACCTTGGAATACACAACATTTGCAATGTTTTTTTTTTTTAATTTTGCAAGCTCACAGATGGAGGGAAATTGCCTTAAGACTCAGATGAGACTTTAGACATTTGAGTTGGAGGCTGACCAAGTTAAGACTTTTTGTTATTTTAGTATTATTATACTTTAAGTTTTAGGGTACATGTGCACAATGTGCAGGTTTGTTACATATTTATACATGTGCCATGTTGGTGTGCTGCACCCATTAACTCATCATTTAGCATTAGGTATATCTCTTAATGCTATCCCTCCCCCATCCCCCCACCCCACAACAGTCCCTGGTGTGTGATGTTCCCATTCCTGTGTCCATGTGTTCTCATTGTTCAATTCCCACCTATGAGTGAGAACACGCGGTGTTTGGTTTGTTGTCCTTGCGATAGTTTGCTGAGAATGATGGTTTCCAGCTTCATCCATGTCCCTAGAAATGACATGAACTCATCATTTTTTATGGCTGCATAGTATTCCATGGTGTATATGTGCCACATTTTCTCAATCCAGTCTATCATTGTTTGACATTTGGGTTGGTTCCAAGTCTTTGCTATTGTGAATAGTGCCACAATAAACATACGTGTGCATGTGTCTTTATAGCAGCATGATTTATAATCCTTTGGGTATATACCCAGTAATGGGATGGCTGGGTCAAATGGTATTTCTAGTTCTAGATCCCTGAGGAATCGCCACACTCCCTTCCACAATGGTTGAACTAGTTTACAGTCCCACCAACAGTGTAAAAGTGTTCCTATTTCTCCACATCCTCTCCAGCACCTGTTGCTTCCTGACTTTTTAATGATCGCCATTCTAACTGGTGTGAGATGGTATCTCATTGTCGTTTTGATTTGCATTTCTCTGATGGCCAGTGATGATGAGCATTTTTTCATGCGTCTTTTGGCTGCATAAATGTCTTCTTTTGAGAAGTGTCTGTTCATGTCCTTTGCCCACTTTTTGATGGGGTTATTTGTTTTTTTCTTGTAAATTTGTTTGAGTTCATTGTAGATTCTGGATATTAGCCATTTGTCAGATGAGTAGGTTGCAAAAATTTTGTCCCATTCTGTAGGTTGCCTGTTCACTCTGATGGTAATTTCTTTCACTCTGCAGAAGCTCTTTAGTTTAATTAGATCCCATTTGTCAATTTTCGCTTTTGTTGCCATTGCTTTTGGTGTTTTAGACATGAAGTCCTTGCCCATGCCTATGTCCTGAATGGTATTGCCTAGGTTTTCTTCTAGGGTTTTTATGGTTTTAGGTCTAACATTTAAGTCTTTAATCCATCTTGAATTAATTTTTGTATAAGGTGTAAGGAAGGGATCCAGTTTCACCTTTCTACATATGGCTAGCCAGTTTTCCCAGCACCATTTATTAAATAGGGAATCCTTTCCCCATTGCTTGTTTTTGTCAGGTTTGTCAAAGATCAGATAGTTATAGATATGCGGCATTATTTCTGAGGGTTCTGTTCTGTTCCATTGGTCTATATCTCTGTTTTGGTACCAGTACCATGCTGTTTTGGTTACTGTAGCCTTGTAGTATAGTTTGAAGTCAGGTAGCATGATGCCTCCAGCTTTGTTCTTTTGGCTTAGGATTGACTTGGCAATGCAGGCTCTTTTTTGGTTCCATACGAACTTTAAAGTAGTTTTTTCCAATTCTGTGAAGAAAGCCATTGGTAGCTTGATGGGGATGGCATTGAATCTGTAAATTACCTTGGGCAGTATGGCCATTTTCACGATATTGATTCTTCCTACCCACGAGCATGCAATGTTCTTCCATTTGTTTGTATCCTCTTTAATTTCATTGAGCAGTCGTTTGTAGTTCTCCTTGAAGAGATCCTTCACATCCCTTGTAAATTGGATTCCTAGGTATTTTATTCTCTTTGAAGCAATTGTGAATGGGAGTTCACTCATGATTTGGCTCTCTGTTTGTCTGTTATTGGTGTATAAGAACGCTTGTGATTTTTGCATATTGATTTTGTATCCCGAGACTTTGCTGAAGTTGCTTATCAGCTTAAGGAGATTTTGGGCTGAGATAATGGGGTTTTCTAGATATACAATCATGTCATCTCCAAACAGGAACAATTTGACTTCCTCTTTTCCTAATTAAATATCCTTTATTTCCTTCTCCTGCCTGATTGCCCTGGCCAGAACTTCCAACACTATGTTGAATAGGAGTGGTGAGAGAGGGCATCCCTGTCTTGTGCCAGTTTTCAAAGGGAATACTTCCAGTTTTTGTCCATTCAGTATGATATTGGCTGTGGCTTTGTCATAGACAGCTCTTATTATGTTGAGATACATCCCATCAATACCTAATTTATTGAGAGTTTTTAGCATGAAGTGTTGTTGAATTTTGTCAAAGGCGTTTTCTGCATGTATTGAGATAATCATGTGGTTTTTGTCTTTGGTTCTGTTTATATGCTGGATTACATTTATTGATTTTCGTATGTTGAACCAGCCTTGCATCCCAGGGATGAAGCCCACTTGATCGTGGTGGATAAGCTTTTTGATGTGCTGCTGGATTCGGTTTGCCAGTATTTTATTGAGGATTTTTGCATCGATGTTCATCAAGGATATTGGTCTAAAATTCTCTTTTTTTGTTTTGTCTCTGCCAGGCTTTGGTATCAGGATGATGCTGGCCTCATAAAATGAGTTAGGGAGGATTCCCTCTTTTTCTATTGATTGGAATAGTTTCAGAAGGAATGGTACCAACTCCTCCTTGTACCTCTGGTAGAATTCAGCTGTGAATCCGTCTGGTCCTGGACTTTTTTGGTTTGGTAAGCTATTAATTATTGCCCCAATTTCAGAGCCTGTTATTGGTCTATTCAGAGATTCAGCTTCTTCCTGGTTTAGTCTTGGGAGAGTATATGTGTCCAGGAATTTATCCATATCTTCTAGATTTTCTAGTTTATTTGCGTAGAGGTGTTTATAGTATTCTCTGATGGTAGTTTGTATTTCTCTGGGATCGGTGGTGATACCCCCTTTATCATTTTTTATTGCATCTATTTGATTCTTCTCTCTTTTCTTCTTTATTAGTCTTGCTAGTGGTCTATCAATTTTGTTGGTCTTTTCAAAAAACCAGCTCCTGGATTCACTGATTTTTTGAAGGGTTTTTTGTGTCTCTATTTCCTTCAGTTCTGCTCTGATCTTAGTTATTTCTTGCCTTCTGCTAGCTTTTGAATGTTTGCTCTTGCTTCCCTACTGAAAAAAGATGATCATATTTTGCAATGCAAGGACATGAGAATTTTGGGCTCGAGAGTGCAATGATATAGTTTAGATGTTTTCCCTTCCAAATGTCATGGTGAAATGTGATTCTCAATGTTGGAGGTGGGACCGACTGGGAGGTTTTGGGTCATGGGGAAAGATCCTTCAGGAATGGCTTGGGAACCACCCCATGGCACTTAGTGAATTCTTGCTGTGTTAGCTACTATGAGATCTGATTGTTAAAAAGAGTCTGGCAACCCTTCTTGCCACTCATGTCCCAGCTCTCACCATGTGACATAGCCTGTTCCCCCTTTGCCTTCCATCATGATTGTAAAGCAGATCCTGGTGCCATGCTTCTCACACAGCCTTCAGAACTGTAAGCCAAATGTGCCTCTTTTCTTTGTAAATCACTTGGCCTCAGGTATTAATTTATAGGAATGCAAAAGAGACTAACACACCGTCCAAAGCATTACACAGATTCAACTCTATTTTTATCAAATGACCAATATAATTGATTACATATTTAGAAAAAAATACTAAAATTCCTACAGAATCAAAAAAGAGTCTGAATAGCAAAAGCAATCCTAAGCAAAAAGACCGAAGCTGGAAGCACCACATTCTCTGACCTCAAATTATACTACATGAATATAATAAGAAAGACAGCATGCTACTAGTAGAAAAAAATAGCCCAGAAAGAAAGCCAAATATCTAAAACCAACTGTTGTTTGACAAAACTGACAAAAATATACACTGGAGAAACAACCCTCTATTCAATAAGTGGTGCCGGGAAAATTAGGTGGCTTATGTGGAAGAATAGAACGAGACTTCCATATCACCGTAGACACAAATTAACTGAATATGGATTCAGTGTTTAAATTTATAAACTAAAACTATAAAAATACTTGAATAAAATCTAAAAAGAGTCCTCTGGACATTGGTCTAAGCAAACAATATACGACTAAGACTTCAAAAGCAAATGCAATAAAAACAGAAGTAGACAAACAGGATTTAGTTGAACTAAAGGTCTTCTGCACAGCAAAAGAAATAACCAACATGGTGACCAGACAATCTGCAAATGGAAAAAATATCTGGAATCTATTCATCTTGCAAAGGGCTAATATATAGAATCTACAAGTAACTCAAATAAGTCAACTAAAAATTACAAATAACTTCATTAAAGAATAGACATAAACAGACATTTATCAAAAGAATACACAGAAGTGGCCAACACAAATAAGAAAATATACTCAGCATCACCAATCATCTGATAAATGTAAATTAGAAACAACATGATACGGCATCTTCCACCAGTCAGAATGGCTGTTATTACAAATAAAAACAGCAGGTTTTGCAGACAAACATAGGAAAAATAATGATTTATATATGCTTGGTGAGAATGTAAATTAGTACAACCTCCATGAAAAACAACATAGAAATTTCTCAAAGAACTAAAATTAGAATTACCATTTCTTCCAGTAAGCTGTCCCAGTAGGCATGTTCCTCCCAAACTTTTATATCAGAGAATGTTGCCTGCACTCATATGTTTATTTCAACACCATTTTCAATAGAAAAGTCAAATAATCTAAGTGTCAATCAGTGGATGATTAGATAAAATATGATATATGTAAATCATGGAATACTATGCAGCCAGTATGGTATGAATTCAGTGTGACCAGCCCCTGGACAAGGGCTTGAGTGGATGGGATGGATCATCACCTACACTGGGAACCCAACATATACCAACGGCTTCACAGGACGGTTTCTATTCTCCATGGACACCTCTGTCAGCATGGCGTATCTGCAGATCAGCAGCCTAAAGGCTGAGGACACGGCCGTGTATGACTGTATGAGAGACACAGTGTGGAAACCCACATCCCGAGGGAGTCAGAAACCCCGAGGGAGGAGGCAGCTGTGCTGAGCTGAGGCAGTGGTGCAGCAGTTTCTTTAACTTCCATATGATCTCATTTTGCATCATCTTCTACTTTTATATTAGCTAAGAACTTGGGGTAGACAGGTGCTCCTAAGAGATCCTTAAC
Organism: Homo sapiens; assembly: GCF_000001405.40. Taxonomy (NCBI): domain Eukaryota; kingdom Metazoa; phylum Chordata; class Mammalia; order Primates; family Hominidae; genus Homo; species Homo sapiens. The sequence goes on along the minus strand of NC_000014.9, from coordinate 106,425,176 downwards.
TTGCCCATTTTGATGGGTTTTCCAGAAGACGTGAGAAGCCACTTTGTTAGCAAAGCATCCCAAATCCATGCCCTGTTCTAGATACATGTGAGCCCATTTCCTGGTCTTTGCTTAACTGACAAGCTCTCATCAGTGCACCTGGGCTAATTTCACATCAGGTAGAGGAACGCGTTATAAAGGAAAGCTAATGTTGTAATAGCAATTCCTGCTTAAAAACCTTCAGCTTCATTGTTTTTGTGTAATCCATCAGCAAATTATGTTAGTTCAAGGTTCTCAATGGGAGTTTCTAATAAATAGAAAGGATGTATAGAGCTTCCCCTAATTAAAATGAAACAATTGTGAACACAACCTCGGTATTCAGCCATGTCTCCACCCTTCACACCCTTCGCCACAAAGGAATTTTCACCTCTCCTGGAAGCTGGGTTCATTTTCAAATTAGTTATTTTTTTCAATGTAATATCTCAAGATTATCGTATATGACTATTTTAGCAGAAAGTGAATTATGGGAACTTGAACTAAACAACTGAAAACAAATTCACAACTAATTAAACAAGATGCCAGAATGTGATTGGCTCCAGGCTTTGTAATTCAGCAGTTCATGTACCCAGACTGGAAATTTACATGTCTTCTTGTTACCTTCACAGCACAGTCAACTCCCATTATGTAAGAAATGGTGACTGCATTCCCAAGGGTTATGCATAGATATGAAAATAGACTGGGTAAGGTGAGGAGTTGATTGTTTAAATTCCCCTCTGAAGAAGCAGCATCAACTCAACAAACCACCTCTCTTCACTCTGTGACTAGAGCTATGTCACAGGCCACATGGACCTAAATCCTTGATGGATATAACATGACTACATAAATTGGGCTGATCATTTTTATGCTATAAAATTAATAGATGACACTGCACTCCAGCCTGCACAACCAAGCAAGTCTTCATCTGTAAAATCTAAAAAAGAAAAATTAGTAGGTACTGACTTCGAAATTTTTGATAATAATATTTTCACCACCCAAATTTAATCACACCCACATGTTACCTGCATCTTCACTGAAAAGTTCCCAGTCACGATGAGTTCCTTCAATGCTCCATGTGTTCAAATCTGGACATCAAGAGAGTCCAGAGAATAAAACACAATGACGGCAGTGAAACTGATATATATTCAGCACCTCTTAACTCAGGAGGACTCCATACACCCTGGCACACAGCTGCTTTTCTAAATGGCTCACAATGACTCCAGCTCACTCACAGAGCTCAGACAGAAACCTCCCTTCAGGGTGGGAGCTGGGTGGCAGGGGGCACTCAGTACCCGCAGAGGTGAAAATGAGCTTTCAGATGGAACTTCCCTGTCACCTCAACATGGAATTTATTGTTTCATTTCATTACCTCTCTTTCCATAATGGTTCATTTCTTTTGGCCTGTTCATTACTGATATTTTTCAGAGCAATCTCACTTGAATCTTTACTCTTTTGCATTTTGTCTCCTTGACAATGTTGGGAAGTTTTACCTCCAGCATCATAACATGATCTAGTGATCTGACACATTGTGCAAACAATACCTACAAATTCAGAACCTCTTTGTTTTTCTTTCCACAAAATATAATTCTTTCTGTTCTGTGTATGAGCATGTCTTAGCAACCCTGTACACACCCACATAGATGTCTACAAGCCTATGAATTGTTCTCTGTAAATAAAAATTTATCTCAAATTCCTTCAATGTTCATAATTCTGAGAGTGAGGAAGGTCCTTCTCAATCTGTTCAAACAAAATGCCCAGAGACCATCCAGTAGGTAAGGAGTTCACCTGGCTCTGGTGTGGGGTCTGTCTCTTTCCCTCTGTTGTCCCACAGGTCAGCCCAGTTGTTCACGTCCTAACAAGAAAGCCCAGGTTTGTCCTGATTTTAAAACACATCAAACTTCTGATGACTCTCCTGTTACCCACATCCATGGAGATAGATTATTTATTATATAATTCAGCAAACTAATGTCAAATGCCCAAGTTGCAATACCGCACATCCTAGGGTATGTTCATGCAATTCAATGGAGGAGAAAATCTTTCAGAGACAGATGGATCTGAAATGATAAATATGTGGGTAAGGACTCTGGGCTTGAGTATCATTGTCCAGCCATGTTTCACAAGTGTGTCCTGTCAGGGAAGGATCAGAGTTCCTTGTGCTGTCAGAGGGAAGGGGTCACAGAGTTCCTCTCTGGTTCCCAGGAAAGGTAATCGCACTAATCTTCATGATCTTCATGAGACTATCCTCCAGTGCTGACCTGTTACGGAGTTTTTGTCTGAAGTTCTCACTGCAATCCCCAATCTACATATTTTCAATCAGAAGTGTTTAGAGGCCAGGACACATCTTCAAGGTCACACATTGAGAAGGATGGAGATATGTCCCACTACCTTCTCCTACGATCTCAGACAGAATCCCAAATTTCAAAAGGACACAGAAGGACAGCTCTCAGGTGCTTTTAAAAAATGACCCACTTCCAGGGACAGTGAGCTTCCCTGTAACCATGGTGGATGTTCTGAACTACAATAAACATTGGATGGATCCAGTATTGTTTGAAGTCACTGTCATTATTACATTCAGCTGTTGTTTCAATGTGTCTGAAAGGGTAAATGACTATTTAGATGGCCTGGGTGTGTGGTTGGTTTTATATGAATCTTTAAGGGTTGAACAGTACTGACCCTATTCCAAAATCTGTCCTTGATCCAGGATCACACTCATCTCTCAGACCAGCTCCTTCAGCACATCTCTTTACCTGGAAGAAGAGGACTCTGGGCTTGGAGAGGGGAGGCCCCAAGAAGAGAACTGAGTTCTCAAAGGGCACAGCCAGCATTCTCCTCCCAGGGTGAGCTCAAAAGACTGGCGCCTCTCTCATCCCTTTTCACTGCTCCGTACAAACGCACCACCCCCATGCAAATCCTCACTTAGGCGCCCACAGGAAGCCACCACACATTTCCTTAAATTCAGGTCCAACTCATAAGGGAAATGCTTTCTGAGAGTCATGGATCTCATGTGCAAGAAAATGAAGCACCTGTGGTTCTTCCTCCTGCTGGTGGCGGCTCCCAGATGTGAGTGTTTCTAGGATGCAGACATGGAGATATGGGAGGCTGCCTCTGATCCCAGGGCTCACTGTGGGTTTTTCTGTTCACAGGGGTCCTGTCCCAGCTGCAGCTGCAGGAGTCGGGCCCAGGACTGGTGAAGCCTTCGGAGACCCTGTCCCTCACCTGCACTGTCTCTGGTGGCTCCATCAGCAGTAGTAGTTACTACTGGGGCTGGATCCGCCAGCCCCCAGGGAAGGGGCTGGAGTGGATTGGGAGTATCTATTATAGTGGGAGCACCTACTACAACCCGTCCCTCAAGAGTCGAGTCACCATATCCGTAGACACGTCCAAGAACCAGTTCTCCCTGAAGCTGAGCTCTGTGACCGCCGCAGACACGGCTGTGTATTACTGTGCGAGACACACAGTGAGGGGAGGTGAGTGTGAGCCCAGACAAAAACCTCCCTGCAGGGAGGCTGAGGGGGCGGGCGCAGGTGCAGCTCAGGGCCAGCAGGGGGCGTGCGGAGCTCACGGAATACAAGGCCGGGTCAGGAGCAGGTGCAGGGTGAGCGGGGCTTGCTCATCTTCTCAGAGATCATCATCTCCCTCCTCGCCAGCACCTCAGCTTTCCGTAGAGGTCCTCTTTCTTTATTGTGTGTGGTTCTACTTCCTCACATCCTTGTGCCAGGAAAGAAAGGAGTAAGGCAAATTTTCCTGTTACAATTGAAGTTTCACCAATTACTAAGAACTTTCCTGCAAGTACCTGCACAGCCCATTATACCTTATTTATATATGTATATATTCTAATGCTTCTCACCATCTCTTGATTTGTGTCATCAATTTAATTGTGCCCTTTTTGAAATTCATATGCTGAAACTTTAAATCCAATGGATCTATATCGGAATTTTAATGGTATAATTAATGTTAAATGTGGTCATAAATGAGACCCTAATGCAATAGAGCTGTTGTCTTTATAAGAAGAGGAAGAGACACCAGATACCTCTCACTTCTCACATGCACTCAGAGAAGAGGCCACGTGGAGACATAGTGCACTAGAAGGTGGGCCTCTGCAAGCCAGGAAGAAGCCGCACCAAGAACCAACCCTGCCAGCACCTTGATCTTCTACATTCAGACTGCAGAATTGTAAGAAAATCAATATTTGTTGTTTAAGCCACCCACTCCTTTTGTCTTCTTACGAAGACCCAGACAGGCTAATACCACACAACTCTGTTAGCTCCATCTCCTGGAGGGAGAAGCAGCCCCCTGAAGCTGGGCACATCGCTCAGATTTTCACATGAATTAGGCAAAAACAGTAGCTCTCATATAAAAACTGTCACGTCCCTGTTGGGACAAGGTCTTTTAAACAAGCCCTGGGGCTTTGTCACAAATGTTGCATTTTATCCTTTATTAGGACTTAATTAATTGACAATGAGTACCAGCTGGATGGAAACTGACCACTGACCATCTTCTGCTGTCTCCTTATTATATCACAGAAAACCACAGCAACATTACTCTATGTCTTCAACTTTCTAAATTTGTACTGAATCTATTGCTAAATGAGGAGCTACATGGGGTCTGAGTTTTGTTACCTTCTTCCCAGTCTTCCCCAATTACCAAGCATAGAAGATACTTTCAGTGAAATTTAGCTGTCAATGCCCCCAACACCACATCATGTTTTAAGGTCCAAGGACTTTCTTTGGGGGGCTATTGAAAAACACTTTTGAATGGAAAATCCTAAAGCATACAACAGCTGAAAGAATGGCCCCTGTGCACATGAAGGCTGAAGGGGTGGATGATAGGGTACGTTCCTCCAAGGTGTTCCTGGGCATGTGATGGTTGGATACCTCATGCATACGAAAACAAGGACTGAACTGAGATAGAAACAAGGGCCATATCCTATAGGAAAACAAGAAAAAAAGGGGCATCCCTGAAGAGAGTTAATTAGACTTGGTGGGTTTAAGATGAAATTTTTTCCAAAGTTTTTTAATGTTCTAAGCTAAATATGAATATTTTCAATAAACTGCAAATTAAAAGGAGAATGAATTTAGAAGTTTAGACAGAAAAAAGCCATGAGGGTGTAGAAAGCAAATCCACAAAAAACTGTCACATGGCAGAGGCCAGAATGGAGCTGATGCAGCTACATCATTATTCTGCAGACCTAGTTGAGACCCTTTGGTGTTTAAGGCAGGTCCAGCAGTGAAGAACTCCTTTAGTTTTTGTCTGGGAAAGTTCTAATCTAATCTTCATTTCTGAAAAGGATTTACATGGTAAAGATTCGTCTTGGCAGGGTTTTATTTATTTTTAGTCCCCCCCAACCCACGTCAATTTGAGTAAAGTCATGTGTTACGTAACAATGCTGCAGTCAACAGTAGACCACATATATGTTTGTGGCCACATAATGTTGTAATACCATATTTTCACTAAACTTTTTCCATGTTTTGATGTGTTTAGATAGAGAGATACTTACCATGGTGTTTCCATTTCCTGCAGTGTTCAGTGCAGTAACACGCTGTACAGGTTAGTTGTCTGGGAACCCTGCGCTAATCCACATACCCTGTGTGTAGTAGGGTATTCCTTGTAGGTTTGTGAAAATTCACCCTTGATGCTTGCACAATGATGAAATTGCCCAGGGACACATTTCTCAAAAAGAACCTCTGTCAATAAACCACACACCATTGAATACAATCCCTGTGCCTTCTGAACTGAAAACCTTCTGCTGAGAAATCTGTTCCTTTTCTTTCTGTTTTCTAAAGCCTCTTTTATTTCCAGCAATGTGGTTTTAAACTGTGTCACATTTTTTGTCATTGGGTTTATCTTACGTAAAATTTATAGAGCTTCTTCATTGTGGATGAATATTTGCTTCCCTTCTCCAAATTTGGAAATATTTTTTGCTATTATTTTGAATAATTTATCTCTTCTCTCTCTCTCTCTCTCTCTCTCTCTCTCTCTCTCTCTCTCTCCCTCTCTCTCTCTCTCTCTCTCTCTCTCTCTCTCTCTCTCTCTCCCCCTCTCTCCCTTCACTACCCCTTTTGTCTTGTCTTTGTATAACTCCTCAAATGCGTAGTTGAGTGTTTAGTGTCTTTCCTGGCCCATAAGTCTTGAACTCTTTTTTATTTCTTTCACTTAAATTTTTCTTCTCTGTCTCTACTATTTCAAATGATCTTTCTTTGAGTTTACTGTTTCTTCTATTACTTGATCTAGTTTGGTCTAAAATCTTGTTAAAATTTTTGGCTGTATTCTTCAGGATCAATATTTTTGTTTAGTCATCTTTTAAATGTTTTATCTTTATTAAAATTCTCACATTGTTCTTGCATGCTGCCACTAGCTCATTGAACATGTTTCTAACATTTACTTTAAAGTTTCTGTCAGGTAATCCATGTTCTTCCTTTTCATTGATGTCAGTTTATGGACCTTTTGGTTGTTCTTCTGTTTGGACCATGTTCCCCTGCTTCTTCATTTTCCTTGACTGTCTTTGTTGTTATCTGTTCTTTATAACAAAAGCCATCATATACTTCTTCAAAGACTAGGCTCATAGAGATCACCCTCACCAATCAGCCCAGACAGTAATTGTGGGTCTCTCAAAACTTGATAGGATTCAAACTTCTGTCTGTTCTTAGTGGCCCCTAGGTTTTAGAGGATGATAGATTGTGCCAGGACTCACAGGTAAGGGAGGTAGAAACTATGTACTCATGACCATGGGGTCTGTGCTGATCTGAGCTTCTCTTGTCATCACTCTCAATATTCAACTTCCCCGTGGATCAGGCTCAGCTGTGGCTGCTCCACGTGGGGCTGTTCTCAGTCTGTTGCCTCTGTGTGTGCAGAAGTCCTCTGTGAAGTTAACTAGTGGAGTCAGACAGGAAAATACTACAGACCAAGAATTCTCAGACTGTTCTGCAAAGCCCCTGGATTCACTGAAAAAAGAACAAGTTTGGTCCAGCAGGATTCATGGCAAGTGTTGGTGAGGGAGATAACAGTAATTCAAGTGGAAGTTCTCAATGGGACTCGCCTTCAGTACAAAGAAGATTAACAGTCCTCAGAGACACTGTTCAGAAGATTCTCTTTTAAGATAATAAAACTGAGAGCCCAAGACAAGTCTGTGTATTACTGTGAGGGACACAGTGTGGGGACATCTATGTGAGCACAGACACAAAAGTCCCTGCAGGGAGACAGGAGGGGACTGCATGTTAGTTGCTGCTCAGAACCACCAGGGGGCATTCAGGACACCAGTAGGCACTCAGAACCACCAAGGAGAGCTCAGAATCACCAGGGGGCACTCAGGAAACTGGCAGGTGCTCAGAACCACCAAGGGGCGCTCAAGATCCCAGCGGGAGCTCATAACCACCAGGGGGCGCTCAGGACACTAGGGGGCTCAGAACCACTAGGGGGCGCCCAGGACCACCAGGTCTCTCAAGACAGGAGGGCGCACTCAGGACACTAGGGGGCGCTCAGAACCATCAGGGGGCAATCAGGACACCAGAGGGACTTCAGAACCACCAGGGGGCGCTGAGAACCACCAGGGGGTGCTCAGGACATGACCGGCCCTCAGGACCACCAGGGGATGTTCAGAACACCAGGAAGCACTCAGGACACCAGAGAGCGATCAGAACACCAGGGGGCACTCAGATCCTCCAGGGGGCACTCAGGACAACAGGGAGCTCTCAGGACACCAGGGTGAGCTCAGTAAACCAGTGTTCGCTCAGAACCACCAGGGAGCACTGAGGACACCACCGCTCCCTTAGGAGGCAGCTCCACATCAGGTCCCTGGATCCGGGCAGGGAGGGCGGTTCCTTTTGGATCTTGCCACTAACCTTTTGGGAGTTTTCCTGCTTCCTTTGTGGTTTCAAGAATCATTTGCAGATTCTTCTCATGTACAAAGCTCTGCTTTCTTGGATTATGTAATGTTTTTGGCTTTGGATGCTACCAGAATTACGTTGTACTGTGAGAGGATTCATTCGTGGTGTGTGCAATAGTGAATGAAAGCTCCAATGTTAGGGGTGGCTTTGAAAGCTACGTTAGGGGTGGCTGAGGGCAGTTAGCAGAAAATGATCATCACTATAGAAGGCTACTCATTTCTTTGCACATTTGCATAAACAATTGTAGTTTATGCCCTAAAAACTGCATGTTTTCTTGGCCCTTTTTCTTAAATGGCTCCACTCTAAGTCCAGTAATCTAATTAAGCTGTGTTTCAAAGACCACCAATCAAGTTAATTCTGTTTAATGCAACACTTTGTAAAGAAAATGTACATCTGTTTTTTAGAGTCAGCTTTAAATTTTACATTACTTTACAAATATTGATTTGTCAAATTTAGTCTCATAACTATCTTCAGTAATTTAAAATCTTAGTCATGTCATGTTAAATTAAGTAATCCTAGGTTTCTCACTTGAATTAGGGTTACTAAGAATTAGAATAGTAAAAGAGTATAATTAGCTTTTGGTGAGGTTTATAAAGAAAGATGAGGATTTTTTTTTTTTTTTGCTTAAAAATATTCTGTTTTCCAGTTTACAGGGCTTTTCAACTGGTTTTAAGATAACCACTGTTTACATCTAAACTTTTTTTTGTAAATGACTGCTGAGTTTCTATACATATTCCATAGCTAGAGTTTCAAAGTAAAAGCTCTAGTATCTTTGTATTAGTGTGTGTATGCGTAGATGTGTTAATATGTGCATGTATATATATGTGTGTGTGTGTGTGTGTGTGTGTGTGTGTGTGTTGTGGCTACTAGGTACAAAATTGGCTTTGAAATAAATATTTTCAAATTAAGTAAATGAGCCCAATGCATTTGAAGTACATGTGACTTAAATAAATATTTAATAAATAAGTTGGCTTTAAAATTATTGGTAAAAACAAATTAGAGATATTTTAACAATTATCAGCATACCTTATAGTTTATATTAATTCATCAAGTGATTTTATATTTAAAATCACAGCTAGATATTATATGGTGTCAAAATTTTTTATGATGATTATAAAATTATTAACCTCGTTGGCCATATGCGGTGGCTCACACCTGTAATCCCAGCTCTTTGGAAGGCTGAGGTGGGTGGATCACGAGGTGAGGAGATTGAGACCATCCTGGCTAACATGGTGAAACCCCATCTCTACTAAAAATACAAAAAGAAAAAAAAAATTAGCTGGGCATGCTGGCAGGCGCCTGTAATCCCAGCTACTCTGGAGGCTGAGGCAGGAGAATGCTTGAACCCCAGAGGTGGAGCTTGCAGTGAGCTGAGATCGCACCACTGTACTGCAGCCTGGATGACAGAGCGAGACTCCGTCTCAAAAAAAAAAATTATAAACCTCATTAAAACCAGAATGATCTTTGTAATTTTTTGACAAATATGATGTTTAATATTGTTGTTTTAATAAAAAACAGGTAAATAGTTATTAGAAAAACAATTATTTGCTTAATTATAAGGTTTTTACTCAGGCAAGCACCTGAAATTCATGGGTTATAACATGGTTAACAGAGAAAAAACTTTAAAGGATGAATTACAATTTTCATAAGTAATCTAGATAAGCTACTTAAATAAAATAGGGAAATGTAATCAAATAAACCTTTTAAATAAACTTGTTCTACAATTTAAAAATCTAAAGTTTAATTAAATAATAGATATTGACTAAATGTTTAGGTCATTACTAATTGTTTTAAAAAATATATAAGAAAATATTTTTCTTAAAAAATTATTCTTAGAAAAATAATGTAATTCAAAGTTATTTATATAACATCATAAAAAGTAAGAGAGTTTTAAAGAAATTTATTGACATAGAGAAGTACTTTTGGTAAGAAAGGTTAAAATAAAAAAATTTTATATGAGAAATAATCTTGCATGGTAATTTTTTATCCTAAAATAAAATGACTAAGAAAGAATGACGTTTAGAATAAAACAAGATGTTCAACTATGCCATAAATGGTTTGTGTAAGTGAAAATAAGATTTATAAAAAGTTAATTTATTAAAAAACCTTCATATTATCAAGTTGACTATAATTGAAAGGGAAGTATTTATAATAGTCTTTATAGAGATCTGGCTTTTATATAAAATATAGTAATACACTGAAGACTGGTTAGAATGACAAAATTGTCTTAAAGTGTTGATTTACTAAATAAAATTATAAGATATTTTAATTTTTTAACCCCCAAATTTAACTTTTATTGCATCTTGCCATTTTGATTTTTTCCCTTTGAGAAGACTTGAGAGGCTCTCCATTTTTTCATCACGTCCTTTAACATTTTTTTTCTTACAGCGATTAGCTTCTTACTGACTTAACTTCTAACTGTTGTTAGCTTTTAACTGCTATTATTGTCTGATGCTAAAAACATTTTATCTTTAAGTTCTAAATAAAATGTTTTCTTTCAATATAACATTCTACACTCTTGGCTTATCTTTAAATGTCTACATTTTTCTATGAAACCAAAGTCTTCACGTGTAATCTGAGTCACATTCTTGGTATGTCTAATTAATTCAAATGCTTTTTTCATTAGAGTTGACCTGCAGGTTATCTACATGCATTTTCCAATAGGGAAAAGCAATCACACTGTAAAAGGTTTTGCTTTGCTATTTGGTAACTGGCATAAAACAAATTTTATATTTTATTGAAATAATTCCTATGTTACTGTTATTAAGGTTTCCAACTTACTGAGATTTTAAGAAAATATAAATTAATGTTATTACATTCATGTAGCTATCTACATTACTTTTAAAGGCCTTGTGCTGCCACATTACTGACCTTTGACTCCTAGGTCTAAAAAGGACACACAGCATTTTGGGAGACTAAGGCAGGCAGATCACCTGAGGTCAGGAGTTTGAGACCAGCCTGGCCAACATGGCGAAACCCTGTCTTTATAAGAAATACAAAAATTACCCAGGCATGGTGGTGGATGCCTGTAATCCCAGCTACTTGGAAGCCTGAGGCAGGGAGAATTGCTTGAACCTGGGAGACAGAGATTGCAGTGAGCCAAGATTGTGCCACTGAACTCCAGCCTGGGTGATAGAGCAATATTCCATCTCAGAAAAAATATATAAATAAGAGAAAAAGGACACTAAGTCCTGCTAAATCTTAAACACTGACAGTAATTAAAGCCCCATCTACAGACCTGGAAGAAAATGACAATAAAAATTCATCATACTCTTAAGACATAAGGCCAGAAATTGAAACTACTCAACAACTCCAGGCCCAGGGACTATTACAGAAGTGGATTTGTAAGATTGTAAAAGCTAATTTTGAGATATAATATTACTTGAGAGTTTCTTTATAAGTTAAGCATTAATATTAAATGCACACTAATGGAAGTCTAGCATCTGGGCCCCTGTGACAGATTGACAAGGGTTTCTTGAAGAAGTAATCCACTCTTTAGCTTAAAAAATTATTAAAATTTATAAAAGACCTATGAAAATTATATTTTATGGTAAAAGTAGTTATAATTTAATAGACTTATTTCTCAGAATTGAGAGATAGTTTTAATTTTTCTCATGATGTTCTTATAAGGGGTTATTGTTTAGAAAATTAATTCTTTCAAAAATAAAAGTTTTTGCTTTTTTAAGAAATCACTGAGTTTTCACTTGGCTAAATAAATAACTTACTTTACAATAATCTGTAATTCCATTTTGTAATATCAAGTGTTCTAAATAAACCTTTGATATTTGACCTCCTTCACAAAATAAAAGTCTAAATTCAGTCATTTGACCTCATTATTCTTTTTTGATATTTGATCTCCTGAAGCCAAAAAGAAACATATTTAGCTTCTTTGGTACAATTAAATTATACTGGAAGCAATGTCAAATTTGAAATGGTGTTTAACTTTGGACTATATTTATATAAATGTGGACTATATAATTGGAGTATATTCATATAAATTAAAGAGTACATGTTCTAAAATGGTATGAGGTTCAATTGACTTTGATATGTCAGTATATTTTGTCAGTAGTACTTATGATTATTATATAAAATTTTTGTTCATCACAGAAATAACCAAACTTTCTCCTCAATTCTGTCTTTAACCGTGGCTATTCTAAAACTTCAGCCATCCACAATTGTTTTCCTTTGATTCTTTATCAGGTGGCTTATAATAATCTATAGAATTTTGAGGGGTACTCTTAAATACACAATTGTGACAATTTTATAAATTGTGCCATTTATATACAGAGAAAAACTTCCAAGACTCTCATGGAGACCTGATGCATTTATGATGGTTGTTAATATAATGTCAAACAGGACAGGACTTAATTGCATGAACTGAACTAACAGGAGCCTGAAATAAATTTTATGGCTTATTCTTTAAAGCATTTGCTAATTACTTACATTTTGTTTTTCAGAATCAAAAAAAAAATTCTCTTAAGCTATTCATTGTTTTTAACAATTGAGTATAGTATATTCTAGTGAGAAAATTCAAAAACACAATTTCTTCTTCTCTACATAATTTCTCCAAAATTTGGAAACTGTGAGTATTGTTATATCAAAATATTAATTCACATAGGTTCAATATAAATCTGCTTTCTTCCGTAACAGGGCACAATTGGAGACAATGATCATTTTACCAAGACTTTAACTTGAATGACATATTTTCATATTTACTTTATAAAATGAATTTAAGCTGGATAGCTGATAAAAGCCCCTTGGGAAAACTGGCATGTAACCTGTTTTGTTCAGGGCCCTGAGCTGTAGTAAGTCAATAATTTTACTTTCTGACAGACCCAGGAATCCCAAGTTGTCTTGGAAAATTGAAAAAAGAAGAAGTAACCCAATTCATATAGCTGTCTGAAGGCACAGATGAAACAATGTCTGGGCTTGATGCTTTTAAAGATTCTACCCTTAGATTTCTTATAAAAAATTTCCAGCAAGGTCAATTTATGAATTAAATAGCCTATGTACAAAAAATAGAAAAAAAGAGAGCTAATATGTTAAATTACTATTTTTGCCTCATCTTATACAAAAAAATTAAGCCTAAAACTTATATTACAAATAAATTTGCCCTACTATGATTGTGTCTCTAATAACTTTGGGGAATTATAGAGAGAAATACTGTTTCAAAATAAACAACAGTGCATCTGTTATTAGATTCTAACCTTGTCCACTTGTTTTTCAATTTATATTATTTTCTACAATTTATATTAGTTTCTACAATTTATATTAGTTTCTATAAAAATTTATATTTGCAGAAGCCTCCAAAATATTTTTCCTGATTTAAAATTACCAGAAGTTAAACTGTGCTTTCTTATAGCTAGACATCTTATACTCTAAAGAAAATAAAATCAATGACATGATTTGGCTCTGTGTCCCCACCCCAATCTCATCTTGGATTGTAATAATTCCCACATGTCAAGTGGAAAAAGGTGGGAATAATTGAATCATGGAGGCTGTTTTCTCCATGCTGTTCTCCTGTTATTCTCACAAGATCTGATGGTTGTATAAGGGGCCTCCCTCTTCCCTTGGCACTTCTCTCTTGCAGCCATGTGAAGAAGCACGTGTTTGCTACCCCTTCCATCATGATTGTAAATTTCTTGTGGCTTTCTCAGCCACGCAGAACTGTAAGACAATTAAACCTTTTTTCTTTATAATTTACCCAGCCTCAGGTATGTCCTTATAGCAGCATGAAAACGGACAAATGTAAGCAACTTAATTATATACAAAAACTCTTTTATACCTGCCTACTGTGAAAGGAAAATAAGTCTTGAGACCGCAAAATCACCAAGCTAAATGGAAGAGTCAAACTGGTGTTACAGGAGATAGAAAGAAATTATTTTGGTAGATAGTTAGGATGACAGAATTTCTGGCAAAAACATTTCTTCTAACAAAAATCAGCTTGGCAATTACTTATTTTCTATTCACACAGAGTTCAAAGAAATCACTTCTAACAAAAAGCAGCCTGAAAGATCAGGCTGTAAAACATATAAGCAACTCTGCCACAGAGAGGGTGTTTCTGGGTGTAATCACCAAACTTCACATACATACACTGGGCCCTAGTAAAAACAGTGGGCCTTAATGAGCACATTCCTTTCCTTTTCTGGGGGCACTATAACATCAGAAAGCTGGAAACTTGCACAAGTTTAGGATGCCTGCACTTGCAAGGAGGTACCTGGGACCTAGCATGGAAAATCCTCTTCCCCTTTTTAGCACTCTGGGAGTGGAGCCCCAGCCTTGGGATTCCCAGGTGTTTCCCTTCAGTGATCAGGACTGAACACACACAACTCATCATGCAGTTTGTGCTGAGCTGGGTTTTCCTTGTTGGTATTTTAAAAGGTGATTCATGGAGAACTACAGATGTTGAGTGTGAGTGGACATGAGTGAGCAAAACAGTGGGTTTGTGTGGCAGTTTCTGACCTTGGTGTCTCTGTGTTTGCAGGTGTCCAGTGTGAGGTGCAGCTGGTGGAGTCTGGGGGAGGCTTGGTACAGCCTAGGGGGTCCCTGAGACTCTCCTGTGCAGCCTCTGGATTCACCGTCAGTAGCAATGAGATGAGCTGGATCCGCCAGGCTCCAGGGAAGGGGCTGGAGTGGGTCTCATCCATTAGTGGTGGTAGCACATACTACGCAGACTCCAGGAAGGGCAGATTCACCATCTCCAGAGACAATTCCAAGAACACGCTGTATCTTCAAATGAACAACCTGAGAGCTGAGGGCACGGCCGTGTATTACTGTGCCAGATATACACAGAGGGGAAGTCATTGTGCGCCCAGACACAAACCTCCCTGCAGGAACGCTGGGGGGAAATCAGCGGCAGGGGGCGCTCAGGAGCCACTGATCAGAGTCAGTCCCGGAGGCAGGTGCAGATGGAGGCTGATTTCCTGTCAGGATGTGGGACTTCATCTTCTTCCAACAGTTTCTCTAATGAACCTCCCTAATTTTAGAATTCTGTGGTTCCTAATGTCATCTCTACATATTTTCAAAAGATCATTTTAATATGAGGACATAACCTCTCATGTACCAAATGCACATTGATGCTTACAAAGATGAAAAGTTCTCAACCATTGTCACCAGGATCGCAGTCCTGAGGAAGCTCACGGGTGTCTGATGAGTCTCCTCCATTCAGGCCCAGGACAGAAACCTCAGGGAGACTCCTGGACTAGAACGGCAGGGATTCTGATCACAGCCAATAGAGAGCCTGGGCCAGGGTCAGTGTCCTGTAGAAGCTCACAGGGTTCACATCTGACCCTTCTCCTGACCCTAAAGCCAATCCGCATCAGCACTGATCTGGTGCTCCTTTTGCTCCCAATACATGTTCTTTCTTTGGAGTGTTTGTTCTCCCTTTTTTATTTGCTTTTCTTTCTTCCTGAAAAAGAAACACATGGTCTCTATGCTCTACACTCCAGGGCTCAAGGCATTTTCTTAGAACTCAGGCAAGGCTCAGGCTTGGCTACTCCAGCCCACGTGGGAGAGGCTGATGGGATTTCCTTCTCTCCCCATATTCTCAGGGCCCTCCTCTGTGTTGTGTGTAGACTCATCTGGGAATGCAATTGGCCGTTAATAGTGAAGGGGATAAACTCATTTGATCAAAATGGGATGTGGATGTGGAATTAACCCTGTTCTATGCACACTGTCAGAGTCATCTTCTTCAGAAGTAGTGTTAGAAAGAGCTTGTGAACTTTATCAGAATCAAAATGGATCCACTTGTGTTAAAACCCTAATGAATGAAGCTGGGGAAGGCCATGAAGGAGGGTTCTAACACACATATTCCTGATAAGAAGAACTATCATAAATAGACCCTGCACAGCCACAACCTTTTACACAGAGGCCACCACAGCCTTAAAAGCTTTATTTCTCCAAGTAAATCTGCCCCGCAACTGCCTATTCAACCTTACACCGCTATCTCAAAATAGCTGCTGTCACCCTCCTCATTTTTCCTTAATTCTCTTTTTTATTATTTTTTAAATTATACTTTAAGTTCTAGGGTACATGTGCACAAAGTGCAGGTTTGTTACATATGTATACATGTGCCATGTTGGTTTGCTGCCCCCATTAACTCATCATTTACATTAGGTATTTCTCCTAATGCTGTCCATCCCCCTTCCCCCAACCCCACTACAGGCCCCGGTGTGTGATGTTTCCCACCCTGTGTCCACATGTTCTCCTTAATTCTTTATCTTCCTTTTCCTACCTGAATGTACCCATACATATTTTAATTGAAACGCACATCCTAGAAAAAATATTATTATACTTTAGAGTCTCTGTCTGTTATTCAGGTTGACATGACAAGCTACAGACGGACATGCCACTTTTCTGTGAGACATAGAGGATGACAGTTTTTGGAGATGTCTAGGAATATCCAATGTCCATAAGATCAGCCATCAATAAGTGCAGACTGGAGGTCCCAGAGAGAGGCGAAGCTGCTGAATCATCGTGGAATTTCATTTTCTCCAGTTCTGCTCTGATGGAATCAGGCCCACCCATTTTATCAATGACAATCTACCTAACCTAGAGTCAGCTGATGACAGTATTAATATCATCTATTAAGTAAAGTCATAACTATATATATAGTGAGAGAGGGAGAGAGAGAGAGACGGAGTCTCGCTCTGTCACCCAGGGTGGAGTGCAATGTCGTGATCTTGGCTCACTGCAACCTCTGTCTCCGGAGTTCGAGCAGTTCTCCTGTCTCAGCCTCCTCCCAGTATCTGGGAATACAGGCACACACCACCATGTCCGGCCAATTTTTGTATTTTTAGTAGAGATGGTGTTTCACCACATTGGTCAGGCTGGTCTCAAACTACTGACCTCAGGTGACCCACCTGCCTTAGCCTCCCAAAGTGCTGGGATTACAGGGGCAGGCCACCAAGTCCAGCTAATTTTTGTATTTTTAGTAGAGACCAGGTTTCACGATATTGGTCAGGCTGGTCTCAAACTCCTGATCTCAGCCTCCCAAAGTGCTGGGATTAAAGATGTGAGCTACTGTGCCCGGCCAACACCACCTATATTAATGTTGGATTGAATAACTACAAAGTCTACCCTAACCAAGTGTACCATCAAACTTACCATTACCCAGAGGAAAGAATCTTTAACATGAGATCTATATTCTTAAATGTTTTAAGGTGTAAAACTGACCACAGTACAATCACCCAATTATGATTTTGCTAATGAGTTGTAGAAACTGCATGTATATTTTGGATATTAACACTTTTTCAGATGCACACCTTATAATTATATTCTCTCATTCTGTAGGTTGCAATTTTTTCCACACTTTGCGGCATCTTTTTGTTGTGATGTAGTTCTGCTTGTTCAATTCTGCTTTTATTATCTGTGACTTTAATTTGAAATATAGAAAATCATCCTTTTTTATATACTTTAAATTTTAGAGTACATGTGCACAACATGCAGGTTTGTTACATATGTATACATGTGCCATGTTGGTGTGCTGCACCCAGTAACTTGTCATTTAACACTAGGTATATCTCCTAATGCTATCCCTCTCCCCTCCCCCCAACCCACAACAGGCCCCGGTGTGTGATGTTCCACTTACTGTGTCCATGTGTTCTCATTGTTCAATTCCCACCTATGAGTGAGAACATGCGGTGTTTGGTTTTTTGTCCTTGTGATAGACTTCTGAGAATGATGATTTCCAGCTTCATCCATGTCCCTACAAAGGGCATGATCTCATCATTTTTTATGGCTGCATAGTATTCCATGGTGTATATGTGCCACATTTTCCTAATCCAGTCTATCATTGTTGGACATTTGGGTTGGTTCCAAGTCTTTGCTATTGTGAATAGTGCCGCAATAAACATACGTGTGCATGTGTCTTTACAGCAGCATGATTTATAATCCTTTGGGTATATACCCAGTAATGGGATGGCTGGGTCAAATGGTATTTCTAGTTCTAGATCCCTGAGGAATCGCCACACTGCCTTCCACAATAGTTGAACTAGTTTACAGTCCCACCAACAGTGTAAAACTGTTCCTATTTCTCCACATCCTCTCCAGCACCTGTTGTTTCCTGACTTTTTAATGATTGCCATTCTAACTGGTGTGAGATGGTATCTCATTGTTGTTTTGATTTGCATTTCTCTGATGACCAGTGATGATGAGCATTTTTTCACGTGTCTTTTGGCTGCATAAATGTCTTCTTTTGAGAAGTGCCTGTTCATATCCTTCGCCCACTTTTTGATGGGGTTGTTTGCTTTTTTCTTGTAAATTTGTTTGAGTTCATTGTAGATTCTGGACATTAGCCCTTTGTCAGATGAGTAGATTGCAAAAATTTTGTCCTATTCTGTAGGTTGCCTGTTCACTCTGATGGTAGTTTCTTTTGCTGTGCAGAAGCTCTTTGGTTCAACATACTCAAATCAATAAACAAAATCCAGCATATAAACAGAACCAATGACAAAAATCATATGATTATCTCAATAGATGCAGAAAAGGCCTTTGACAAAATTCAACAACCTTCATGCTAAAAACTCTCAAAAAATTAGGTATTGATGGGACGTATCTTAAAATAATAAGAGCTATCTATGACAAACCCACAGCCAATATCATACTGAATGGACAAAAACTGGAAGCATTCCCTTTGAAAACTGGCACAAGAAAGGGTTGCCCTCTCTCACCACTCCTATTCAACATAGTGTTGGAAGTTCTGGCCAGGGCAATGAGACAGTAGAAGGAAATAAAGGGTATTCAATTAGGAAAAGAAGAAGTCATATTGTCCCTGTTTGCAGATGACATGATTTTATATCTAGAAAACCCCATTGTCTCAGCCCAAAATCTCCTTAAGCTGATAGGCAACT
This sequence comes from Homo sapiens, assembly GCF_000001405.40. Taxonomy (NCBI): domain Eukaryota; kingdom Metazoa; phylum Chordata; class Mammalia; order Primates; family Hominidae; genus Homo; species Homo sapiens. The sequence continues at coordinate 106,406,431 of NC_000014.9, read as the reverse complement.
TCAGCATAGTCTCAGGATACAAAATCAATGTGCAAAAATCACAAGCATTCTTACACACCAATCACAGACAAACAGCCAAATCATGAGTGAACTCCCATTCACAAGTGCTTCAAAGAGAATAAAATACCTAGGAATCCAACTTACAAGGGATGTGAAGGACCTCTTCAAGGAGAACTACAAACCACTGCTCAATGAAATAAAAGAGGATAAAAACAAATGGAAGAATATTCCATGCTCATGGGTAGGAAGAATCAATATCGTGAAAATGGCCATACTGCCCAAGGTAATTTATAGATTCAATGCCATCCCCATCAAGCTACCAATGACTTTCTTCACAGAATTGGAAAAACCTACTTTAAAGTTCATATGGAATCAAAAAGAGCCCGTATTGCCAAGTCAATCCTAAGCCAAAAGAACAAAGCTGGAGGCATCACGCTACCTGATTTCAAACTATACCACAACGCTACAGTAACCAAAACAGCATGGTACCGGTACCAAAACAGAGATATAGACCAATGAAACAGAACAGAGCCCTCAGAAATAATGCCGCCTATCTACAACCATATGATCTTTGACAAACCTGACAAAAACAATAAATGGGGAAAGGATTCCCTATTTAATAAATGGTGCTGGGAAAACTGGCTAGCCATATGTAGAAAGCTGAAACTGGATCCCTTCCTTACACCTTATACAAAAATTAATTCAAGATGGATTAAAGACTTACGTGTTAGACCTAAAACCATAAAAACCCTAGAAGAAAACCTAGGCAATACCATTCAGGACATAGGCATGGGCAAGGACTTCATGTCTAAAACACGAAAATCAAGGGCAACAAAAGCCCAAATTGACAAATGCGATCTAATATGAAATTCTTAATGAGTTCTATAGTTATAAGTACATTATTTCTCCTTATTAAAACTAATCTTTTTTGCTGAATGGGTGGAAGATGGTGGCTTCCCTCCAAAAGAAAACATAGTTGGTTCTGTAAAGAGTTCACCCATTTCTTCCACTATAGGCCTGCCCTGGCATAATACAAGCTCCCAACTTAAGAACTTATGATTTTCCATCCATGGGAGAAGCCATCTTTTCCATCTATTATAAAAACAGAAGACACTTCATTAATATCACTCCCAAAATAGGCTATGTCATATCCAGTGAGGTAGGATGGCTGACAGTGGTGAGAATCCAAGTAATTGGTCAAGCACTGCTATGTGTGAAGAAACACCACAGCATACTCTACACTGTCACTCATGATATGGAATTGTTGCCTCCTCAGCAATGTAACTGAGCCCTTAATATGTGGCTGGGATGACAAAGCAATGCCAGCCTGCAGAGTGGAACCTGTTCTTCCTTCTGGGATTAGCCAAAGGCCGGTGGCACTCATGGCTGACCCTACTTTCCTTACAACTGGACGAAGCGAAGCAACTGGATATGAACTTCTATCCCAGGATGTAACTGTCCAAAGTGCCTTCTCTTTATGTCAACTGGAAAAGTGTGAAAGACAGACACTATTCTCATAAACGGATATCCTAGTTATTCCACCCACTAGCCAGCTCTTCCCCCCAGGTGGCAGTCATAGATTTAGAATTGCAAGTAGAGGCCCTGGCTAAGCATACCACCAGTCCCTTTAACAACACCTACCATACCATCATCATTCTTACTGAAGAAACCTCACAGATTTGACAAGTGACACTATGAAGCTATATGACCCTAGGTATTGCAACTACAGCCAAAGGTAACACTTGTGTATTAATGAACCCTGAATGTTGCATATATATACAAGATTAGTCCCACAATATAACTCAAGCTATGCAAGCATTAGATACCCATATTTCTGCTAGAGATGGATGCCCTCTCTCAGGACCCTGCGACAGCATGGTTTAGTTGACTTCCTAACACATGGAAGACTTTCATATATAGTAGAGCTGGTATACTCTTCATTGCTATCTTCAGTTGCTGTGGATTTTATTGGTACCTTGCACTTTAAGTGAGAATGTAATACTGACCTTCTCAAAAACTCCTAGGTCCTTGCACCATAATGCTCCAACAAACACCTACTGTAATTCCGGAGACTCCAGAATATTTCCAACTCCAGTTTAATGGATTCCCTTCCAATATATACAAGCTATGCCCTTTCTAAGAAGTAGCCAGATTGACTATGACACACGTTTTCCATAGAAACAAAATGGAATTTGACAGTGGGGAATGATATACAGGCAGCTTAATTTCAAAATGCATTTTAAACTTATTTTTTGAGGTTTTAATATTATTTTCATACTCCTTGAAACCTGAAATTTCACACTTACATTCTAATTGAGACTTAATAACAAATAACCAGAACACATGAATTGCCTGTAATCTCTATACCTTGTATTGTAAGCCACATTTCAAGTGTAACCTTACTTGTCAGCACAGTATGTTTACCATAGGCATAATTGCTTGTCCTGACTGTCCAGAAGGCAGGGTGGTATTAAGTATGCGGCCTCTGGAGCTGGGAAGTCTGGCTTTGTATACTGTCTCTGCCACTGCTAACTGAAGGACAATGGGCCAGTTACTTCCTGTACCCCAGTTTTGTCATATGTAAAGTAGGGTTGTTGTAAGAATGAAATTAGTTAATATTTAGTACCTAACAACTAGTAGGCATTACGTGGTAGCTATTCGTATTGCTATCGTCAGAGAACACACAGGAGTCCATTGTTATTTTTACCCTCCCCCTCCAAACAAAATGTGTAAGACACTAGACATGGTAGCTCTGTAACGGGGTTCGTCATGTATTAAACTGTGTACCCAAATGATATGTCAAAGTCCTGACAACCAGCACTTCAGAACACGTCCTTATTTGGAAATATGGTAGCTGGAGATGTTATTAGTGAAGATGAGGTCTTACTTGAGCAGGGCAGGCCCTCAATGTGGGAAGATGGGTGTCTTTCTAAGTACAAGGAAATTTGGACACAGAGACAGAGACATACAGTGTGCCATATGACAGCAGAGGCAAAGATCAGAGTGGTGCAGCAGTAAACCAATGCATGTCCAGGATTACCAGTCACCTCCACAAGTGAGGAAAGGGCAAGGAAGAAGTCTCCTGAGTCTCAGAGGGAGTGCAGCCCAGCTCACACTTGATTTTGGACTTCTAGTCTCTAGAACTGTGAGACAATACAGTCCTGTCATTTTTAAGCCACCCAGTTTGTAGTATTTCATTTTGGCAGCCCTACGATATTCATACAGAGTTCTTCACCCAAAAGGAAGCACTCTTTCTCACAAACAGTCAAAGTCCTGGATGACGGACAACCTGGAGATTGCAAACCTCCAAGGAATCAAAGGAGGTTCTATAAAGTCTAGGAGCCCCATCTTTCAAAGGCTGCTCCTCAAGTCCACACACACACTTTGGAAGGAGAATCCTGCTCTTGGACATGGGATCCTTAGTGAGCCAACTGCCAATAATCCAACATCATCATGAATTAAAGATCTCTGACATTTCCTCGTCACCAACGGGAATTCTGTCAAGTAGTAAGTAAAACCCTTCTTCAGGAATCTCCACACCAAACAGTTCTGCATGGCTTGGGACGCCTCAGGAAACTTATAATCATGGCAGAAGAAAAAGGGGAAGCAAGGCAGTCATACATGGTGGCAGAAGAGAGAGGTTAAACTTTTCAGTCTCTCTTGGGTGTAAAGATACAATCTTGAGGCAAACAGCAGAATCAATTTTCTTATGCCTTGAAATTCTCCCTTTCACCATAAATATTCCCTTCACATTAATCTAACTTTATGTTTGCATCGAACTATGTGCCTTTTTGGAAGTTCCGGAAGCTAATTTGAGACAGATAGACAAAGTCGGGAGACCCTGATGCAGAATTCCAGAGGTGACTTCAATGTTGCTAGTTAACAACCCAGGCATTGCCCAGATGATGCCAGCCCAAGATCCAGGTGGACTGGGATGCCAGAGAGCTGCCAGAACAAGACGCACAGACCTGGTTCTCAGCCCAAATCTTGCATGCCTTTCTTACCAACTTTCCCTTTTTTAAACCCCTGCCTTTCCTTCAAAATTGAAGTGGTTGCTTGGGATGGGAATGCGTTCACTTCCCCTTTACCATTATGGTTAATACAATAATTTTTGTACCAGATCTCTCTCTTGTTAATTGGATCCTGCAGGTGGCAGATTCCGGACCAGAGTGACGTTAGAAACTGAATGCACATACTGGGTGGTTCACAGACACAGTGTTCTGTGAAGTTTATGGGTGGATTCCTGGGGAAGCCTGCAAGCCTGTTAGTGATTAGCAGAACCGCATCCAGCTACTGGGATCTGCACGCCAGGTGCCGTGAGCCCCTCACCATGTTCCCTGGTCCCAGCTGCCCGCGGATGGTTCAGCCTTGACAACGGGCTCGGTGTTCTGGGTGGTGGGAGAGCAAGGGGGCCCCTTGGGCAGCGTGCTACAGGGCTGTGAATCCAGGGGCCCACCCGGTGTTCCCTGTGGAGTCACTGAGGGAATGAGGGGCTTCTCAGGGCACAGAGCTGTAACGCCTTTGTGCAGTGGTGGCTGAATACAGTGACACTGGGCGCGTGGTGAGAAGCGGGGCAAGGTCAGTTCACTGGACCCTCCGCCCTGAGCCTCAGATGAGTCGGGGGTCCCCAGACAGGCCCGGCCTCTGCCCTGCGGCGGACACTGGAGCCTTTGCTGTGGCCGCCACCGAGGAGCCTTGACCTCAAAGCAGCGGGAACCTCTCTACCCACCTCGGAAACCTGAAGGCAGCGGCGGCCTCTCCCAGCCAGGACCTCGCCGGCCTCCGCGTCTCCAGGCCCAACCCTGTACCACATAAAGGAAGTCCGCGCTGAGCTACCGGGACACAGCGCCGTTGGGTGGGCGGGCGCGGCGCGGCGGGAAGCACCGGGGCAGCTGCCACAGAGATGCGCGGGGACTGTCGGGAAGTGGGCGGTCCGGGAGGCGCGGGGCTGATGGGACGTGGGCGGTCCGGGGACGCGCGGGGGATGGCGGGACGTCGGCGATCCGGAGATGCCAGGGGGCAGCTGGGACGTGGGCGGTCTGGAGAGGCGCGGGGGCAGCTGAGATGCAGGTGGTCCGGGACGCGCGGGGGCTGGCGGGTTGTGGGAGGTCCAGGGATGCGAGGGGGCAGCTGGGACGTGGGAGTTCCGGGGACGCGTGGGGTCGCCAGGAAGCGGGGTCTAGGACTTAGATCCGCCTTCTCTTCAGGCCATGCAGCCCCGAAGCTCCGAATCCTGGGATGACTCCTGTCCATGTTGGAAGGGACCCTGCCAGTCCTGGCAAGGTTCAACGGCCTTAGGGCAAGAAATGTTAGTAGAGTCCTGGAAGACGATGTGGGGAACGGGTAGCGGCCACCGGATGGTGATCGTTCTTCTACAAGACCTTGACATGGATGGGGAGAAACAGAGAAGAACCTTCCAAGTTTGTCCCACTGGACATGCCCACCACACTTTACCAGCCCTTTCTAGAAGGCCTGTGCGTAACACATGAAAAAGCTGCTCTCGACCTTTCCCTGACCTTTTAAAAGAAAACATTTGCTGCATCTAATCCGCCTAGATGTAAGGAGGTTCCCAAATGTATGACAGAGTCAGACAATTACATGTCTTGTAAGTTACCATGTGCTTGTCTTTTGTTTTCCGTTTTTTTTCGTTTTTTTGTTTTTTGTTTTTGAGACGGAGTCTCACTCTGTCGCCCAGGCTGGAGTGCAGTGGCAGGATCTTGGCTCACTGCAACCTCTGCTTCCTGAGTTTCAACAATTGTGCTGCCTCAGCCTCCCGAGTAGCTTGGATTACAAGTGTGCACCACCACGCCTGGCTAATTTTTGTAGTTTTTAGTAGAGATGGGGTTTTGCCACGTTGGCCAGGCTGGTCTTGAACTCCTGACCTCAGGTGAGCCACCCACCTTGGCCTCTCAAAGTGCTGGGATTACAGGTGTGAGCCACCGTGCCTGGCCGTAAGTTACCGTGTGCTTTTTAAACAAATCATAGCAAAGGGGTGTCTTCTGGAAATGACATTTTGAAATGGAGTTACTAGACCACCCCTGGAAGGGACACAGTAACCACACGTCCACGTTCGTTCAGTGGGTGAGAGGACATGGAGGGGAGACCTGGGCAGGAAGGGAAGAGGGTTCCATGCCAGGCTGCTCATATTTAAAAGACATTTTCATTGTAGGGACATGGATGAAATTGGAAACCATCATTCTCAGTAAACTATCGCAAGAACAAAAAACCAAACACCGCATATTCTCACTCATAGGTGGGAATTGAACAATGAGATGACATGGACACAGGAAGGGGAATATCACACTCTGGGGACTGTGGTGGGGTGGGGGGAGGGGGGAGGGATAGCATTGGGAGATATACCTAATGCTAGACGATGCGTTAGTGGGTGCAGCACACCAGCATGGCACATGTATACATATGTAACTAACCTGCACAATGTGCACATGTACCCTAAAACTTAAAGTATAATTAAAAAAAAAAAAGAAAAATAAAAGACATTTTCATATCGTTGTCATTGTTTTCTTGTGTGCATTTTATTCCTCGCTATTGTATACATCATTGGAAATTCTAAGTATTCTTTTGAAATATCTAGTCTTTCTAGATGTTCTGAAGTGCCTGATGTATGTTAAAATTACAGGTGGTAAAATAATAAATTTTGTAAATGTCTTTTTGTTAAAATTCATATGCAGTGTTTTATTTTATTTTGATGTTGGTGGGGGGTGGGGAGGATGGCCAAATCCCTGCTTGATCAACACACATTGCGTTTGTGCTCTGGTTCAGGGGAGGAGAGAGGAGGAGAAAGTGCAGACTTCCAGGCCTCTGTGCGCACCGGGAGGAGAGATTAATGATCATCTCTTCTGTCTGTGTGTTTGTTTTATTTATCTATGGATATCCTGTGTATAAAGGATGAACAAGTCCTATTTATAACATCTAATCTTTTCAGGTGTTAAGTTGCCAGCGTATGACGGAAGTAGCATTATTAAACGAATGCAGCTTGTACATATTGTGTTAAAATTCATAAAAAGCCAGTCTTCTGAAAAGAACCCTTGGGCCCTCCCTCCGCAGCCTCCGGCGCCAGCTGCAGGAAGACCTGGCCAGGGGAAGGCGGGCGGCAGAAGCTGCTGCTGGCTGTGGGGAAGGCGGTGGAGCCCAGGCCTCCACAGGCTCCCCACAGGCTCCCCACAGGCTCGCGCGGCTCTGGTTGCTGGGCTCCGCACGGGCCGCGTGGGGGCGCCTGCTGGGAGCGAGGAGGCGCCATCCTGGCTCGCCTGCTCCAGGAGGACGCTCTGGGCCTGCGCAGATGCAGTTCTCCAGGATGGGCGCGGGCGCTGGGGGCGGCGCTCCTTGGGCTGCTGCGCCTCCACTGAGCCGCCTGGGTGTGAGGACCTCGCGCCGGCGCCTCCGGGAAGGACGCGGAGCCGCCGCGGCCGATCCCAGGGCTGCAGCTGCTGCCCGACGCCCGCGGGAAGGCCCTTCCGCCACCGCCCGGGGGTTCGAACTTGGAGCAGCTGCTGCCAGCTGAGGCGCCAGCGGCGTCGGGAGCTCCTCAGAGTCAGTGTTTTGTGCTGGATTCGGCATGTCCTCTGAAAACTCGGGAATTTGTCACTGAAATGGTGACAGGAGGTGAGAAGTTTTTTTAGACGTTGCCTTCGCTGGCCTGGCGCGGGGCTCAGGCCTGGAATCCCAGCACTTTGGGAGGCTGAGGCGGGCGGATCGCTTGAGCTCCGGAGGTGGAGAAGCTGCCTTCGTGGTAACTGTGGTCTTAAGTTCAGCTGAGAACGATAAATGGCTTTTCCTTGAATTGGCTGCTTTTGTGATTTCTCTCAGGCTCATCTTTTGTCAGTTAAAAATCCAGTGGTAGGTGTAGCTTAGAGACGGGAAATTTTTGGTTTTGTTTTGGCTACACGTAAGTGTTGGAAATTATTTTCTTTTACGTTCCAGTGTGAGCAAATCCAGAAGGATGTCAGATTAAACACCGAATTTAACAAATTCAGCCGGGCACGGTGGCTCACGCCTGTAATCCCAGCACTTTGAGAGGCCGAGGCGGGTGGATGATGAGGTCAGGAGTTTGAGAACAGCCTGACCAACATAGTGAAACTCCGTCTCTACTAAAAATACAAAAATTAGCCGGGCGTGGTTGTGCGCGCCTGTAATCCCAGCTACTCAGGAGGCTGAGGCAGGAGAATCGCCGAGATTGCGCCACTGCACTCAGCCTGGGCGACAGAGCGAGACTTCGTCTCAAAAAAACAAAAAAAAATCAATCATTGGAATACTGTTGTTCATTACAATTAATGAACGTTTGATAGACGCATAAACGAACTAAATTCACAAGTACATATAAGTAAAATAAGCCAAAAAAAAAAAACTACATCCCGTATGATGACACTTTTATACATTCTACAGAATAGAAACTAAAGTGATATGAAGGTTGGGAGTTGAATGGAGAAAAGGTGAGCGAAAAGAGGGAGGACGGAGGAGTTGCAAGAGAACAAGAGAAAATGTTGAGGGTAATTGATCTGTTTTCTATCTTAATAATGGTTATGGTTACATCAATAATTTCTAAATTGTACATTTTGTGTGTTAATTATAATTTTATATTATTCAAGCTATTACAAATAAATACCTGTATAAATTTCTTAGGGACGGTTTAAGGGAGATGGATAAATCACATAAAAAGTCAGATATTTCTGAATGTACAATGAATAACCCTTAGCTCTATCTTTATTTTTTGGTAATTCTAAAATGCAGCAGATTTTTTTAATGTTTTTATTACAAGAAGGGTTTCTTCAAACCACACCAGGTGTGTGTAACTCTGGGCTAAAGTTGGTTAAGGGAGCAGTGGGATCCGGTGGAGAGGAGCACAGGCCTCGATCCTGGAGCCCATTCTTGTCACATGTGAGCTCCTGGACACATCTCATAGCTCCCTCATGCTTCTGCGTTTACATTCTCATCTGTAAATGGAGGACCAATGGGCATCTGCCTCTAACAATGTATTTTCATGTGTTAAGATGATGTATGTTAAGTGTTTACTATAGCACAATCTTTTAATAAGAAATTACATTTTTTTCCAAATACTATCATTGTCTTCAAGCCCCACCACCCACCAGAAAACTTAATATGCTCTGTGCCCTGCCCTGTCCTCAGACATCCAGCCCAAGAGACTTTTATATAGTAGGAGATATGCAAATAGTTCCCTCCCTCTGCTGATGATGAAAACCAGCCCAGCCGTGACCGTGCAGCTCTGGGAGACGAGCTCAAGTGCCAGGATTCCCAAGTGTTTTCACTTGGTGATCAGAACTTAACACAGAGGAATCACCATGTTGTTTGGGCTGAGCTGGGCTTTCCTTTTTACTATTTTAAGAGGTGATACATGAAGAACTACAGATATTGTTCGTGAGTGGATATTAGAGAAACAGTGGATATGTGTGGCAGTTTCTGACCAGGATGTCTCTGTGTTTGCAGGTGTGCAGTATGAGGTGCAGCTGGTAGAGTCTGGGGGAGACTTGGTACAGCTGTGGTGGGGTTGGGGGTGTCCTGAGACTCTCATGTGCAGCCTGCGGATTCATCTTGAGAAGCAATGACATGAACTGGGCCCACCGGGCTTCAAGAAAGGGGCTGGAATGGGTCTCATACATTAGTGCTAGTGGTGGTAGCCTATACTATGCAGACACTGAAGGGTAGATTCACCATCTCTAGAGACAATGGCAAGAACATGCTGTACTTGCAAATGAACAGTCTGAGAGATGAGGACTCGGCTGTGTGAGAGACATGGTGAGGGGAAATCAGTATGAGCCCAGCCAGAAACCTCCCTGCAGGAACCCTGGGGTGGGGGGAAATCAGCTGCAGGGGGCACTCAGGACCCACTGATCAGAATCAACCCCAGAAGGAGGTGCACATGGAGATTAGGGGCTGGATTCCTTCCAGGATGTGGGACTTCAACTTCTTCTGACAGTTTCCCCAGGGAACCGCTCTAAGTTTAGAATTCTGTGTCATCTCTATGTATTTAAAAAAGATCATTTTAATGTGAGGAACTAACTATTCTCACATGCACAAAATGCAGATTCACACTCACAGAGATGAAAAGTCCTCAACTGTGGTCACTAGGATCAGAGTCCTGAGGAATCTCAGGCGTTCCTGGTGAGTCTTCTCCAATCAGACCCAGGACAGACACCTCAGTGAGATTCCATGACTAGAACAGGCTTTATGGATTTTAAAAAAAATAGACTGAGCCAGGGTCAGTGTCATGTAGAACCTCACAGGTTTCACATCTGACCCTTCTCCTGACACTAAAGTGTGCAAATCAGCATCAATACTGATCTGGTGCTGCTTTTGCTCCCAATCTGTGTTCTTTCTTGAGTTGTCCCTTTTTCATTTGCTTTTCCTGCTCCCTGAAAAAAGAAAGATGTTGTCTCTGTGGTCTAAATTCCAGGGCTCAAGCCCTTTTCTTGGAGCTCAGGTGGGTCTCAGGTTGTGGCTCCTGCAGCCACGCTGGGGAGGCTGATGGGACTTTCTTCTCTCCCATTGCTCAGGGCCCTCCACTATATTGTGTGGAGACTCATCTCAGAATAGATGTGGCCAGTGGGAGCTGAAGGGGACAAGCTTGTTTGGTCAAAATGAGATACAAATATGGAATTCACCCTGTGCTGTACAAACTGTCACAGAGTCACTTTCTGAAACAATAGTGTTAGAAAGAACTTGAGAAAGTTGTCAGAATCAAAATTGGGTCACTTGTGTTAAAACTCTGCTGAATGAAGCTGGGAAAGGCCGTGACGGAATGTTCTCATGCTCATATCCCTGATACCAAGAACTATCGTAAATAGACTCTTAAAACCACAATCTTGCACAAAGGTGCCCACAACCTTAAAAGAATTACTTCTCTGAGTAATCTTCCCAGCAGCTCTCTGTGTAAGATTGGACTGATGCCACCCTTGTTATTGATTCTTCTATCCCGGAGAAGTTGTCTCAAAACAGCTTATGTAACCCTCCTCATTTTTCTTTAAACCTTTATCTTTCTTTACCTGCCTGAGTGAACCCATGCATGTTCCCATTGCAATGTCCATCTTCAAATAATTATCATTTTACTTTAGAGTCTCTTTTTGTCTGTTATTCAGATTTGACAAGCTGCAGATGGACACATCACGTTTCTGTAAGACTTAGGGGATGACAGTTTTGAGGCATGGCTGGGGAAGTACAATGTCCATAAGATTGACCCTCAATAAGTGCAGGCTGTAAGTCTCAGAGCTGAAGCTGCTGAATCACCATAGAATTTCATCTTTAGTTCTGCTCTGATGGAATCAGGCCCACCTGTGTAATGAATGACACTCTACCTAACCTAGAGTCAACTGATGACAGGTTAAATATCTAGACAGCAAATTTGCAACACCACTTAGATTAGTGTTTGAATAACTACAAAGTATAGCCGAGCCAAGTATATCGTAAAGCAGACTATTATACATGGAGAATCTTTAACATGACATCTACAATTCTTAATTTTTTTTACGTATAAAACTGATGGTTTTACAATCAGGCTGTCATGATTTTGCTAATGAGTTGTAGAAGTTACATGTATGTTTTAAATATTAACAGTTTTTTCAGATGCCTGGTTTGCAACTATATTCTCCCATTCTGTAGATTTGGAATTTTTTCCATGCTTTGCAAAATCTTTATATTTTGATGTAGTTCCAGTCCTTCAATTCTGCTTTTGTTGTCTGTGCTTTTAATCTTAAATTTAGGAAATCATTGCTAACCTTTTGGTGGGAGAGAATTTTACAATTGCAGGCTATACATTTAACTGTTTAACCCATCTAGAGTTGATTTTTTGTGTTTATTCTAACCTAATATTCTTAACTATTTGCAAGTGAAAACCCAGTTTGTTTAACACCCTCTTTAGGGGAGAGTATGATTTAGCCGTTGTGTAGAAAATGTTATAAATCACTTTGCCTTCATATTGGTTCTCAACTTGAAAATGAGTTTGCCATCAATACGTGGGTTTATTTCTGAGCTCTCTATATGTATTTATGCCAGTACCATCCTGTTTTGATTATGTTTGTAATTAATTTTGAAGTCTGAGAGTAAAATGCCTCCAAGTTTATTCTTGCCCTTTTGCAGATATTAGACAAAATATTTTAACATTTCACCATGAAGTATGATAACAGCTATGGCTTTTCATAATGAATTTTATTGTGTTTAGGTTATTTTCTTGTATTTCTATTTTGGGTAGAGTTTTTATGGTGAAACCTTGAATTTTTTTAATGTTATTTTCTGTCTGAGAAGTTAATGGGACCTTCTTCGTATTTAATTTGGCATACCAAATGTATTGATTTGAGGATTTTGAATCATCTGTGCATCTCAAAAATAAATTTGAGTTGGTCATGGTGTATGATCCTTCTAAAGTCCTGTGGAACTTAGTTGACTATTATTTGGTGTGTGGAGGGGGCTCATTTATGTCTACTAGGAATATTGGTCTGTAGTTTACTTTTTTGTGACCTTGTCTATTACTGAAAATACGGTAATTTGGGCCTTATAGAAAGACTGGAAGGTTGGCATCTCACCAATTTTTGAAAAAGTTAGAGAATGGTTGGCATTACTTCTTTAAATGTTGAGAGTCCTTTTTTTACTTAACATGTGACCTATCATGGAGAATATTTAGTCTTTGCTTCGGAAGCATACATATTACACTGCTCTTGGTTGGAAGGTTCTGTAGATGTCTATTAGGTCAATTTGTTCAATAGTGTTGTTCAAGTCCACTGTCTTCTTAAGAATTCTCTTAATGATGTTCTATCCATCATTGAAAGTGAGGTGCTAAAGTCTTCTCCTAATTTTTATTATTTTCTATTTATCTCTCCATATCTCTTAAGGTTTGCTTAATGCAGTTATATTTATTTTTGTACAAATATGTAAAAAATAAATGAAATAATAATTGCTAAGTAATTTTAATGGCAAAATCACATAATAAGAAATTATATTTTCCCAAATGCTGTCATTGACACTAAGCTCCTCCAGGAATCTCACATCTGCTCTGGACACGGCTCTCCTGGTGTCCTACCCCAGAGCTTGCTATAGAGGAGGAGACATGCAAATAGGGCCCTCACTGTCCTGATGAAAACCAGCCTTGCCTGCGTCTACGGGAGAAGAGCCCCAGTCCAGAAGTACCAGGGGTTTCCATTTGGTGGTCAGGTCTCTGAACACAGAGGACTCACTATGGAGTTTGGGCTGAGCTGGGTTTTCCTTGTTGCTAATGTAAAAGGTGACTCATGGAGAACTAGAGATATTGAGTGTGAGTGGACACAAGTGAGAGAAACAGTGGATATGTGTGGCAGGTTCTGACCAGGGTGTCTGTGTGTGTTTGCAGGTGTCCAGTGTGAGGTGCAGCTGGTGGAGTCTTTGGGAGGCTTGTTATAGCCTGGGGGTCCCTGAGACTTTCTTTTGCAGCCTCTGGATTCACCTTTAGTACCTTTATTAGGTACTGGATGAGCTGGGTCCATCAGGCTCCTGGGAAAGGGCTGGAGTAGGTCTCATTTATGAGTTGTTGTGTAGGTAGCACAAGCTATGCAGACTCTGTGAAGGGTCGATTCACCCTCTCCAGAGATGATGCCAAGAAATCACTGTATCTGCAAATGAACAGCGTCAGAGCCGAGGATAGGTCTGTGTATTACTGTGGTGGCATTGTGTGCATCCCTTGTTTAGGTACATGCAGAGATGCTGCTTTGGTGTGTTCAGGGGCTCCTGTTTTGGGGACACCAATTTTGGAGTTTGCAGTATCCTTGAGTCCAGTACGTTCATGGTGGCATTGGGTCTGGGGTGTGCAGTGGCAATGAGTCCAGGATACATGCAGCTGATGCCGTATCTTGTGAGGACAAGAACAACTACAAAACGATCCTATTAATAAATAGGCAAATGACTTGAATACACATTTTTCAAAAAATACATACAAATGACATATAGATATATAAAATGTTAAATATGAGTAATAATTTTTAAAATTCAAATGTAATCTACAATAAATTATCACCCCATACCTGTTAGAATAGCTATTTTTAAAGAAGATGAAAGATAACCAGTATTGGGGCAGAAGTGGAGTAAAGGGAGCCTATATATATTGTTACTGAAAATGTCAATTAGTACAGACATTATGGAGAATACTATGGAGGTTCCTCAAAAAATAAAAATAGAACTACCATAGTTTCCAACAAGCCCACTACTGGCTATGTATCCACAGGAAGTGCAATCAGTATGTCAAAGAGACATCTGTGCCCCCACGTTCATTGCAGGAATATTTATGATAGTAATGATGTGGGAACATCCTAAATTACCATAAATGGATGAATTACTAAAGAAAATGTAGTATGTACCCAATGGAGTAATGTTCATCCTAAAATAAGAAGGGAATCCTGCATTTGCAACAGCAGGCATGACTCTAGAGGACCATATGTGAAGTTCCACAGGCAGGCGCAGAAGACAAGTAATTCGCGATTTCACTGTAGTTTGTTTAAATGGTAGACTCACAGAAGTAGAGTGGAGTGTTGGTTACCAGGGGCTGGAGGGGTGGACTGGAAAAGGCGAGATTTTGGTCAAAGGGTGAAATGTTCCAGTTAGACAGAAGGAGAAAGTTACAGTGTTCTAATGCACAAGATGGAAAATATGGCTAATAATGCATTATATATTTCAAAATGGCTAAAAATGCAAATGTTAAAAATTTTCTCACTAAGAAATGATACAGCCTGGGCGCGGTGGCTCACACCTGTAATCCCGGCACTTTGGGAGGCTGAGGCGGGCGAATCACAAGGTTTGGAGTTCAAGACCAGCCTGGCCAGATGGCAAAACCCCGTCTCCACTAAAAACACAAAAAATAGCCAGGTGTGGTGGCACGCGGTTGTAATGCCAGCTACTCGGGAGGCTGATGCAGGAGAATTGCTTGAACCCGGGAGACAGAGGTTGCAGTGAGCTGAGATCATGCCACTGCACTCCAGCCTGGGTGACAGTGAGACTCCAACTCAAAAAAAAAAAAAAGAATGAAATGATAGCTGTGTGAGGTGATGGATATGTCAAATAGCTTGATTAACAATTCCATAATATATACATGTATCATAGCATGTGTGAGGTGACCTGTATGAAGGTGAAGTGACCTGGGGGCTGTGTAAGATTACCTGGGGGTATGTGTGAGGTGAACACGGCACATATGAGGTGACCAGAGACACATGTGAGGGGACATGGGAGATATGTCGGGTAAGCCAGGGGGATTTGTGAGGTGACACAGAGCAAGTGTGAGGTGACGTGGATGCATGTAAGGTGATTTGGGGCACATGTGAGGTGACGTGGGGGATATGTGTGAGCTGACCTCGGGTGAGTGTGAGGTGATCCAGGATGGATGTGAGGTGACCTGGGGGTGTGTGTGAGGTGACTTGGGCACATGTCAGGTGACATCGGGGATTGGTGGTGATGTGGGTGTGTGTGAGGTGACCTAAGGAGGTATGAGGTCACCTGGGGCATCTGTGGGGACCTGGAAATGTGTGAGGTGGGTACAGGTGAAGTCACCTAGGGCACATGTGAGGTGACCTGTGGAATGTGTATGGTGACCTGGGACCGTTTGAGGTGACATGGGGAATGCGTGAGGTGACCTGGGGCATGTGTGAGGTGACAAAGGGCATGTGTGCAGTGACCTGGGTGCATGTGAGGTGACCTGGTGCATGTGTTAGGTTACCTGGGGGATGTGTGAGGTGAACAGGGGCAGGTGTGAAGTGCCTGAGGAATGTGTGAGGTGAACTGGTGCATGTATGTGGTGACCTGGGGGATTTACGAGGTGACCTGCGGGATGTGTGAGGTGACCTTGGGTGAGCGTGAGGTGACCTGACGTATGTATGAGGTGACCAGGGTGTGTCTGAGGTGATGTGGGGTATATGTGCGGTGACCTGGGAAATGTTTGAGGTGACCTGGTGGATGTGTGAGGTGACCTGCAGGATGTGTAAGGTGACACTGGGGATGTGTGAGGTGACTCAGGGCACATGTGAGGTGAAATTGGGGATGCGTGAGGTGATTCAGGGCATATGTGAGGTGACCTTGGGGATGTGTGAGGTCACCTTGGGTGAGTGTGTGGTCATCTGGGATATTTCCCAACTTCGTAAGGAAAGCCTGCAACAACACATGGCATTAGAAGCTTCACACTCTAGCACCATTAATGCGTACATCCTCAAGGAACTCTAAATGTTTTGAGGTTAGCTTAAATGCCATGGAGCGGCACCTTCCCCAGGCACACTCATATATGCATCCTGGGTCTCCCTGCCAAGCTATATCTCCTCAAATTTACAGTTTATGTTTGCTCTGTGACATCAACTCTGATATGTTCAAGTGTGTTTTTTTTTCTTTATTTGTAGTTGTTCAGGCTTGTTGTTTCACTCTCATTACTCTGGGCTCAGTCCTCTCCTCAGGTGTCCCACTTCAGAGCTCGCTGTGAAATAGGAGACATGCAAATAGGGCCCCCCCTTTCCTGATAAAAAGCAGCCCAGTCCTGACCCTGCAGCCCTGGGAGAGAAGCACCAGCCCTGGGATTCTCAGGTGTTTCCACTTTGTCATCAGCAACAAACAAATTACCATGGAATTTGGGCTGAGCTGGGTTTTTCTTGCTGCTATTTTAAAAGGTGATTCATGAAGAACTAAGGATATTGAGTGAGTGGACATGAGTGAGAGAAACAGTGGATTTGTGTGGCAGTTTCTGACCAGGGTGTCTCTGTGTTTGCAGGTGTCCAGTGTGAGGTGCAGCTGGTGGAGTCTGGGGGAGGCTTGGTACAGCCTGGGGGATCCCTGAGACTCTCCTGTGCAGCCTCTGGATTCACCTTCAGTAACAGTGACATGAACTGGGTCCATCAGGCTCCAGGAAAGGGGCTGGAGTGGGTATCGGGTGTTAGTTGGAATGGCAGTAGGACGCACTATGCAGACTCTGTGAAGGGCCGATTCATCATCTCCAGAGACAATTCCAGGAACACCCTGTATCTGCAAACGAATAGCCTGAGGGCCGAGGACACGGCTGTGTATTACTGTGTGAGAAACACTGTGAGAGGTCGGAAGTGTGAGCCCAGACACAAACCTCCTGCAGGAACGTTGGGGGAAATCAGCTGCAGGGGGCGCTCAGGACCCACTCATCAGAGTCAACCCCAGAGCAGGTGCACATGGAGGCTGGGGTTTGTTTCCTGTCAGGATTTGGGACTTCCTCTGCTTCTGACAGTTTCTCTAGGGAAACTCTTTAATTTTAGATTTCTGTGCCCACCAATGTCATCTCTACATTTTTTTAATCATTGTATATGAGGACTCGTTCTCACATGCACAATATGTATATTGCCACCTATGGGAATGAAAGGTCCTCAACCATGGTCACCAGCATCAGAGTCGTGAGGAAGCTCAGGGGTGCCTGGTGAGTCTTCTCCAGTCAGACTCAGGACAGTAACCTCAAGGGGATTCCCTTGTGAGAACTCACACATTTTCATGAGAACAGCACCAGGAGTCAGTTCTAAACCATTCATGAAAGACCCACTCCATGACCCAGTCACCTCCCACCAGGTCACCCCTTCACAACTGGGGATTATAATACAACATGAGATTTGGGGCAGGACACAAATCCAAACCATATCAGATACACATTGTGAAATACGCATGGTGGTCAGGTAATTTGTATTTCTATCACCTCACAGCGCTACCATTTTATTATTTTTTTTAATTTACTGCATGAGTGAGTGTCTGATGAGAACACCTAAGATCTACCCTTTCAGCAACAATCATTTTTACAATACAGTATTAACTATAGGACCATTGCTGTACGTTAGATCTCCAGAACTCATCCAACCTGCACAACTGAAACTCTGTACAATTTAACACACATCACCCAATTTCCCTCACCTCCCAGGTCCTGGGACCCACTATTCTACTCTCTGCTTTCAAGAGCTTGAATATTTTAGATCCCACATGTAAATGAGATCATGCAGCATTTGTCTTTCTGCATCTGGCTTATTCAACTCAGCATCATGTCCTCCAGGCCCATCCGTGTTGTTGCAAATGTCAGAATTTCCCTCTTTTCAAAGCCAAACAAAATACAGATGTATGTATACACATTTTCTTTATACATTCATCCATTTACAGTCATTAAATTATTTTACAAATCTACACTATTATTAATAATCTTGCAATGAACATGTCTTTGGCAAAGTAATTTTATTTCCTTTGCATATATAACAAGAAGTGGGATCACCAGATTATATGATAGCTTTATTTTTAACTTATCAAGTAACCAATCCTACCACAGGATATTTCCCTTTCCCCCACATTCTTGCCAACATTTGTCATCTGTTACATTTCTGATAATAGCCATATTAACTAGTGTGAGTTGATATTGCATTGTGCTTCTCATTTGAATTCCTCTGATAATTAGGAATGTTGAGAACTTTTTCGTTTTCTGTTTGCCATGCATGTATCTTCTGAAAAAAATTATCCAGGTTTTTGCCCTTTTTTATCAGTTCATTTGTTATTTGCTGTTGAGGTGTATGGGTTATTTATACATTTGGACAGAACTTCTTGTCAGATCCATAATTGCACATAGTTTTTCCTGTGCTTTGTTATTAAATTCAAAGAAATCAGTTCCGAATTAATGGCAGGAATTTTTTTTGCTCCATGTCATTTATGAGTTTATGGCTTCAGGTATTATGTCCATTTTTAGTTGATTTTTTTTTTTTTTGGGAGACGGAGTCTTGCTCTGTAGCCCAGGCTGGAGTGCAGTGGCGCGATCTCGGCTCACTGCAAGCTCCGCCTCCCGAGTTCACGCCATTCTCCTGCCTCAGCCTCCGAGTAGCTGGGACTACAGGCGCTGGCCACCGCGCCTAGCTAATTTTTTTTTGTATTTTTAGTAGAGACGGGGTTTCACTGTGGTCTCCATCTCCTGACCTCGTGATCCGCCCGCCTCGGCCTCCCAAAGTGCTGGGATTACAGGCGTGAGCCACCGCGCGCGGCCTATTAGTTGATTTTTTTATATGGAGTTAGAGAAGGCCTAATTTTATTTCTTTTGCATATGAATGCCAGTTTTACACCATTATTGAAAAGACTGTCCTTTCTCTACTGTGTGCTCTTGGCACACAAAATCAGGAGAGACATAATGACAAAAAAAATATGAGATCAATAGTCCTGATGAACATAGACCTGAAAGTCCTCAACAAAATACCATCAAATTGAATCCAGAAGCACTTTAAAATGTGATACATCATGGTCAGGTGGGCTTTACCCCTGGGATGCAAGGCTCGTTCAATATCCACAGTAACTCTGATTCACAATGTAAACAGAATAAAAGCAAAAAGCATATGATTATGTCAATAGATGCTGAGAAAGCTTCCGATAGGATCTAACATCTACTCATGATAAAAACCCTCAACAGACTAGACATCAAAGAAACATACTTCAGAATAAGAGCCATCTACAACAAACCCACAGTTAACATCATACTAAATGAGCCAATTAAAACACTTATCTTTATAAATGACCCAGTCTCGGGTGTTTCTTTACAGTGCGAGAATGGACTAAGACAGCATCCAAATAGGAAAGGAAGTCAATCCGTCCATCTTCACTGATGATATAATTCTATATCTAGAAAATCCTAAAAACTCTGCCAAAATAATTCTAGAATAAACAACTTTAGTAAAGTGTCAGGATACAAAATCAATGGACAAAAATTACCAGCATTTCTATAAGCCAACCACATCCGAGCTGAGAGTATAATCAAGAACACAATCCTATTCGACTTACAGTATCCACAAAGAAAATGAAATGCCCGGGAATACAGATAACAAAGTGAAAGATCCCTACAAGGAGAACTATGAAACACAGCATACATAAATCATAAATGATACAAATAAATGGGAAAACATTTCATGCTCATGGATTGGAAGAATCAATATTGTAAACATTGTCATAATGCCCAAAGGAATTCAGATTCAATGCTATTTACATAAAACTATCATCATCATTCTTCACAGAATCAGAAAAAAATCTATTCTAAAATTTATATGGAACCAAAAAAGACCCTGAATATCCAAAGCAATCCTAAGGAAAAAGAATAATGCCAGAGGCATCATGATACTGACCTTAAACTACACCATAACGTCTTGCTAACAAAAACAGCCTGTACTGGTACGAAAGCAGACCTGCAGGAAAAAAAATAGATCAAAATAGAAGACAGAAATAAAGTTGCACACCTGCAACCCTTTGATCTTTGACAAAGCTGACAAAAACAAGCAATGGAAAAAAAAAACTCTGTGTTCAGTAAATGGTTCTGGGATAACTGGATTCTGGCAGGTATGCAAAATGCAAGAGTGAAGGAGCCTGTGCAGCTTCTACCTAGATTTCAGATGTGTAGAGAGCCCTGCATGCCCAGGAAGAAGCCTGCTGCAGGAGTGGATCCACCACAGAAAGCCTCTACTAGAGCAGTGCCAAAGATGGGGAAAGATGGAGTTGGAGCCCCCATTCAGAGTCCCCACTAGGGCACTTCATAGTAAAGTTGTGGGAATGTGGCCACAACCCTCAAGACCCCAGAATGGTAGAGCTACGGGCAGCTTGCACCCTCAGCCTAGAAAAGCTTCCAGCACTTGACTCTCACTTGTGAAGGCAGCCCCGTGGTCTGTGCCTAGCAAACCTATAGGGATTGGCTGCCTGAGGTTTTGGGGACCCAATCCTTGTTCCAGTGTGCCCTGGTTGAAGTACATAAAGTCAAGAGAGATTATTTTGTAGCGTTAGGATTTAATATCTGCAGTGCTGGGTTTTATATGTGTGTGGGGCCTGTTGGTTGTTCCTTTGGCCAATTTATCCCTTTGGGATTGGAATTATTTACCCAATGCCTGCATCATCATTGCACCTTGGAAGTAAACAACTTTTATTTTTTAAATTTGCAAGCTCACAGCTGGAGGGACATTGCCTTAAGACTCAGATGAGACTTTGAAAATTTGAGTTGGACGTTGATGAAGTTAAGATTTTGGGCACTATTGAAAAAAGGTGATTATATTTTGCAATGTAAGAAGAATATGAGAACTTTGGGTCCGAGAGTGCAATGATATAATTTAGGGGTTTTCCCCTCCAAATATCATGGTGAAATGTGACCCACAATGTTGGAGGTGGGGCCAACTGGGTGGTTTGGGTCATGGGGAAAGATTTTTCAGGACTGGCTTGGCATCCACCCCATGGTAATTAGTGAATTCTTGCTGTATTAGCTACTGTGAGATCTGATTGTTCAAAAGAGTCTTGCAATCCTGCTACCCTCTCATGTAACCCCTCCTCACAATATGACACAGCCTTCTCCCCCTTTGCCTTCCACCATGACTGTAAGCTTCCTGAGGCCCTCACAAGAAGCAGATGCTGGTGCCATGCTTCTCACACAACCTGCAGATCTGTAAGCCAAATAAGCCTCTTGTCTTTGTAAATCACTTGGCCTCAGGTATTAATTTATAGCAGTGTAAAATAGACTAATACACTGCCCAAAGCAATATACAGAGTCCATGCAATTTCTATCAAGTAACTAATTAATTATGTATTTTTAAAAATCCTAAAATTTATATAGAACCGAAAAACACTCTGAATAGCAAAAGCAGTCCTAACCAAAACGAACAAAGCTGGAAGTACCACATTCCCTGACTTCAAATTACACAGCACAAAGATAATAAGAAAGGCAGCATGGTAGTGGTAGAAAAAAAATCAAGAGCCCAGATATATAGCCAAATATCTACAACCAACAGTTCTTTGACAAAACTGACAAAAATATACACTGGAGAAACAACCCTCTATTCAATAAGTAGTGCTGGGAGAATTAGATAGCCTTATGTAGAAGAATAAAATGAGACTTCTGTATCATCATAGACACAAATTAACTGTGAATATGGATTCAATGTTTATAAACTCATAAAAATACTTGAAAAAATCTAAAAATAATCCTCTGGACATTGGCCTAAGCAAATAAAATATGACTAAGACTTCAAAAGCAAATGCAATGAAAACAAAATTAGACAAACAGGATTAATTGAACCAAAGATCATCTACACATCAAAAGAAAGAACCAATATGGTGAACAGACAACCTGTGAATGGTAAAAAAAAAAAAATGTGCAGTCTATTCATCAAATATATAGAATCTACAAGTAACTCAAATAAGTCAACTAGAAATAACAACTTCATAAAAGAGTGAGCAAAAACGAGATATTTCTCAAAAGAAGACATACAAGTGTTCAACAGAAATAAAACATGCTCAGCATCACAAATCATCTGATAAATGTAAATTACAGACAACATGATATAGCATCTTCCACCAGTCAGAATGGCTATTAAAAATAAAACAGATGTTTGCAGAGAAGCATAGGAAAAATAATGCTTTTTATATGCTTGATGAGAATACAAATTGGTACAACCTCTATGAAAAACAATACAGAAATTTCTCAAAGAACTAAAATTAGAATTACCATTTGACCCAGTAACCCCTCCTGGTGGGTATGTTTCTCCCAAAAGGAAACTTCTATATAAGAAAAAGTCACCTGCATTCCTATTTTTATTGCAACACTATTTTCAATAGAAAAGTCAAGTAATCTCTCTAAGTGTCAATCAGTGGATGATTAAATAAAATATGATAGATGTAAATCATGGAATACTATGCAGCCATAAAAAATGAAATTGTGTCTTTCACAGCAACATGAATAGAGTTGAAGGACATTTCCTAAATAAAATAACTCAAATTCTCTTTTATAATTGGAAAGCAAACAATGGGTACACATGTACATAGAGAAAAACAATAGACACTGGGTACTGCAAAAGAAGGCAAGGTGAGAGGAAAGTGAGGGTTAAAAAATCAGCTATTGGCTCCAATGTTCACTATGGGGTAACAGTTACATCAGAAGCACAAACCTCACCTTTATGAAATATATTCATGTTACAACTCTGCACATGTGCACCCTGATTCTATGAAAATAAAAACAGAAAACATGAACAGAATTGTTAGACTGCTAGCTAGATTGACCAACAAACAAGAAAAATGCAAAAGTAGCAATTCTTTGTTTTGTAACCCTTTCTCATTTTCTGGTACCATAAGAAATTGTAGACTATCGTCCTATATTCTTTTCTGAAGTGCTACCATTAGCCATTTCTCAAAGAAATTCTGGTTCCTTTTTTCTTTTATTTTCTTTCATTTTTTTTAGACAGAGTCTGCAACGTCCACCTCCCAAGTTCAAGCGATTCTCCTGTCTCAGCCTCCCAAGTAGCTGGGATTACAGACGTGCAACACCACACCTGGCTAATTTTTGTATTTTTAGTAGAGATGAGGTTTTGCTATATTGGCCAGGCTGGTCTTGAACTCCTGACCTCAAATGATCTGCCCACCTCAGTCTCCTAAAGTGTTGGAATTATGGGTGTGAGCCACTGCACCCAGCCGCTGGTTCCTTTTACAGAAGAATAGTATTAAAAACTCATATCTTGATTCTTGATGTACTTTTTGTTAATTTCTTGTAGAACATCTCAAGTAATCAATACAGGAAGTATTTGTTGTGTATTAACCCATATATATATATACCCACATCTAAACGGTTTTTATTTATGTTCCTATATTATGCTAAACTTGCAAATCCACTGAGATACCCTAAGTTAATACCACATGAATGATTTTCACCTTCCTTCTATGCCTTTCCCTAACCTAGCACTCCAACCGTGGGGAACCCCCTCCCACCACACACCATCCATTCCCTTTGTAGTCCATTTCCAGGATTCCTGTAGAGTGGAACCCGATTGTGTAAGTTGTGCTCTTTTGTGGAACATCATCAAGTGGAGTCCAGTGCTGACGTGCAGTTTCTTTTTTCTTTAATCTTATGGACTACACTATTTCTGAACCTACTTAGTACCTCTTTTGATTTCATACATTAGTATAATGGCATAAGATATTTTCTATATAGTCTGCATTCCATCCTGGAATTCCTAATCACCTATTTTTTTAAAATTTCTTGTGGATTAAGATTGTATTAGTCAGTGTCCCCTAGAGGGACAGAACAAGTAAGATACACATACACACACACACACACACGGAGTTTATTAAGGAGTATTAACTCACACTATCACAAGGTCCACAATAAGCCATTTGCAAGCTGAGGAGCAAACAAGCCAGTCCAAGTCCCAAAGCTGAAGAACTTGGAATCCGATGTTTGAGATGAGGAAGCATCCAGCAGGGGAGAAAGATGTAGGCTGGAAGGCGAAGCCAGTCTAATCTTTTCATGTTCTTCTGTTTACTTTTTATTCTGGCCACACTTGCAGCTGATTAGATTGTGCCACCCAGATTAAGGGTGTATCTGCCTTTTTCAGCCCACTGGCTCAAAGGTTAATCTCCTTCGGCGACACCGACACAGACACACCCGGGATCAATACTCTGCATCCTTCAGTGAGATCAAGTTGGCACTCAGTATTTAGCATTACAAGTCCACCCTTTGTCAACTTGAACCCATACACATCTCCTGAGATTATACATAATCTTCAAATAAAGACAAGAATAAAGTCATAATTATGCCTAATAATACAATTATTCTTCTTACAACTGGAAACACACCAATCCCCAATCCAAATGGTACTACATATGCTCCACTCCCTCAAGGACACAGCCAGGATCATCTGATGACTTGGTGTCTAGATGGCTTCAGCACTTTTAATTTTACCTCCAATGTTAGACTCCACTTTATCAATGCAGATGTAGCAGAATATTTTAAGACATTGATATGCTGAAAAATTCAACAGTTCATAAAAGTTGCCTTCCCACCACAGCCAGTGGTTACTACTGAATAAGGACCTGCCATCCTCTAGGGAGAAGCTATAATGGATGGGGTGCACTGTTGGTGGTTATGGAAATCGATCCATCGTGGCAAATGGCAGCATCTTTCTTTGATAACATTATATTCTATTGTGCATATATACCACATTGTCTTTATTCATTTGTCTATCTACTGACAGATTTTTTCCATATGTTTGCTGTTATTAATAGTGTTTCAATAAACATAGGATGCAGATATCTTCACAAGGTGGTAATTTCATCTCCTTTGGATATACTCCCAGAAACAGGATTCCTGGTCATACAATATTTCTGGCTTTAATTCATTTAGGAGCCTTTATACTGCTTTCCATAATTGTGAAAATGTAGAATGGTATAGCCATTATGAAAAACAGTTTCAGTTTTGAGGTATGATCTGTAAACAAATAATGTTTGTTATGGCTCTCAATGAGAGTTTCTACTAAATATGATGGAAGGTCAGGAAGGTCTCTCACCTTAAAGCAGGGATGGATTATGCCTCTTATTTCCTAAAAGCAAAAGATTGGAAGCATGCATGATGGAGGTGGTTGGCAGGTTTCAGGATGATCTCATAAGAGGAGAATCTGTTGGATAAAACTGTTGGGTTTTCAGTCATAGACACACCTACACTCAATATGAAATGATGAAATCAAGTGAGGATCTAGAATGTGTTCGCTTGAAGCAACAGCATATTCTCAAAGGCACCTATTGCTCCATCACAAGGGTGATGAACTTTTGAAACCAGTAAAGTGTGAGAGCACAGTAAGTGATAAAGTTATCACATTTACATGAAGTTTGTTTAATGTGCCAAGGGCTCGCACAGATTAATCATAAATAAACACAATGTATTTTAGCATACATAGATGTCTAGAGAAGAATCTTCTTAGAGAAACTTCTTCAGGTTACAGAAATCTGTGTAAGTTGTAGATCTAATGGAGAAGTGTCTATGAATACTGGTCTGTTTTTGAAGTATGGAAAGATGATCTCTTTTGGAGTAGGCTTGCGATTGTGTTGATTTCTTAATTGTTTCTTGAGTTGTAACAAAAGAACCAAAAAAATGACTAACCGGAGTTTCATGGCTGTGTTGATAAAAATTTTTCATAAGCTTTCTGTCAATTATTTGAGACCAGATTTCCTGATTTTTTTCTCCAATAGATACATGTTCACAAGATCTCAGGAAACCACCTCTCAGGTGCTTTAGTTTAAAAGACTAGCTTCCTAGAAAAAGAAGATTCTGTCTAACCATGACAAGTTGGTTTCATCTGCAAACCATCAAGTTTGAGACCTCATTGTCAAGAATCATAAAAATTTTAACTCCAATGTACTGAAAATCATAAATCTCGAATTTAATGTTGATAGGCATTGACAAAATGGTTCATTCTTGGATGCGTCCTATGTTGCTGGCTCAACATATCAGTTAATTGAGAATCCTCACTTAGCTCCCTCTGTTTGTAGCACTGAGTTGATTGTCAATCTTCAGAGTCATCCGTTGAAGGAGAGTCCTGAGGTTCATGGGATTCTTGTAGACACTCAGGGGAACAAAAGAAAGAAACAGAATTGAGGGCTGCCAGCCATTTCCACATCACTAGGAATAATTACCATCTAAGTATAAAGGTCTGCATCATTCAGAACACCCTGCATGACAGGCTGATGCAAAAAATCCAACCCTACAGAGGCTCCACAGCAACCTTTACAGTTCTTTCCGGGAAGAAATAATCTCCAAGTTAAGTGAGTCAGTAAAGCTGCTCTGAGCTACAGTAAAAATTGGATTGGGCCCGATTTGTCTGAGTTCAGTGTAATTATTATACTCAGCTGCTGCCCCAATATAGACTGAGGATGGATAATTTAAATGAGCCTGGCTATGTGGTTTGTTATATATCTGAACTAAATAAACATAAAGGGCCTGTCTGGACTAGCGTGAGGGTGAGAGATCCTGGGAGCCCCAGCCCCCCATACTCTTATCTCCCTTCCTCCAGGAACCTCTAGGTTCTCAGGGTGAGAATCCACAAGATCCATTCATGGCTCTATTACCAGGAGACCAAAATCTCTGACCTTGTTCATACAGACAAACAGGCGAAGGACATTTTTAGATCCTTATCTATGTGGCGAAAGGCAATCTATCCCCATTACAAGCCTTACCAGCAACCTTCCTTTGTCATGAAAATGGGTAAAATTAGCCAATAGGATTACATTTAAGAAAATTTTCCTGTGATGTTCCAGCCAGAAAACAGCAAAAATCAGCTTCACACCTGGAGACTTCTTGCATCGGTCACAGCCCAGAGAAAGAAGATCACCATAGCATTAAAATGCAACTGTAAGAACATGTAATGCTTCCATGTTCCACGCATTACGTCTCACCAGTTTAGTCAATATGGATTAAATATGAGAGTGTGGCAATTCGCAAACTCTATCTGAGGAGGAAAATCGGATAAAAAATGTTATGAAAAATAAAGCAATTTGAAGCCTCTGACTTCAGCAACTTCACCACTAATGAAATGATGTAACCCTCATTGGCCTCAAATTTAGTTTTCACGGGGCATCTGCAGGGTTCCAAAGTGAGACCAGGTGAATTCAATGTGCATGCACTTCCCAAGTGTCCACTTGTATTCTGTTTCTTTACTTCTGTTTACAGAAAGTAGACACATATTCAGTCTTAGTACCAGTGTAGGGAGCGCTTTCCATGAGATGGATACCAGAAAAAAATGGCAAACATGGGATCCGTTAATATAAAAATTAGCCACGATGTATATATATATATGTGTGTGTGTGTGTGTGTGTGTGTACACACGCGCGCGCATGTGTGAGTTGAATAGCAGAGTTGGAGTGGGTTTCTATCCACATGTACCTGCACCTGCAGGTATTCTCAGGTGCCATAATCAACTGTAGGACCCTAAAGGAAATAAGAGTCTCCCCTCAACCCCTGAAGAGTGTTTGGGTTCACCGTGTGTCCAATGATTCTGTGCCTCTTGAGCTCCAGGAAAGGGCTCCCTGGTGATGCATGAGATCTTTTCTTGGAGTCTCTCTGCAGAGTTCACTGGGTTTCCTAAAGGCAATTCACTATTTCAAAAGATGGTGTGAGGAGCATGTGGTGTCCCTAAAGGAGAATTCTGAGCCAGGGCACAACCACTTTATACTGAGCTGGATACACTGGTAGGAATATACTCTGTCAGCTCAGATAGAAACCTCCCTGCATGGTTGGGGCTGGGCTGCAGGGGGCGCTCCGGATACACCCAGCACAGGCTCCCGCCCCAGAGCAGGTGCACAGGAGGCTGGGGAGAGGTTCCTCCCAGGGCCTGGGACTTCCTTTAAAAATATCTAAAATAAGTATTTCACAAAGACTGCTGAAGTTTGTATAAATATCTATTCAATTGTGAGCATTTATCAAACTGGATGTTGTAATGAGAACCACTTTTACAATGGGGATTTCAAACTCTGCTGGAGGTCAGGAAGAGATCCTTTCTTATAAATAAATGCAATTTTTGGATAAACACAGTCATTCCCTAAATAACGCATTCACATATTATGGTCTAGAAATGATGCAAGTTGACCCTGAGACAGTCAAATGTGGTTTCAAAGTGAGGTGCTGTCCTTGAGGAGCTTGTTCTCCAGTGGGGGAAGCTCTGTCAACACAGAGTTCAGGGATGTGTAGGGGACACATGGCCTCTAACAGGATTACGGCTTGAACCCTCAGCTTCTACAGTTGTGTCACCCATGTGTCTGTTTCTCATACTGGGTCAGGAATTGGGCTATTAAATAGCATCCTTCATGAATATGCAATTAACTGAGGTGACTATAGTATCTCCGTTCCCTGAGAGCCTCACCCAACAACCACACCCCTCCTCTGGAGAAGCCCCTAGATCACAGCTCCTCACCATGGACTGGACCTGAAGGATCCTCTTCTTGATGGCAGCAGCAACAGGTAAGGGGCTCCCCAGTCTCAGGGCTGAGGAAGAAACCAGGCCAGTCATGTGAGACTTCACCCACTCTTGTGTCCACTCCACAGGTGCCCACTCCCTGCAGCTGGTGCAGTCTGGGCCTGAGGTGAAGAAGCCTGGGGCCTCAGTGAAGGTCTCCTATAAGTCTTCTGGTTACACCTTCACCATCTATGGTATGAATTGGGTATGATAGACCCCTGGACAGGGCTTTGAGTGGATGTGATGGATCATCACCTACACTGGGAACCCAACGTATACCCACGGCTTCACAGGATGGTTTGTCTTCTCCATGGACACGTCTGTCAGCACGGCGTGTCTTCAGATCAGCAGCCTAAAGGCTGAGGACACGGCCGAGTATTACTGTGCGAAGTACACAGTGTGGAAACCCACATCCCGAGAGTTTCAGAAAGCCTGAGGAAGGAGGCAGCTGTGCTGAGCTGAGGCAGTGGTACAGCAGTTTTCTGAACTTCCATAGTATCTCATTTTGCATTGAGTTCCGCTTTAATATTAGCCAAGAATATGGGATAGACGGGTGCTCCTAAGAGATCCTTAACTTGCCCATTTTGATGGGTTTTCCCAAAGACGTGAGAAGCCACTTTTTTCGCAAAGCATCCCAAAGCCATGCCCTGCTCCAGAAACACGTGTATCCATTTCCTGGTCTTTGATTAACTGACAAACTCTCATCAGCGCACCTGGGCTAATTTCACATCAGGTAGAAATATGTGCTTTAAAGCAAGGCTAACGTTGTAATAGCAATTCCTGCTTAATAACCTTCAGCATTGTTGTTGTGTGCTCCATCAACTAATTACGTTAGTTCAAGGTTCTCAATGGGAGTTTCTAATAAATATAAGGGATGTATAGAAGTTCCCCTAATTAAAACAATTGTGAAGACAACCTCAGTGTTCAACCATATTTCAACCCTTCACCACAAAGGAACTTTCATCTCTCCTGGAAGTTGGGTTCATTTTCAAATTAGTTTTTTTATTTTAATATCTCAAGATTATTGTATGTGACTATTTTAGCAGAAAGTGAATTATGGGAACTTGAACTAACCAACTGAAAATACATTCAGAACTAATTAAACAAGATGCCAGAATGTGATTGGCTCCAGGCATTTTAAATTCAACAGGTTATGTAACCAGGCTTTAAATTTGCACATCTTCGTGTTACCTTCATGACACAGTCAACTCCCATTATGTAAGAAATGGTGAGTGCATTCCCAAGGGTCTTGCACAGTTATAAAAATAGACTTGATGAGGTGAGGAGTTGTTTAAATTCCCCTCTGAAGAAGCAGCATCAACCCAACAAACCACTCTCTTCCCTCTGTGACTAGAGCTCTGTCACAGGCCACATGGACCTAAATCCTTGATGGAGATTACAGGACTACGTAAATTGGACTGATCGTTTTTATGCTGTTAAATTAATAGGTGAGTCTGCACTCCAGCCTGGGCAACAGAATAATCTTGTCTGTAAAATACAAAAGAAAGATAAATTAATAGATACTGACTTTGACATTTCGGATAATAATATTTTCATAAACCGAATTTAATTATACCCACATTGTTACCTACACCTTCACTGAAAAGTTCCTAGTTATGTTGAGTTCCATCAACACTCCACATGTTCAAATCTGGACATCCAAGAGAGTCTAGAGAATAAAACGCAATGAGGGCAGTGAAACTTGCGTATATTCAGCACCTCTTAACTCAGGAGGACTCAATACACCCTGGAACACTCTGCTTTTCTGAATGGCTCACAATGACTCCAGCTCACTCTCCAACCTCCTCAAACATCTGGCCTCTGTTTGCCCTAAGTTCACGCTCTGCTCTTAGTCTATGTTCTGAAGTCTTTGTAGAGGTGAAAATGAGCTGTCAGATGGATCTTCCTTCTCACTGCAACATGGAATTTGCTATTTCACTTAATGACCACTCTTTCCACAATGGTTGATTTCTTTTGGCCTGTTCATTACTGGTGATTTTCAAGGGAATCTCAGTTGAATCTTTACTGTTTTGCATTTTGTCTCCATGACAATGTTGGGAAGTTTTTCTTCTAGCAGCATAACATGATCTAGTGACCTGACACATTTGCAGCAAACAATACCTACAAATTCAGAAGCTCTTTGGTTTTCTTTCCACGAAATATAATTCTTGCTCTTCTGTGTATGAGCACATCCTAGCATCCCTGTACACACCCACGTAGATGTCTACACGCCGATGAAATATTCCCTGTAAATAAAAAAAGTATCTCAGTTTCTCTCAATGTTCATAATTCTCCTGAGGGTGAGGAAGGTACTTCTGGGTCTGCTCAAACAAATGGCCCAGAGACCACCTGGTAGGTAGGTAAGGAGCTCACCTCGCTCTGGATATTGAGTCTGTCTCTTTCCCTCTGTCGTCTCATAGAAGGCCAGCCCACTTGTTCAGCTCCTAAGAAGAGAGCCCAGGTTTATCCAGATTATACAACACAACCAGCTTCTGATGACTCTCCTGTTACAACATCCATGGAGATATTTTGTGTATTATATAATTCACCAAACTAATGTGAAATGCCCAAGTTGCAATACTGCACACCCTAGGGTATGTTCTTGCAATTCAGCGGAGGAGAAATTCTTTCAGAGACAGATGGATCTGAATTGGTAAATATGTGGGTACGAATTCTGGGCTTGAGTGTCATTGTCCAGCCATGTTTCACAGGTGTGACCTGTCAGGGAAGAACCAGAGTTCCTTGTTCTCTCAGAGGGTAGAGCTCACAGAGGTCCTCTCTGGTTCCCAGGAAAGGTAATTTCACTAATCTTGGTGATGAGACTATCCTCCAGTGCTGATGTACTATAGAGTTTTCATCTGAAGCTGTCACTGCTATCCCCAATGTACATCTTTTCACACAGAAATGTTTAGAGGTCAGGCCATATTCTCAGGGTTACACATTGAGAAGGATGGAGATATATTCTACTACCTTCTCCTGAGATCTCACACACAATCTCAAATTTCAAAAGGTCTCAGAAGGGCAGCTCTCAGGTACTATTTAAAAATAACCCACTTCCTGGGACAGGTAGCATCCTTCTAACCATGATGGATGTTCTGAACTACAGTACACATTGCATGGATCCAGGTTTGTCTCAATTCACTGTGATTATTACACTCAGCAGCTGTTTCAATATGTCTGAAGGGGTAAATGACAATTTAGGTGACCTGGGTGTATGGTTGGTGTTATATGAATCTTTAAATGTAGAACAGTATTAACTGTATTCCAAAATCTGTCTTTGATCCATGATCACACTTGTCTCCCAGACCAGCTCCTTCAGCACATTTCCTACCTGGAAGAAGAGGACTCTGGGTTTGGTGAGGGGAGGCCACAGGAAGAGAACTGAGTTCTCAGAGGGCACAGCCAGCATACACCTCCCAGGGTGAGCCCAAAAGACTGGGGCCTCCCTCATCCCTTTTTACCTATCCATACAAAGGCACCACCCACATGCAAATCCTCACTTAGGCACCCACAGGAAATGACTACACATTTCCTTAAATTCAGGGTCCAGCTCACATGGGAAGTGCTTTCTGAGAGTCATGGACCTCCTGCACAAGAACATGAAACACCTGTGGTTCTTCCTCCTCCTGGTGGCAGCTCCCAGATGTGAGTGTCTCAGGAATGCGGATATGAAGATATGAGATGCTGCCTCTGATCCCAGGGCTCACTGTGGGTTTCTCTGTTCACAGGGGTCCTGTCCCAGGTGCAGCTACAGCAGTGGGGCGCAGGACTGTTGAAGCCTTCGGAGACCCTGTCCCTCACCTGCGCTGTCTATGGTGGGTCCTTCAGTGGTTACTACTGGAGCTGGATCCGCCAGCCCCCAGGGAAGGGGCTGGAGTGGATTGGGGAAATCAATCATAGTGGAAGCACCAACTACAACCCGTCCCTCAAGAGTCGAGTCACCATATCAGTAGACACGTCCAAGAACCAGTTCTCCCTGAAGCTGAGCTCTGTGACCGCCGCGGACACGGCTGTGTATTACTGTGCGAGAGGCACAGTGAGGGGAGGTGAGTGTGAGCCCAGACAAAAACCTCCCTGCAGGTAGGCAGAGGGGGCGGGCGCAGGTACTGCTCAAGACCAGCAGGTGGCGCGCGGCGCCCACAGATCCCGAGGCCGGGTCCGGAGCAGGTGCAAGGAGGGCGGGGCTTCCTCAACAGCTCAGTGGTCTGTCTCCTCGCCAGCACCTCAGATGTCCCCAGGACTCTCTTTCTTTATTATCTGTGGTTCTGCTTCCTCACATCCTTGTGGCAGGGAAGAAAGGAGGAAGACAATTTTTCTGTTTACTGTTGAGGTTTCACCAATTACTAGAAACTTTCCTACAAGTTCCTGCATGACTCATTTTGCCATATATGGATTCTCACCATCTCTTGATTTGTTTCATCAATCGAATTGTGCCCTATTTGAAATTAACTTACTGAAACCTTAAATCCAATGGATCTATACTGGAATTTTAATGATGTAATTGAGGTTAAATGTGGTCAAAGTGTGAGACCCTAATGCAATAAACCGTTGTCTTTATAAGAAGAGGAAGAGACACCAGAGACCTCTCACTTTTCACGTGCACACAGAGAAGAGGCCATGTGGAGACGTAGTGCACTAGAAGGTGGCCCTGTGCAAGCCAGGAAGAAGCCATACTAAGAACCAATTTTGCCAGCTCCTTGATCTTCGACATTCAGACTGTAGAATTGTAAGAAAATCAATATTTGTTGTTTAAGCCACCCAATCCTGTTGTCTTCTTACGAAGACCCAAACTGACTAATACCACCTAACTCTGTTAGCTCTGTCTCCTGGAGGGAGAAGCAGCCCCCTGAGGCTGGGCACTGCATCTCTCAGATTTCCACGTGAAGTAGGCAAAAATAGTAGTTCTCATATAAAAATGTGTCATGGCTCTGTTGGCCATTTTTGAGCATGGTCTCTGAAACCAGCCCTGGTGTGTGTGTGTAACAAATGTCCCTTATCTTTTATTTGGACATAACAAATAGACGATAGGTACCAGCTGGATGGAGATTGGCCACTGATCATCTTCTGTTCTCCTTAGTATGTCACAGAAAACCACACCAACATCACCAGCATCACTGTTTTTCTTCTACCACCTCAAACGGACTACAGAAATGATCCCTGCAGTATGGTCTATTTCTTCGGCTTTCGAAATTTGCACTGAATCTCTTCCTAAATGGGGAGCTACATGGGGTCTGAGTTTTGTTCCTTTCTTCCCAGTCTTCCCCAAGTACCAAGGACAGAATAGACTTAAAATTTGGCCATCAATGCCCCCAAACACCACATCACTTTCTAAAATCCACATCCTGCATCCATCCTTCTCTGGACACCCCTCATCAGGCTACCCAGGAATGGCCAGAATCTGGTATCAGCTTATGGGCTGAGGCCACGAGTTATACACATGTGTGATTTCAGTCACACACACTCTACTTCAGGACCACACCTGTGTTCTGAGGAGCTCAGGCACCTGCTGATCTCAGTAATTCTCTAATAAATCACACACCTCTTATTAATAAAGGTCCAGATGGCCCCATCAGCTGCAGAGCAGTGGAGTAAAGCTCATGGGTGGGTCCATCAGGCAGAAGTCAGACAATGGAAGGGATGGCTGGTCACTTCCATTTTCACTGATGTTCGCAATGAATTTTAATGGAATAAAACAATATTAACTACAAAGAGACAGAAAAGAAGACTGGCTCGTCAAGATATTTAAGGACAAGGAACTTTATTTGGGGGGAAAGTGAAAGACACTTCTAAATGGAAATCCCTAAAGCACATACAGCAGCTGACAGAGTGGCCACTGTGCACATGAGGGCTGAGGAGATGGATGGTAGAGTCCATTCCTGCAACATGTCTCTGGGTGTGTGATGGTTAGACTCCTCATGCATATGAATATAAGAGCTGGACTCATGGAGAAAAAAAGGGCCATATCCCATAGGAAAGGAAGAAAAAAAAACAGATGGGCACCCCTGGAGAGAGCTCATTAGATTTGGTGTGTTTAAGATGAAAATTTCTTCCAAAAATTGTAATGTTCTAAGCTAAATATGAATCTCTTCAATAAACTGAGAATAGGAGAATGGAGCTAGGACTTGAGAGAGGAAACAAATCTTGAGAGAGCAGAAAGCAAATCCACAAAAACTGTCACATGACAGAGGTCAGAATGGAGCTGATGTAGCTACTTCACTATTCTGCAGACTTATTGACCATGTGGAGAAGGGGCTTGAACAAATGGAGACGTTCTCCAACCTTCTGAATCAGCCTCCTTCTTATGCATGAGTAGAAATCATAGTTCTGGGGGTGACCTTCCCAATTTTCCTGTCCATACCTCTTCCCCCAGGGGTAGAGTGTCTTCCCAACCACAATGGTTTCTCACCAGTGTTCTCAGCTTCTCCTCCATTGTACTTACCCTGCAGATTAAGAATTTCTTCTAGATGGAGTTCTTTGGGAATTTTCTGTTTTCTTTAGTTTCTGTTGACTCCACCACACCCCCATAGGATACAGGTTTTATTGGATTTCCCCTGGAAATAGTGGGGGTGGATCCAGGCGTTCAACAGTCCTCGCTGTTCTTCCCTTCCTGTCAGCACCACAGGACAGCAGATAAGGGAGTTGACTGTGGATTTTTCAAATTCCTGGGAAAAGCCTGCAAGGACTAGTAGATTCACACTCTAATACCATTAGCACATGTATCCAAAAAGAAACCTCACTAAATATTTCCAGGTTAGCCTGTTCCTCTCTCAGTGCCATCCAGTGGCACCTGCCCTGGGTTCACGAACATGTGGGCCCCAGTCCTCTCTGCTGGCATCTCTCTCCTCACATTTCAGTCTTCTCGTTAGCTCTGTGAAAGCAGCTCAGATATGTTAAAAGGTTTTCTTCTTCATTTATTCAGTTTTTCAGGTTTACTGTTAAGGAGGTCAGAATAAGATCATAGTTTCCTCATTTTTCACATTTGCACGCTGAGTAGCCACTTTCTATATAAAAGCCAGAAACTAAGGGAACAAATCAAATATCCATATCCACTACAGGTGAACGTTAAAAAATTTGACATATGATTATGGACTAAAGTACAATGCAGAATTAGAATCAAGGCATCCTCATTCTCATAAAAGCATGTCTACATTCTCAAATAACTCTGCTGAGTGAAAGTAGCTGAAGAATTAAGAGTGCACTTCATAAACTTCTAATTGTATAAACTGCAGAAGGTACAACTATTCTAAAGTAACAGAGCAGATTTGAAATTTGGGAGAAATGGGTGTTGAAAGTAATTGGGTGGTGAGATGAAATTACAGAGAAGTGACAGAAAGATTTAGGGGTTAACTTAATTGTACACAACCTGATTAAAGTTTGCACACATACGTTACCATTTTCCAAATGGTGCAGTGTAGATTTGAATTAATTATTAATTGTACTTAAAGCAGTAACAAAGAAACAAATGAATATGTTGGTTGAGGAGGAGCAAAAAATAGATGGGTATGAACACTCAAAACATCTCAGACTCTTGAAAGTACACATGCTTGAACACTGGTTTTCTCTGTATACTTTAGGTAAAGAGCAGAATACATTAAAAGAAAACAGAGATGTCCTGGCGGGGGTGGAATCCTGCAAACCTCACTAGGCGTGTCCCACACTGCCCTGGAGTTGTCTCAGGGGAGCAGTCTCCTCTAGTGGTCAGAGACACAGGCATGGATAATGGGGCTAATACTGTCCAGCTGTGTGACCTTGAACACATTGTATAAACACTGTTCCATATGTAATTTATCTTCCTTAAAATGTAACATTGACACTTGCATTAAATGTATTCTACAAATATGTCAAAAAGAAGATGACGACTGCTAAATGATTATCAAGGCACAATCATATAATATAATGATATTTTCCTGAGTGATAAGATGACTACCAATCTCCCCCAGGGCACTTTGTCTGCTCTGAGCCCTGCGCCTCCTCAGGATTCCCATCCCAGAGCTTGCTATACAGTAGGAGACATGCAAATAGGTTTCTCCCTCTGCTGATGAAAACCAGCCCAGTCCTGACCCCACAGCTCTGGGAGAGAAGCGCCAGCCCTGGGATTCCCAGGGGTTTCTATTTGGTGATCAGGACTAAAGACAGAGGACCCACCATGGAGCTTGGGCTGAGCTGGGTTTTCACTGTTGCTGTTTTAAAAGGTGAACTAGAGAGATTGAGCGTGAGTGGATACCCTTGAGAGAAATGGTGGATTATGTCTGGGAGTTTCTGACCAGGATGTCTACGAGTTTGCAGGTGTCTAGTGAGAGGTACAGCTCGTGGAGTCCGGAGAGGACCCAAGACAACCTGGGGGATCCTTGAGACTCTCCTGTGCAGACTCTGGATTAACCTTCAGTAGCTACTGAATGAGCTCGGTTTCCCAGGCTCCAGGGAAGGGGCTGGAGTGAGTAGTAGATATACAGTGTGATGGAAGTCAGATATGTTATGCCCAATCTGTGAAGAGCAAATTCACCATCTCCAAAGAAAATGCCAAGAACTCACTGTATTTGCAAATGAACAGTCTGAGAGCAGAGGGCACAGCTGTGTGTTACTGTATGTGAGGCACCAGGTAAGAGGACATCAGTGTGAACACAGACACAGTTTCCTGCAATGACAAGGGAGGAGGCTGGGCTAAAAGGGGCACTCAGGACCCACTGAAAACGGGCAGCTCTAGGGCAGGTACAGATGGTTATCATGGGCTGCTTTCCTTCAGGGTCTGTGGCCTCCTCTGCATCTACCAGTTCCCCTCGGAGCCTCTGGACATTTATGTTTCTGTGGCCACCCCTGACATCTCTGGATTAGAAAAGTTTATTATAGGAAGAGGAAACATTCTCATTTGTCCCAAAGCAGATGTAAGTAATGGAAGCAAAAAATGCACAGGAGGCCAGGCGGGGCTGTAGATACTGTCACCCCAGAATGTCAATCTCACCACTAGTACTGGAGAGGGAAGGGAGTTTGATGGACCTTCCCTAACAACCCTGTGGTCCAAGATAAGTCCAGGAAGACCATTGGTGCCTCCCAGAGCACAGTTGTCCATCAGGGATGTCCAATGCGTCCCAGCAGCAGCCATGCCTCAGTGTCTCCACTGTGCACAGCCACTGTCTGGGAGGAGCTCCCAGGATGGGTGTCTTTGGCACACACCAGGTGGCGGGTGTTAGAGTGCAGTGCAGCAGCTGGCTGCCTGTTCTATTGGGCTCCCTGATGCTGGAGAGATGGGAGGTGCATTCGCAGGGCCAGCACCCTGTTTGTGAATTTTTATATAAAAACCCTGATTTTACTTCATTTTTGCAGATGACATAGATAACTAAAAACAGAATCTGCAAAGAAATTGTAATTTTCAACTTTACCCCAAATTCATTGTTTCTTAATTCTGTGCAAGATCCAGACATATTATTGCCTTCCTCATGATAATTTATTCTATGTAAAACCGAAATCATTTTTTCTCCTACTCTTTGTTTCTGTTCAAGTACAGAGATCTTGAGCAAAGTAAGTTGGGTTCTTTCCACACACTAACCCTCACCTTCCCCAGAGAATGAGCAGAGATTGTCCTCAGTCTGAGTCTAAGGGAGGAGCTGTTTCTGCACAACTCAGAGCCTGCAGAGACCCCCAGGTGCAGCTTCAGTGAGTCAGACATTTCTCCATGTGGGCGACCTCCAGTGCCTGTGACTGCTGCTCAGGCCTAATTGTTGGTTAAGTATTACGACACCCTTTAGGTGATCACATCTCAAGCCTATTCTGAAAATCACCATGAACAGAGATAGTTCAATGGCCATTCTCCTGACATAAGTTTCTCTTTATTACTTGGTTCCAAGTATGGAGAAAAATGTGACCCTATATTTGTCTGAATCCAACATCAGCATCCACGGCATTACGCTAGGAGACTCACTAATTGAGCACAAGTGAGCTCGTTATTCTCATAGAAATGTAAGTATTTGGAAATTTCAGCGTGTTCTCCAGAACCTGTGGCTGCCAACAACTGTATTTCTCGGTGCACTCTTGGCCTGGTGAAGCCTTCACAGAACCTCTCCCTCACCTGTGCCATCTCTGCATTCTCCATCACAACCAGTGTTTCCTTCTGGAGCTGCATCCATCAGCGCCCCCATGGGAGGTACTGGAGTGGATCGGGTGCATAGGTCATGGAGGGAGCACAGATTACTCCCCTCTTCTCAAGAGTCCAGTCACCATCTCCAGATCCATGTCCAAAAAGTACTTCTTCTTACAGGTGAACTATGTGAGCAACAAACACATAGCCATGTATTTTAGAGCAAAAGACACAGTGAGGAAACCACAGTGTGAACTCATACCCAAGCCTCCCTGTGGGGGTGCATAGGACAGCCAGGGTTACTCAGGACACCAGGCTCCCTCAGGACACCAAGGGGCACTCAAGACCATTGTAGAGGCATGCAGGTAGCTGGGGGCTCTCAGGAACCATGGGGGAAAATCAGGACACCAAAGGGTGCTTGGTACAGCAGGGGGCTCAGGATTATTGTGGGGATTCAGAAAGAGCAGGTTCAAGGCTCAACCTCAGGGCATGTGCAGCTGGTGTGAAAAGGGGCTGGATGAGGCGTTTTGTGTCACCATCATGTTTCACCACCAGACACCCTCCACTACCTCTATTCTAATGCATGTGTTTGTATGATTAGAAAATGATATTGATATAAATATATAACCATAGCTAGGTGTGTCAAGTTGTCCTCTCCATCTTATATCAGCCTTGTCTGTAAGGACTAATTCCCCATAATTACTTGAGAACCTCATAAATTGTGGTCAATTATGTAGGATTCCTCTCTTTTTCTGCCTTCCTTCCTCCCTCCTTCTCTCTCTCACACAGAAACTTATATACAGCCACCCCACAACACACATAAATCTATAACTTTTATTACCTGATGTATTGATAAGTAATCTAAAGTTACATAAAAATCAGTAGTTCACTGTCAATATTGTAGGAGAAGGGAAGGTCTAGGAAGGAGGAATTACAGAACAAGAGGATATTTTGAGGGTAATTGACTTGTTATCTATGTGGATAATGATAATGTCTATGACCATATTTGTAAAATTGAACACTTCGTGTGGAGACTATTATTTTTTTATTTAACCCCATGCCATTATTTTGCCGTATTCTAGCATTTCTCTAAAAATACAGAAATGTTCAGCACTCATTCATGTGTATATTCAGGAGTTTCTGACTTTTCATGTATTTTATTTATCTCTGTCTAATTGCTTTGATACCAAATTTTACCTAGTATAATTAGTACTACCTTTAGCACTGATTATAAGTCTCACTCCTCCATCATCTCCTTTTTTGCCACACAAGCTGAATCTAGTTTGGACTCATAGGAGCTGCTTCATTCAATGCCAGTGGGAGTTTCAAACCCTATCAACCCCCCTATAAACTGTCATTAAGAAAGTTTATCAAACTCCACCAGTCATGTGATATTAGTTCGTTTTCACAGTGGTATAAAGAACTACCTGAGACGAGGAGTTTACAAAGAAAAGAGGTTTAGTTGACTCACAGTTCTGCATGGCTGGGGAGGCCACAGGAAACTTATAATCATGGTGGAAGGTGAAGGCGAAGCACGGCACATCACACAGCGCAGCAGGAGAGAGAGGGGGAAGTGACACATAGTTTTAAACTATCAGCTCTTGTGAGAACTCACTCACTATGATGAGAACAACATGGGAAAACTGCCCTCATGATCCAATAACCTCTCACCTGGTCCCTCCCTTGACATGTGGGGATTAGAATTTGAGATGATATTTAGGTGGGGACACAAAACAAATCTATAGCACATGTCCAGCTGTGTCCTGGAGTTGTTT
Organism: Homo sapiens; assembly: GCF_000001405.40. NCBI lineage: Eukaryota > Metazoa > Chordata > Mammalia > Primates > Hominidae > Homo > Homo sapiens. Next base: position 106,365,845 of record NC_000014.9, on the reverse strand, counting down.
CAGGGATCCAGTGTGTACTGTTGATAGAAACAGTGATCATCATTCTAGCCGGTGTGAGATGGTATCTCCTTGTGGTTTAGATTTGCATTTCTCTGATGGCCAGTGATGATGAGAATTTTTTCATGTGTCTTTTGGCTGCATAAATGTCTTCTTTTGAGAAGCGTCTGTGAAAAAAAAAAAGAAACAGTGACACCAAGCTCACACCATCCGTTGTAGTTGACAACATGCAAAGCCAAGAGATCTCAACTGAGATTTAGTGTGTGTGTCATGTCTGATGAAGTCATAAGCTCAGAGCAAGTGAATATGGAAAAGTGTATTATCTGCACAGTGTAGGTGTCTGCTGAGTGCAGGGCAGGTCTCGCAGGAAAATCTAAAATGGCTTGAAAGAAGAGGAAAGGAGACTGGCTCAGGGTTTTTATAATGGTTTAGTGGTGGTGGCACAGTGAGGCTTCCCACTCACAGATCGGGGTTTATAAGGTTTGAAACTCCCACTGCCATTGAATGAAGAAGCTCCTGTGAGTCCAAACTAGATTCACCTTGTGTGGCAAAAAAGGAGATGATGGAGGAGTGAGCCTTAAGTAATCAACAGGCATGCACCAAAAGATAGAGCGACAACTTATTCTAGGTAGCAAGAATAAAAATAATGAAAAAGAAATAAGGGTTCAGTATGGGTGGACAAGACCCAGATCTACAGAAATGAGATGACTTTAGAAATATAAGGAAATAATAATGAGAAAAAGAAGGAGGGGATGGGGAATTAGGGTCCTGGCCTAATGTCTTGGGTAGAAGCTTCTCACAATCAAGGACTATCAGCTTATTCTGCAGGTCTTGGGTCACACGTCTGCTTAAAAACATCAGAAATGCCAGGCAATCAATGAGGATGCTCAGTTTAGCATCTCCTATTTGAGTAGATTTACAGTTGTGTGGAATTCTTAATTGATTCTTTTTGGTTTGTTTTTAGAGGCAGGCTCTCACACTGTTCCACAGCTTAAAGTACAGTTGTGTGATCATAGCTCACTGTAATTTTGAGCTCCGGACTCACGTAATCTTCCTGTATTAGCCTCCTGAATATCTAGAATTAGAGGGGAACGCCACCCCTCACCTGCTTATTCTTTAAAATATTTTTTCATAGAAATAGCATCTCTTTATGTTGCCCAGGTTGGCTTCGATTTCCTGGTCTCATGTGATTTCCCTCACTTTGCTTCTGAAAGTGGTGTGATTATAGGGAAGATCCACTGCATCTGTCCTGAATTGATTCTTCAGTTGTAAAACATGAAGCCAATAATTAACTGCCTGACTGTTTTGTGCAGTGAGTTAGTTAAAAGTTTCTGATAAGATTCCTTCCAATATGATTCAAGAGCAGTATTTTCTGCTGATGTTCCTTTCAGTTTCCTTGTTGAAGATCAGAAGACACTGCGGAAAAGATGTAGTAAAAAGGCAGTTTTAACTCTTCATGATTGGAGTGGATATCACATAGGAATCCCTTTCCGTATTTTGTAACACATGCATGCAATAGAACAAAGATGATCCCTTGGTGTAAAATCTATAAACGTATGGGCCTTTTAGCTACCAAGTCATAGGGTAATAACTGATGGACCCTGAGGAGTGAACCATGATTCCATAGTGCTAGTGGGAGAACCCTTGGCCAAGGAAGTTTACATTTTATTAAAATTGATAATTTTTATGTAGCGATGCCATTTTTTAAACATTCCCAGAAGGTTGTGAGTGGGATTGACTCTGTCTTCTGTGAACAATGACAGTGCCCTCCATGGTTAGATAATATTTTAAACTAGATTGAGCTAGAGTGGTTTCTGTATTGAATCACTATATTTTTTTAGCTTCATGTTAGCTTTTTGTGTGTTAGCATTTGCTTTAAAATGATATTAATCAGCCCTCTAGTAGGTAGAAATTCATCTGAGGGTTTCTTCCCTTGTTGTCCATCTCAATAGGATTTCCAGAAGACGTAAGAACCCTCTCTGTTTCTAAAAATATTCCAGGCTGGGCGCTGTGGCTCATGCCTGTAAACCTAGCACTTTGGGAGGCCGAGGTGGGTGGACCCCTCGAGGTTGGGAGTTTGAGACCAGCCTGGTCAGTATGGTGAAACCTCATCTCTACTAAAAATACAAAAATTCGCCGGGCATGGTGGTGTACACTCGTAATCCCAGCTACTTGAGAGGCTGAGGTGAGAGGATTGCTTGAACCCTGGAGGCGGGGGTTGCAGTGAGCCGAGATTGTGCCACTGCACTTCAGCCTGGGCGACACAGCGAGACTCCGTCTCAAACAAAACGACACAAAAAATTCCAAAGTTGTGCACCCTCTAAAAGCATATGTACTTAATTCTCATTTTTAATTTATTAAACATCTCTAATAAGTTCAATGTTTCCTGCCTTCTGAGTTGATTTCCTAACACATAGAAGAATATATCCTAAATGAAAGTTTGTGTTCTTAATACAAATTACTAGTTAATAACCTTTACTTTTATTATTGAGGTATTATACATCAATGTTAATCAATCCTCTCAATGGGACTCTTACCTAAAGAATATATAAAATATTTTCCTGATCATGACATATAATAGATGTGAACACATTCTTAGCATTCAGCCATGTCTCTTGTCTATTAATATTATAAACCACATGCTAACTTTGATTTTATTGGTAATTGTTCTAATTTCTTTTTTTTCCCACTTCTCTGGTTGTTTTTTTTTTAACTTTAAGTTTTAGGGTACATGTGCACAATGTGCAGGTTAGTTACATATGTATACATGTGCCATGTTGGTGTGCTGCACCCATTAACTCGTCATTTAACATTAGGTATATCTCCTAAAGCTATCCCTCCCCCCTCCCCCCACCCCACAACAGGCCCCAGTGTGTGATGTTCCCCTTCCTGTGTCCATGTGTTCTCATTGTTCAATTCCCACCTAGGAGTGAGAACATGTGTTGTTTGGTTTTTTGTCCTTGCGATAGTTTGCTGAGAATGATGGTTTCCAGCTTCATCCATGTCCCTACAAAGGACATGAACTCATCATTTTTTATGGCTGCATAGGATTCCATGATGCATATGTGCCACATTTTCTTAATCCAGTGTATCATTGTTGGACATTTGGGTTGGTTCCAAGTCTTTGCTATTGTGAATAGGGAATTGTTCTAATTTCAAACTAGTTAATTTTTATCTTCATGCAGCTAGATTATTATGTGTGGCTATTTATTCCGAGAGGGATAAAGACAACATTAACAATTTTCACTGCAGGCATGTCTAGGCAACTCCCTGTGCACTATGACCCTGGGGCGTTGGAGATTCTATGGGGACTCTTCCCTACCTGCCTAGGAGAGTTCTCTGCCTTCTACCTCTAGCATTTTCCTCTTTGAAGAAGTACATCTAACTGTCATTAGAATAGAGACAAAGACAAGTCTTAACTGCTTCCAGCTGAGGAGGGATGCTGTTTGGGGAAGATCTCTCTTGGAGGTCTAAGGGACCCCAGGAAAAGGGAGCCATTATCCCAGGCTTCAGTTGCATGACCATTTGGAGTTTGATGGTCTGAAAATGAGAAGAGGCAAATCTGGTTATTAGAAGACATGTATGAAAACCAAACAAGGTGGCAAGGACAGCTTGAAAGAAAATTCCAAGGCTGCTGACATTCCTAGATAACTGCAGCTGTAGTTATGCCTGCTAAGGTTTGGGCGCATGGGGCTTGGCTTTTGTCAGCTCCCTGGGATTTATTTTCCCAAACAAAGAAACCTCCAGGTTAGGGGCACCCTATTCATTCCCATCACCTGGCATGATTTAAAGGATAATTGCTTAGAATTAAAATATTGATCCAGATTTTTTATATTCCCCATCGCTTTTTGTTTCTTCTGGGCTGTAGCCAGAGATCATTGATTGGCGCTCAGGAATAAGCAGAGTTAGTCTAAAATGCAGGCAAATACTTAAACAACTGAAGAGATTAGAATTTAAAGACAAGTGTATGATATGTTTTGAAATACAATGTTTCTCTTTCCAGTTTTGGTTTTTGTCGGCAGCAAATAATGATAAGACTGAGTTGTTTGCAAAATAAACTTTAGTCTTAAACTTGGCCTGATTATTTGCATAAAGTGCAGCAAGAATATTAATAATAATTCTGTAGGAAAAGCCTGCAAGCACCAGGAGCTTCACAGTCTAACACTATGAGCACGTGCATCCTCACGCAACTCACTGAATATTTCCAAGCCAGCCTGTTCCGATCTTAAATGCCATCCAGTGGCATCTGCCCCAGGTACACTAATACATGGGTCCTGCTTCTCTCTGCAGCCTCCTCTCTCCTCAGATTTCAGGTTTTGTTTATTGTTTGTTTTCTCTCTGACATCAACACAGATATGTTGAAGGTTTTCTTTTTTTTATTTGTAGTTGTTCAGCTTTGTTGTTAATGAGGTCAGAATAAGCTCATAGTTTACACATTTTTACATTCCCATGCCGAGTAGCTGCTTTTCTCTATCAAATCCATTAACTGAGAGAACAATCACATTTCGTTACAGGTGAACAGTTAAATAGTTTGGCATATATTTCTGTGCTGGAATCTAATGCAGCTTGAAATCAAGTCATGCCTCACTCATTGAAAAAAACATGGCTAAATTCTCAAAGAATTGTGCTGAGTGAAAGAAACTAAGGAATTAAGAGTAAATTTTACATGATACATTTGTAGAAATTTTAGAAGATGCCACTATTATAAATTAACATGGAGAAGATTTAAATGTTTCTGAGAATATGCTATTGGGAGTAATGGGGATGTGAGTTAAATTTCAGAGGAATAAGAGAAAGATTTAGGGATTAATTTTTTCAAACCTTGATTGAAGTGCTGAGTAAATGGTTGCAAACATAGGTCTACATTTTTCAAATCATTCACCATAAATTTGAATTATTTATTAATTACACTCGAATAAAGCAATAAAGAAACTGATGAGATAATATTTGACTGAATTGCATCAATAAATAGATCGATATTAACACAAGGAATATAACTGATTTCCAAAAACATACACATGAACCATGGTTCACTCTGCGTATTTAGATAAATTACAGAAAGTTGTCATAACAGATGGGGAATCCTGCAGACTTCACTAGGCATGGGCCATGCTGCCCTGGAGTTGTCTCAGGGGAGCTGCCTCCTCCAGAGGTTAGAGCACAGGCCCAGGTAATAGGACTAAATTTTTAGATGTGTTATCTTAGACACACTGCACAACTGCTGTGTTCTCTATGTAAATTATCTCCTGTAAAATATAACATTGAAGCCTGCATTAAATATATTGTGTAAATATGTAAGAATAAAAGAAAGTTATGAGAGCTAAGTGTTAATCAAGGCACAAGCATATAAGATATAACTATATTTTCCTGAATGATGGAATTACTACCAGTCTCCCCCAGGACACTTCATCTGCCCTGAGCCCAGCCTCTCCTCAGATGTCCCACCCAGAGCTTGCTATATAGTGGGGGACATGCAAATAGGGCCCTCCCTCTACTGATGAAAACCAGCCCAGCCCTGACCCTGCAGCTCTGGGAGAGGAGCCCAGCACTAGAAGTCGGCGGTGTTTCCATTCGGTGATCAGCACTGAACACAGAGGACTCACCATGGAGTTTGGGCTGAGCTGGGTTTTCCTCGTTGCTCTTTTAAGAGGTGATTCATGGAGAAATAGAGAGACTGAGTGTGAGTGAACATGAGTGAGAAAAACTGGATTTGTGTGGCATTTTCTGATAACGGTGTCCTTCTGTTTGCAGGTGTCCAGTGTCAGGTGCAGCTGGTGGAGTCTGGGGGAGGCGTGGTCCAGCCTGGGAGGTCCCTGAGACTCTCCTGTGCAGCGTCTGGATTCACCTTCAGTAGCTATGGCATGCACTGGGTCCGCCAGGCTCCAGGCAAGGGGCTGGAGTGGGTGGCAGTTATATGGTATGATGGAAGTAATAAATACTATGCAGACTCCGTGAAGGGCCGATTCACCATCTCCAGAGACAATTCCAAGAACACGCTGTATCTGCAAATGAACAGCCTGAGAGCCGAGGACACGGCTGTGTATTACTGTGCGAGAGACACAGTGAGGGGAGGTCATTGTGCGCCCAGACACAAACCTCCCTGCAGGAACGCTGGGGGGAAATCAGCTGCAGGGGGCGCTCAGGAGCCACTGATCAGAGTCAGCCCTGGAGGCAGGTGCAGATGGAGGCTGTTTCCTGTCAGGATGTGGGACTTTGTCTTCTTCTGACAGTTCCCCAGGGAACCTCTTAAATTTAGAAAACTGTGCCTAACAATGTCTTCTCTATGCATATGAGGACCTTTTCTCCCTGGCACAAAATGCAGATTGACGCTGACACGGATGAAAATTCCTCAACCATGGTCACAAGGATCAGAGTCCTGAGTAACCTCAGGGCTTCCTGGTGATTCTTCTCCAATCAGACCCAGGACAGGGACCTCCGTGAGATTCCCTGACTGGAACAGTCTTTATGGATCCTGGTCACAGACAATAGAGAGGCTGAACCAGGGTCAGCGTCATGTAGAACGTCACAGATTTCACGTCTGATCCTTCTCCTGACACGAAAGTATGCAAATCAGTATCAGCACCGATCTGGTGCTTCTTTTGTTCCTAATCCATTTACTTTCTTTTTTCGTCGTTTTTCTCCTTTTTCCATTTGTTTTTCCTGCTTTTTGCAAAAGGAAGATGTTTTCCCTGTGAGATGCAGGGGATGACAATTTTGGGAGATGGCTGGAACATCCAATATCCTCAGGGCCGACCATCAGTAAGTGCAGGCTAGAAGTCTCAGAAAGAGCTGAAGCTGCTTAATCACCGTGGAGTTTTACCTTCTCCAGTTCTGCTCTGATGGAATCAGGGCCAAGCAGGTTATCAATGATAATCTACCTAACATAGAGTCAACTGATTCCAGTTTCAATAACGTCTGTTAAAAATTCACACCACCACCTGGATTACTGTTTTGTCAAATCAATACACAGTATTGTCCAGCTAAGTAGACCCAAAGACGGACCGTTGCCCATGGAGAAAAACATTAACCTGAGTTCTAGGTTCTTACAGTGTTAAAGGTGTAAAACTGATTATTAAAAATGAGGCTATTTTTCTTTTTGCTGTTGAGTTGTAGAAGTTTCTTTTCCATTTTGACATGAAAACTTTTTCAGATATATGGCATATTATCCAATTCTGTAAGTTGTAGTTATTTTGTTGCTTTGCAGAATCTTTTTCATAATCTATTCCCACTTGTTCAATTCTGCTTTTTTTTGTAGGTGATTTGAATGTAAAATCCTGAAAAAGATTGCTAATTTTTTGAGTGTTGAGAGTTTTACAATTAGAGGTATTACAGTTAGATATTTGAGGCATTTGGAGTGAATTTTTGTGTTTATTCTAACCTAAAATTCTTAATTCTTTTCATGGGAAAATCCAGTTTTCATACCACCCTCTTTGGAAGACACTACAATTTAGCCATGTTATATTGATGGTTCTCATGCTAAAAATCAGCTTGTCATCAATATGTGGGTTTATATCTAAGCTCTATATAGGTATTTAAGCCAAAACTTTCTATGTTTTTAATAAATGTTGAGGCCTGGAAGTGAAATGCCTAAAGCTTTCTTCTTGCCTTGTTACAGATATTGTACCAAAATATTCTAACCTTTTACTATTGAGTGTAATAATAGCTGTGGCCTTTCTTAACGGCTTTTATTATGTTCAAGTTGTTTTCTTGTCTTCCTACTTTGTTCATAGTTTTAATAATGAAACTGATTTTTTTCAAAGTCTTTTTCTGTGTCTGATGAAATGTTACTGAGATATTTTTTCTTTAGTTTTTTAATGTGTACCAAACTGATTGATTTGAGAATGTTGAATCAAGTATGCATCTCAGGAAGAAATTTGAGTTGGTCATGGTGTATGTCTTCTAAAACACTTTGGAGCTTAGTTTACTATTGTTGGGGATTAATTCATGTCTACTAATGATATTGGTCTGTAGTTTCCTTTATTGTGGTGCCTTTGTCTATTACTGGTAATACTATCATGGTAGTCTCATAGAAAGAGTTTAGAAGGTGTATGGCAGACTACCTTTAAAATAGATTTTATCAGTGGAGAAATGGTGATAGTTTTTTCTTCACTTTTCTGTTGGGAAGAATTTTATGTTGTTTAAAAGATATTCAGAATGACTTAACCTGGTTTATGAGCTTTCATTCTATTCCTTTCTTCCATTCTTTTTGAAGAACTGCTTACCTTTCCTATTTATTTTTAAGTTTGTTTTTAGACATATGCAATACATTTTGAGGTGAAACCTGGTGGAATTTTTTCCAATAAATTAGTAAAAATAAATCATTTAATTGACTATTTTATTCAGGTTGATTTGTTTAATATTTGCTAAAGGCCAGTTCTTTAAGCTATGACACATAATAAATCCCAAATGGCAGTACCTCATTGTTTACTTAGCTTTTGTACTTATATTTTTCAGAGGAAGAACCACTACTGTAAATTGTAAATAGCCAATACATAATTGTATTGTATGCAAATCTGTGACTGTTTACAGTGTCATCTCTGAGAAACATAAAGTTTATTTACTATATATATATAAAGAGTTTGGAAGGTGGACTCCACCAATTTTTGAAAGAGTTACAGAAGGGCTGCTATTACTTCTTTAAATGTTAAGGTTCATTTTATGATGTAACAGATAACCTATCATGGAGAATGTTCAATGTGTTCTTGAGAAGGATGTGTATTACGTGACTCTTGGTTGGAAGGTTCTGTAAATATCATTCAGATAAATTTGTTCAATAGTGTTGTTCAAGTTCAGAGGCACATTGAGAATTTTCTTTCTGGATTTGCTAAACATTATGGTCATGAGGTATTAAGGTCTTGTGTTATTTTTGTATTGTTTTCTATTTCTTTATATCTCTTACAGTTTGCTTAATGCAGTTATATTTGTATTTGTACACATGTGTAAAAACAAAAATCATAATTGCTAAATGAGTTTTATGGCACAGTCACATTATAAGTAATATTTTTCCAAATGCTACCATTGCCACTAAAGTCCTCCTGGAGTCTGACGTCTGCTCTGGGCACTGCCTTCTTCTCAGGCGTCCCACACTGGAGCTTGCTATAGAGGAGGAGGCATGAAAACAGGGCCCTCCCTCTCCTGGTGAAATCAAGCCCAGACCTGACCCTGCAGCTCTGGGAGAACAGCCACAGCCCTGGGATTCCCAGGGGTTTCCATTTGGTAATCAGGACTGAACACAGAGAACTCACTATGGGGTGTGAATTAAGCTGAATTTTTCTTGTTGGTATTTTAAAAGGTGACTCCTAGGGAACTAGAGTGAGTGAGAGTGAGTGGATATGAGTGAGAGAAACAGTGGATATGTTTGCCAGTTTCTGACCAGGATGTGTGTGTATTTTCAGGTGTTCAGTGTGAGGTGGAGCTGATAGAGTCCATAGAGGACCTGAGACAACCTGGGAAGTTCCTGAGACTCTCCTGTGTAGCCTCTAGATTCGCCTTCAGTAGCTTCTGAATGAGCCGAGTTCACCAGTCTCCAGGCAAGGGGCTGGAGTGAGTAATAGATATAAAAGATGATGGAAGTCAGATACACCATGCAGACTCTGTGAAGGGCAGATTCTCCATCTCCAAAGACAATGCTAAGAACTCTCTGTATCTGCAAATGAACACTCAGAGAGCTGAGGACGTGGCCGTGTATGGCTATACATAAGGTCCCAAGTGAGGAAATATCGGTGTGAGTCCAGACACAACATTTCCTGCAAAAAGAAGAAAGGAGTCTGGGCCGAAGGGGACACTCAGCACTCACAAAACAGGTGCAGCCCCAAGGCAGGTGCAGATGGAGGGAGGGTAAGGGCTGCTTTCCTTCAGGGTCTGTGGTTTCCTCTGCTTCTAATATTTCCCCTCTGAACCTCTGTATATTTATGTTTTGTGCCCACCATGAGGTCCCTGGATTAGAAAACTAATTTAAAAGAGGAAATATTCTCATATGTCCCAAAAACAGATGTAAGTTTTGGAGGCATAAAAATGCATAGGAGCCGCGTGAGTCTGTAGACACTGCCACCCCACAATGCCAGACCCAAAACTAGTGCTGGAGAAGGGTGGGAGTTTGATGGAGCTTCCCTGATGACCCCGTGGTCCAAGCTAAGTCCAGCAAGGCCATTGGTGCCTCGCTGAGCACAGTTGTCCATCAGGGATCTCCCATGTGTCCCAGCAGCAGCCATGCCTCAGTATCTCCACTGTGCACAGCCATCGTCTGGGAGGAGCTCCCAGGATGGGTGTCTTTGGCACACACAGGTGATGGGTGTTAGAGTGCAGTGCAGCAGCTGGCTGCCTGGTCTATTGGGCTCCTGGATATTGGAGGGATTGGAGGTGCATTCTCAAGGCCAGCACGCTGTTTGTTAATTTTTGTATAAAAACCATGTGATTTAATTCATTTTCTCAGATGACATAGATAATTAATAACACAATCTGCAAACAATTGTAATTTTCAACTTTACCCCAAGTTCATTGTTTCTTAATTCTGTGCAGGATCCAGACATGGTATTGCCCTTCTCATGAGAAATTGTTCGACCTAAACTGAAACCAGTTGTTTCTCGTATACTTTGGTTCTCCCCACATGCAGAGATCTTGATTAGAGCAAGTTTGGTACTTTCCACGCACTCACCCTCACCTCCCCAGATAAAGAGCAGAAGTTCTCCTTAGACTGAGTCTGAGGGAGGAGCTGTTCCTGTACCACTCAGGGCCTGCGGAGACCCCCAGGTGCAGCTTCACTGAGTCAGGTGTTTCACTCCCTGTGATTGCTGCTCAGGTCTAATTGTGGGCTCAGAATTAGGACAGTCTTCAGGTTATCACAGGTCAATCATATTCTAAAAATCATCATTATCACACACCGTGGTAATAATTCAATGTTCATTTTTCTAAACAGCAGTTTCTCTTTTTTATTTGGTTGCAAGTCTGAGGAAAGGAACATGTGATAATACTTTTTAATCTAACCTCTAAATCTACTGAATTGTTCTAGGAGACTCACAAATCGGACAAAGTGAGCTCTTTATGCTCATAAAAAAATGCATGTATTTGGGAATTTCACCGTGTTGTCCAGGACCCGTTAACATGGACAACTGTGTTTCGCAGTGCACTTCTGGCTTGAGACATCCTCACAGACCCTCTCCCTCACCTGCACTGTCTCTGGATTCCCCATCATAACCAGTGTTTCCTTCTAGAATTGTATCTGCTTGCCCCTAGAAGATGGACAGGAGTGGATCAGGTGCATGGGTTGTGAAGGGAGCACAAATTACAACCCACTTCTCAAGAGTCCATATCCGGATCCAAGAAACAGTTCTTACAGCTGAGCTCTGTGCCCAGTGAACACACAACTACGCATTTTGAAGCAAAAGATGCAATGAAGGGCCTTCATTGTGAGCCTAGACACAAACCTCCCTGCAGGGGTGAATAGGAGCAGCAGGGGGCATTCGGGGCAGTATGGGGGCTTAGGATGATTGTTAGGGGTCAGGATGAGCAGGACCAAGGCTTCGCATCAGGGCAAGTGCAACAGGGCAGAAAAGGGGCTGTAGATGTGGGTTGTTCTCACCATCATATTTCACCACCAGACACCCTCCACTACATCTCTTCTAATGTGTCTGAGTGTTGATATGATTAGAAAATGGCATTTATGTAAATACTACTATGTACCCATATGGAGGTGCATCCAGTTGTCCTCTCCATCTTATGTGGACCTTGTCCATCAAGCACTAAGTCCCTGTAATTACTTGAGTACCTCACACATTATGGTCAAAAGATGTAGGGTCTCCTTTTGACATGGTCTCTCCTCCTGCCTTCTCTCTCTGTCACACAAAAACACGTGAACTGACACACACACAGAGCTTCCCAACTTTAATTATGTGATGTATTGAAGCAAATTGATTAGTGTGCAGCTTTTCTGCTTTGCCTGCTATTCATGTTATGTAAAAATAAGAACCATGTTTTTCTCAGCTTGTCACTTCTCTAAGCTAAGTAGCATCTTTGTTTATTATACCCAGAGACCAAAAGCGATCCAACTGTTATTCAGCAGCTTAACTGGTAAACAAATTGTGGAAAATTCATTTACTGGAATAATACCCACTGTTACAATCAAGTACTGCTGGATACACTCAACACCATGCTTAAAATAACAAGCACCTGAATAAGTAAAATAAGTCAAACAAATGAAAGTGCATACATACGATTCCACTTCTATAATTTCTATAAAGTAAAAATGAACTTAAAGTTACATGAAAAGATCTGTAGTTGACTGGGGACATGGTACAAGAAGAGAAGGTATAGAAAGGAGAAACTACAGGAGAGCAAAAGGAAATTTCTAGGATAATTGATTTTTTCTCTGTTAGTAAAAGTGAGGATTATGTCACTATTTGTAAAATTGTACACTTTATGTAAAGATTCTTATTTGCTAATTTCATCTCATTAAAATATTGCAATTTTTTAAATGTCTAGTTTGGTAGAAAAGGTAGTAGAGAGAGATGAATAAAATACATAAAATTCAGAGAGTCCTGAATACACACATGAATGGACCCTGGGTCTCACTGTACTTTGAGGGAGACACTAGAATACAAAAACATAATGACAGGATTTCAGTACATGAAAGGAGCTTCTCAAACCCCAGGAGGCATGTCCAACTGCATCTTGGAGTTAACTCAGGGAGCAGGCATGTCCTTTGAAAGGAGCCGTGACACCAAGCTCCCAGCATCCATTGTAGCCGACACCATGCCAATGCCAAGAGATCTCAACTAAAATTTTCTGTGGATGTTGAGTCTGATTATGCCACACACTCACACCAAGTGAGTATGCAAAGGATAGTTACCTGCATCCTTAAGGTGTCTGCTGAGAGCAGGGCAGGTCTCTCATTAAGGTCCAAAGTGGCTTGATAGAGCAGGGAAGGAGACTGGCTCAGGGTTGTTATCATGGTTTGGTGGGGAGTGGGGCAGAGCATCGTACTTGCAGGAAGGGTTTTGTGGGGTTTCAAGGTCAAATTGGCATGAAAAGAGGGAGCTCCTGTGATTTCTAACTAGATTTACCTTGTATGCTTAAAAAAAGAGATGATGGAGGAAAGAGCCTGAAGTTATCAGCAGTCAGGCCTAAACATAGAGTCTGATGACTTACTCTAAATAGCAAGTATACAAATGATGAGTAAGAAAAGAGACAAGACTCCAATATGGGTGGACAACAGCCAGGTCTGCAGAAAATGAGAAGACAGTTTATAAGCAAAGAATAATGAGTAGGAGGAGGATATGGAGGAGGATTCTGGTCCAATGTCTTCTGTGGAAGCTTTTCATGATTTCAGATCATCAGCTTATTCTGAAGGTCTTAGGTCACCTGTTTTCTTCAAAATATCAGAAGTGCCAGATGATATGTGAGGATGCGCAGTTTAATTTCCTCTGAGTAGCTTTACAATTGTGTGAAATTCTTAATTTTTTTTTGAGATGGAGTCTCATTCTGTTGTGCAGGTTGGACTACAGTGCTGTGATCATAACATAGCTCATGGTGATTTCAAATTCCTGGCTCATAGAATCCTCCCACCTCAACCTCCTCACTAGCAAGTAGCTAGGTTTCCAGGGCGCTTCATCTACACTTGGCCATTCTTGTCATTCTTTTTTTTTTTTTTTTTTTTTTTAGGTGGATTTTCCCTCTTCTTGCCCAGACTGGAGTGCAATGGTGCCATCTCAGCTCACTGCAATCTCCCCCTCCCAGGTTCAGGTGATTCTCCTACCTCAGCCTCCAGAGTAGCTGGGATCACAGGCATGTGACACCATGCCCCGCTAATCTTGTATTTTTATCAGAGATGACATTTCTCCATATTGGTCAGGCTGGTCTCAAACTCCCTACCTCAGGTGATCCTTCCACCTCAGCCTCCCAAAGTGCTGGAATTATAGGCGTGAGGCACCGCAACTGGCCTCTTCATTTTTATTCATATGTTCCTTCAGCAGCCACTATGTCTTCCCACTGATTTCTTCAGTTTCTGCCTTTTCCTTTTGAATAAGGCTGTTACTCCTGAGGGAAGATGGGAGGTGGGCCTGGACAGGGACTTGGTGCATTCCTCTCTCCTGTCCCAGTTCTTATTGGTTTCTCCAGTGTCTGTAGAACAGTGGTTTTGGTGGCTTTACCTCTGCAGATAATTTCTCTTGCAATGTAGTGGTGATGGGGAGGTGTGTCTGGATGCATTTCAGCTATAGTTGCTGTTTTGCTTTCCCAGACAGCACCATCCCAAAGGGTAGAGGCTGGAGCATTTTGTGATGTATCCCCAGTACTGAAGAAAAAGGCTTCAATAGCAGGAGGAATTCCTCAACTGTATACACTCTGAGAATTTAAACAATAACTTCTCTATCACACTCAAATTGAAACCATCCAATGAATATGTCTACTTTAATCGTGTGCTAACTTAAATGGCATTTGGCAGCCTCTGTCCCAGAAAAGATTATCATCTGCTCCTGTTTATTTCCCTGCACGTCCTTATCTCTCTTCAGATTTCAGATATATTGTTTGTCCTATAACATCAAAAATTTGATGTATATGTGCTAATTTGCAGATCAGTAAGTTTAGTAGCTGTTGTAAGAATAATAACATATTTTTATCGGGTGCTTACATCTCCAAGCTGAGAAGCACCTCTATGTGTAATACTAAGAAACTAGAAATGATACAAATATCAAGAAGATACATAGATAAAAAGTAATGGCATGCTAATTTACTGTAATAACATCCATCATGAGAATCAATACATTGTTGATGCTCAACATGTTTGCATCATAAGTAGTTACGTGCGAGAAGCCACACAAATAAAACACATACTATATAATTCCTGTATAATAAATTCTTGAAACTCAAAACTAAGGTATTAAATGTGAAGGACTGACTCAGAATATGGTGGGGGAAGAAAATAATTGGGAAGGAGGAATTGTAGAGCAACACAAGGAAACTTTTAAGTGTAATTTGTTCATTATTTGGATGGCTTTTGGGGATGCACAGGTGAGCACGAGTGGAATTACATTGTGTTTTGTTTGTTTCTTTTTTTTTTCTGAAGAGATGTGGTCCTTCTCTGCGACCCAGGCTGGAGTGTAGTGGTGGGATCATAGTTCAATGTAGCCTCTAACTTCTGGTCTCCAACAATACTCCTGCATCTGCCATCTAAGTAGCTGGAACTACCGTTGTGTGCCAGGAGGTTTGGCTTGGCTTGAGTACTTATTAAACCACACACTTTTTGCAATATTTAATGTATAGTAATAATGTCTCAATAAGACTACTACAAATCAATGAATGAATAATTTGTTCAGTACAGATTCATGGAAAAATAGACACTAACATGATGAATGTCTGACATTTATGAAAATACAACTGCATGAAATGTGCTTCTCTTTACATTCATTAGGTAAACACAATAGTGCATACACATCACACCGTGCTTTCATTACAGGAAGAAAGATCTGAAAATGTCACTGGGGTGAACCACATTGTGCTGGGCTTGGTTCAGGGAGCAGTCAGGCCCAGTGTTGTGACCTTCAACCACAGAATCCTTAAAAAATAATAAAAGAGGCTCCCCCAAAGTCCCCATCAGTTCCCGGACTCGCTATGTTTCTGGATCGTATCAGTGCATCCGGAGCTCCCTGGTGGCTTTAGTGATTCCTTGCTTGCCATGCTGAGGTCTCCCTGTAGATTATGTTGGGTTTTCTGAGGCCGTTTTGCTATTTAAGACCCACTCCCTGGCACAGAGCGATTCCCTCTAAACCTGATAGAGGTTCTGAACTAAAAATAACATTAAGTGAATCCTGGTGTGTCTGAACTCAAGTGATTGTTACATTAAGCTGCTGTTGCAATCTGTTTCCTCACCTGGGAAAAGAGGAGCCAGGACATAGTGAGTTGAGGCCCCAGGAAGATAACTGAATTCTCAGAGGGCACAGCCAGCATCCTCCTCCCAGGGAGAGTCTAAAAGACTGGGGCCTCCCTCATCCCTTTTCACTTCTCCATACAGAGGCACCACCCCCATGCAAATCTCACTTAGGCACCCACAGGAAACCACCACACATTTCCTTAAATTCAGGGTCCAGCTCACATGGGAAATACTTTCTGAGAGTCCTGGACCTCCTGTGCAAGAACATGAAACACCTGTGGTTCTTCCTCCTGCTGGTGGCAGCTCCCAGATGTGAGTGTCTCAAGGCTGCAGACATGGAGATATGGGAGGTGCCTCTGAGCCCAGGGCTCACTGTGGGTCTCTCTGTTCACAGGGGTCCTGTCCCAGCTGCAGCTGCAGGAGTCCGGCTCAGGACTGGTGAAGCCTTCACAGACCCTGTCCCTCACCTGCGCTGTCTCTGGTGGCTCCATCAGCAGTGGTGGTTACTCCTGGAGCTGGATCCGGCAGCCACCAGGGAAGGGCCTGGAGTGGATTGGGTACATCTATCATAGTGGGAGCACCTACTACAACCCGTCCCTCAAGAGTCGAGTCACCATATCAGTAGACAGGTCCAAGAACCAGTTCTCCCTGAAGCTGAGCTCTGTGACCGCCGCGGACACGGCCGTGTATTACTGTGCCAGAGACACAATGAGGGGAGGTGAGTGTGAGCCCAGACACAAACCTCCCTGCAGGGAGGCGGAGGGGGCGGGCGCAGGTGCTGCTCAGGACCAGCAGGGGGCGCGCGGGGCCCACAGAGCATGAGGCCGGGTCAGGAGCAGGTGCAGGGAGGGCGGGGCTTCCTCATCAGCTCAGTGCTCTCCCTCCTCGCCAGCACCTCAGCTGTCCCCAGGACTCCTCTTTCTTTATTATCTGTGGTTCTGCTTCCTCACATCCTTGTGGTAGGAAAGGAAGGAGGAAGGCAAATTTTCCTCTTAGAGTCAAAGTGTCACTAATTACTAGGAACTTTCCTACAAGTTCCTGAATGTCCCATTTTTCCTTCTTAATTAAAAAAAATATATATTCTAATACTTCTCACCATCTCTTGATTTGTGTCATCAGTTGAATTGTGCTGTCTTTGAAATTCAAATGCTGAAACCTTAAATCCAATTGATCTATATTGGAATTTTAAGGATGGAATTAAGGTTAAATGTGATCATAAGTCTGAGATTCTAATGCAATAGATCTGTTGTCTTTATAAGAAGTGGAAGAGTCACCAGAGACCTCTCACTTTTCCCGTGCACGCAGAGAAGAGGCCATGTGGAGACATAGTGGACTAGAAGGTGCAAGCCAAGAAGAAGCCGCACCAAGAACCAACCCTGCCAGCACCTGGACCTTGGACATTCAGACTTCAGAATGGTGAGAAAATCAATGTTTGTTGTTTAAGCCACCCACTCCTGTTGTCTTCTTATGAAGACCCAGACAGACTAATACCACATAACTCTGTTAGCTCCTGGAGGGAGAAGCAGCTCCCTGAGGCTGGGCACATCTCTCAGATATCCATATGAAGTAGGCAGAAATAGTAGTTCTCATATAAAAATGTGTCATGGCCCTGTTGGCCATTTTTTTTTGACGGAGTCTCGCTCTGTGGCCAGGCTGGAGTGCAGTGGTGCAATCTCAGCTGACTACAAACCCCGTCTCCTGGGTTCAGGCAATTCTCCTTCCTCAACCTCCTGAGCAGCTGGGACTACAGGTGTCCACCACCATGCCAGCCTATTTTTTTTTTGTATTTTTAGCAGAGACAGGGTTTCACTGTGTTAGGGTGGTCTCAAATCTCCTCACTGCATGATCTGCCTGCCTCGGTTTCCCAAAGTGTTGGGATTACAAGTGTGAGCCACCGCACCTGGCCCCTGTTGGCCATTCTTGGGGCAATGTCTCTGAAACCAGCCCTGGTGCCTGTACCACAAAATTTTCTTTTATCTTTCATGTGGATATAACAAATGGACAATGAGGACCAGCTGCATGGAGACTGACCACTGAACATCTTCTGCTGTCTCCTAAGTAAGTCACAGGAAAACACACCAACATCACCAACATAACTGTTTTCCTTCAACTTCCTCGAACGAACTATAGAAATGATCCCTTAAAGTATAGTCTATTCCTTCAACTTTCTCAATTTGCACTGAATCCCTTCCTAAATTAGGAGCTACATAGGGTCTGAGTTTTGTTCCCTTTCTCCCAGTCTTCCCCAAGTATCAAGGACAGAATAGATTTAAATTAAATTTGGCCGTCCATGCCCCCAACACCACATCGGTTTCTAACATCCTTGTCATGTACCCATCCTTCTGTGGGCACCCCACATCAGGTTGCCCAGGAATGGCCAGAAGGTGTCATCACCTTATGGGCTGAGGCTACAAGTTATACACACGTGTGATTTCAGTCACACACACTCTACTGCAGGACACACCTGTGTTCTGAGGAACTCAGGCGCCTGCTGATCTCAGGTCTTCTCTAATAAATTACACACCTCTTATGAATGAAGGTCCAGATGGCCCCATCAGCTGCAGAGCAGTGGATTAAAGCTCATGGGTGGGTCAGTCAGGCAGAAGTCAGACAATGGGATAATAGAAGTCAGACAATAGTCACTGAGGTTCCCAATGTATTTTAATGGAATAAAACAATATTAGCAACAAAGGGGCAGTAAAGAAGACTGGCTCTTGAAGGTATTTAAGGACCAGGAACTTTATTTGGGGGGAAAGTGAGAGACACTTTTACATGGAAAGCCCTAAAGCACATACAGCAGCTGACAGAGTGGCCACTGTGCACATGAGGGCTGAGGAGACGGATGATAGGTTACGTTGCTCCAAGATGTCCCTGGGTGTGTGATGGTTGGACTCCTCATGCATATGAAAATAAGAGCTGGACTCAGGGAGAAACAAGGGCCATACCCCATAGAAAAGGAAGAAAAAAAGCAGATGGGCACCCCTGGAGAGAGCTCATTAGATTTGGTAGGTTTGAGATGAAAATTACTTCCAAAGGTTTTAATGTTCTAAGCTAAATATGAATCTCTTCAATAAAGTGAGAATTAAAAGAAGAATGGAGCTAGGAGTTGAGAGAGGAAACAAATTATGAGAGAGCAGAAAGCAAATCCACCCAAACTGTCACATGACAGAGGCCAGAATGGAGCTGATGCAGCTACTTCACTATTCTGCAGACCTAGTTGACCATGTGGAGAAGGGGTTCGAACAAACGGGGATGTTCTCCAACCTTCCAAAACAACCTCCTTCTTATGCATATGCAGTAATCATGATTCTCAGGGTGGCCTTCCCAAGTTTCCTGTTCTTACCTCTTCCCCCAGGGGTAGAGTGTCTTTTCCAACCCACAGTGGTTTCTCTGCCATGTCCTCAGCTTCTCCTCCATTGTACTTAACCTGAAGATTAAGGATTTCATCTGGATGGAGTTTCCTGGGAATCCTCTGTTTTCTTTGGTTTCTGATGACCACATCACAGGCCATAGGACACAGGTTTTAGTGGATTTCCCCTGGAGACAGTGGAGGTGAATCCAGGCGTTCCACAGTCCTTACCGTTCTTCTCTTCCTGTCAGCACCGCAGGACAGCAGATAAGGGAGCTGACTGTGGATTTTTCAGATCCCCGGGAAAAAGCCTGCAAGGACTAATAGTTTCACATCTAACACCATTAGCACATGCATCCAAAATTAAAAAAAAAATCCTCACTAAATATTTCCAGGTTAGCCTGTTCCTCTCTCAATACCATACCGTGGCACCTGCCCTGGGTTCGGTAACATGTGGGCCCCAGTCCTCTCTGTAGGCGTCTGCCTCCTCAGATTTCAGTCCTCTTTTTTGCTCCGTGAAAGCAACTCAGATATGTTAAAAGGTTTTCTTCTTCATTTATTCATAATTTTTCAGGTTTGTTGTTAATGAGGAAAGAGTAAGATCATGGTTTCCTCATTTTTCACATTCCCATACTGAGTAACTGCTCTCTCTCTATGAAAGCCAGAAATTAAGAGAACAACTCAAGTATCCATATCCATTACAAGTGAATGTTAGACAATTTGATGTATGATTATGAACTAAAGTACAACACAGGATTAGAATCCAGGCATCCTCATTCTCATAAAATCATGGCTGCATTCACAAATAACTGTGCTGAGTGAAAGTAGCTAACAAATTAACAGTGCACTTCATAAACTTCTATTTGTATAAACTGCAGAAGGTACAGCTATTCTAAAGCAACAGAGAAGATTACATATTGGTGGGAACTGGGTTTTGAAAGTAATGGGGTGGTGAGATGAAATTACAGAGAAGTGACACAAAGATTTAGGTGTGAATTGTACACAAATTAATTGAAGCTCTGATTAAAGGGTTGCACACATGTTACCATTTTCCAAATTATGCAGTATATATTTGAATTAATTATTAATTGTATTTAAATAAAGCAGTAACAAAGAAACAAATGAATACATTTATTGAGGTGGAGCCAAAACTAAATGGGAATGAACACTCGAAACATCTCTGACTCTTGAAAATACACAAGCGTGAACACTGGTTCTCTCTATGTATTTCAGGTCAATAGCAGAATACACTAAAAGAAAACAGAGATGTCCTGGCAGGGGTGGAATCCTGCAGACCTCACTAGGCATGTCTCACACTGCCCTGGAGTTGTCTCAGGGGAGCAGTCTCCTCTAGTGGTCAGAGGCACAGGCCGAGATAATGGGGCTAACTCTGTCCAGCTGTGTGACCTTGAATGCATTGTATAAACACTCTGTTCTCTGTGTGATTTATCTTCCTTAAAATGTGACATTGACACTTGCATTAAATGTATTCTACAAATATGTCAAAAAGATGATGACTGCTAAATGATTATCAAGGCACAATCATATAATATAATGATATTTTCCTGAGTGATAAGATGACTACCAATCTCCCCCAGGGCACTTTGTCTGCTCTGAGCCCTGCACCTCCTCAGGATTCCCATCCCAGAGCTTGCTATACAGTAGGAGACATGCAAATAGGTTTCTCCCTCTGCTGATGAAAACCAGCCCAGTCCTGACCGCACAGCTCTGGGAGAGAAGCGCCAGCCCTGGGATTCCCAGGGGTTTCTATTTGGTGATCAGGACTAAAGACAGAGGACCCACCATGGAGCTTGGGCTGAGCTGGGTTTTCACTGTTGCTGTTTTAAAAGGTGAACTAGAGAGATTGAGCGTGAGTGGATACCCTTGAGAGAAATGGTGGATTATGTCTGGGAGTTTCTGACCAGGATGTCTACGAGTTTGCAGGTGTCTAGTGAGAGGTACAGCTCGTGGAGTCCGGAGAGGACCCAAGACAACCTGGGGGATCCCTGAGACTCTCCTGTGCAGACTCTGGATTAACCTTCAGTAGCTACTGAAGGAACTCGGTTTCCCAGGCTCCAGGGAAGGGGCTGGAGTGAGTAGTAGATATACAGTGTGATGGAAGTCAGATATGTTATGCATAATCTTTGAAGAGCAAATTCACCATCTCCAAAGAAAATGCCAAGAACTCACTGTATTTGCTAATGAACAGTCTGAGAGCAGCGGGCACAGCTGTGTGTTACTGTATGTGAGGCACCAGGTAAGAAGACATCAGTGTGAACACAGACACAGTTTCCTGCAATGATAAGGGAGGAGGCTGGGCTAAAAGGGGCACTCAGGACCCACTGAAAACGGGCAGCTCTAGGGCAGGTACAGATGGTTATCATGGGCTGCTTTCCTTCGGGGTCTGTGGCTTCCTCTGCATCTACCAGTTCCCCTCGGAGCCTCTGGACATTTATGTTTCTGTGGCCACCCCTGACATCTCTGGATTAGAAAAGTTTATTATAGGAAGAGGAAACATTTTCATTTGTCCCAAAGCAGATGTAAGTAATGGAAGCAAAAAATGCACAGGAGGCCAGGTGGGGCTGTAGATACTGTCACCCCAGAATGTCAATCTCACCACTAGTACTGGAGAGGCATGGGAGTTTGATGGAGCTTCCCTAACAACTCTGTCTTCCAAGATAAGTCCAGCAAGACCATTGGTGCCTCCCAGAGCACAGTTGTCCATCAGGGATGTCCAATGCTTCCCAGCAGCAGCCATGCCTCAGTGTCTCCACTGTGCACAGCCACTGTCTGGGAGGAGCTCCCAGGATGGGTGTCTTTGGCACACACCAGGTGGCGGGTGTTAAGAGTGCAGTGCAGCAGCTGGCTGCCTGGTCTGTTGGGCCTGATGCTGGAGAGATGGGAGGTGCATTCTTGGGGCCAGCATGCTGTTTGTGAATTTTTATATAAAAACTCTGATTTTACTTCATTTTCGCAGATGACATAGATAACTAAAAACAGAATCTGCAAAGAAATTGTAATTTTCAACTTTACCCCAAATTCATTGTTTCTTAATTCTGTGCAAGATCCAGACATATTATTGCCTTCCTCATGATAATTTATTCTATGTAAAACCGAAATCATTTTTTCTCCTACTCTTTGTTTCTGTTCAAGTACAGAGATCTTGAGCAAAGTAAGTTGGGTTCTTTCCACACACTAACCCTCACCTTCCCCAGAGAATGAGCAGAGATTGTCCTCAGTCTGAGTCTAAGGGAGGAGCTGTTTCTGCACAACTCAGAGCCTGCAGAGACCCCCAGGTGCAGCTTCAGTGAGTCAGACATTTCTCCATGTGGGCGACCTCCAGTGCCTGTGACTGCTGCTCAGGCCTAATTGTTGGTTAAGCATTAGGACACTCTTTAGGTGATCACATCTCAAGCCTATTCTGAAAATCACCATGATCAGAGATAGTTCAATGGCCATTCTCCTAACATAAGTTTCTCTTTATTACTTGGTTCCAAGTATGGAGAAAAATGTGACCCTATATTTGTCTGAATCCAACATCAGCATCAACTGCATTATGCTAGGAGACTCACTAATTGAGCACAAGTGAGCTCGTTATTCTCATAGAAATGTAAGTATTTGGAAATTTCAGTGTGTTCTCCAGAACCTGTGGCTGCCAACAACTGTATTTCTCGGTGCACTCTTGGCCTGGTGAAGCCTTCACAGAACCTCTCCCTCACCTGTGCCATCTCTGCATTCTCCATCACAACCAGTGTTTCCTTCTGGAGCTGCATCCATCAGCGCCCCCATGGGAGGTACTGGAGTGGATCGGGTGCATAGGTCATGGAGGGAGCACAAATTACTCCCCTCTTCTCAAGAGTCCAGTCACCATCTCCAGATCCATGTCCAAAAAGTAGTTCTTCTTACAGCTGAACTATGTGAGGAACAAACACATAGCCATGTATTTTAGAGCAAAAGACACAGTGAGGAAACCACAGTGTGAACTCATACCCAAGCCTCCCTGTGGGGGTGCATAGGACAGCCAGGGTTACTCAGGACACCAGGCTCCCTCAGGACACCAAGGGGCACTCAAGACCATTGTAGAGGCATGCAGGTAGCTGGGGGCTCTCAGGAACCATGGGGGAAAATCAGGACACCAAAGGGTGCTTGGTACAGCGGGGGGCTCAGGATTATTGTGGCGATTCAGAAAGAGCAGGTTCAAGGCTCAACCTCAGGGCATGTGCAGCTGGTGTGAAAAGGAGCTGGATGAGGCGTTTTGTGTCACCATCATGTTTCACCACCAGACACCCTCCACTACCTCTATTCTAATGCATGTGTTTGTATGATTAGAAAATGATATTGATATAAATATATAACCATAGCTAGGTGTGTCAAGTTGTCCTCTCCATCTTATATCAGCCTTGTCTGTAAGGACTAATTCCCCATAATTACTTGAGAACCTCATAAATTGTGGTCAATTATGTAGGATTCCTCTCTTTTTCTGCCTTCCTTCCTCCCTCATTCTCTCTCTCTCACACAGAAACTTATATACAGCCACCCCACAACACACATAAATCTATAACTTTTATTACCTGATGTATTGATAAGTAATCTAAAGTTACATAAAAATCAGTAGTTCACTGTCAATATTGTAGGAGAAGGGAAGGTCTAGGAAGGAGGAATTACAGAACAAGAGGATATTTTGAGGGTAATTGACTTGTTATCTATGTGGATAATGATAATGTCTATGACCATATTTGTAAAATTGAACACTTCGTGTGGAGACTATTATTTTTTTATTTAACCCCATGCCATTATTTTGCCGTATTCTAGCATTTCTCTAAAAATACAGAAATGTTCAGCACTCATTCATGTGTATATTCAGGAGTTTCTGACTTTTCATGTATTTTATTTATCTCTGTCTAATTGCTTTGATACCAAATTTTACCTAGTATAATTAGTACTACCTTTAGCACTGATTATAAGTCTCACTCCTCCATCATCTCCTTTTTTGCCACACAAGCTGAATCTAGTTTGGACTCATAGGAGCTGCTTCATTCAATGCCAGTGGTTGTTTCAAACCCTATCAACCCCCCTACAAACTGTCATTAAGAAAGTTTATCAAACTCCACCAGTCATGTGATATTAGTTCGTTTTCACAGTGGTATAAAGAACTACCTGAGACGAGGAGTTTACAAAGAAAAGAGGTTTAGTTGACTCACAGTGCTGCATGGCTAGGGAGGCCACAGGAAACTTATAATCATGGTGGAAGGTGAAGGCGAAGCACGGCACATCACACAGCGCAGCAGGAGAGAGAGGGGGAAGTGACACATACTTTTAAACTATCAGCTCTTGTGAGAAGTCACTCACTATGATGAGAACAACATGGGAAAACTGCCCTCATGATCCAATAACCTCTCACCTGGTCCCTCCCTTGACATGTGGGGATTAGAATTTGAGATGATATTTAGGTGGGGACACAAAACAAATCTATAGCACATGTCCAGCTGTGTCCTGGAGTTGTTTCAGGGATCCAGTGTGTACTGTTGATAGAAACAGTGATCATCATTCTAGCTGGTGTGAGATGGTATCTCCTTGTGGTTTAGATTTGCATTTCTCTGATGGCCAGTGATGATGAGAATTTTTTCATGTGTCTTTTGGCTGCATAAATGTCTTCTTTTGAGAAGCGTCTGTGAAAAAAAAAAAGAAACAGTGACACCAAGCTCACACCATCCGTTGTAGTTGACAACATGCAAAGCCAAGAGATCTCAACTGAGATTTAGTGTGTGTGTCATGTCTGATGAAGTCATAAGCTCAGAGCAAGTGAATATGGAAAAGTGTATTATCTGCACAGTGTAGGTGTCTGCTGAGTGCAGGGCAGGTCTCACAGGAAAATCTAAAATGGCTTGAAAGAAGAGGAAAGGAGACTGGCTCAGGGTTTTTATAATGGTTTAGTGGTGGCGGCAGAGTGAGGCTTCCCACTCACAGATCGGGGTTTATAAGGTTTGAAACTCCCACTGCCATTGAATGAAGAAGCTCCTGTGAGTCCAAACTAGATTCACCTTGTGTGGCAAAAAAGGAGATGATGGAGGAGTGAGCCTTAAGTAATCAACAGGCATGCACCAAAAGATAGAGTGACAACTTATTCTAGGTAGCAAGAATAAAAATAATGAAAAAGAAATAAGGGTTCAGTATCGATGGACAAGACCCAGATCTACAGAAATGAGATGACTTTAGAAATATAAGGAAATAATAATGAGAGAAAGAAGGAGGGGATGGGGAATTAGGGTCCTGGCCGAATGTCTTGGGTAGAAGCTTCTCACAATCAAGGACTATCAGCTTATTCTGCAGGTCTTAGGTCACACGTCTGCTTAAAAACATCAGAAATGCCAGGCAATCAATGAGGATGCTCAGTTTAGCATCTCCTATTTGAGTAGATTTACAGTTGTGTGGAATTCTTAATTGATTCTTTTTGGTTTGTTTTTAGAGGCAGGCTCTCACACTGTTCCACAGCTTAAAGTACAGTTGTGTGATCATAGCTCACTGTAATTTTGACCTCCAGACTCACGTAATCTTCCTGTATCAGCCTCCTGAGTATCTAGAATTAGAGGGGAATGCCACCCCTCACCTGCTTATTCTTTAAAATATTTTTTCATAGAAATAGCATCTCTTTATGTTGCCCAGGTTGGCTTCGATTTCCTGGTCTCATGTGATTTCCCTCACTTTGCTTCTGAAAGTGGTGTGATTATAGGGAAGATCCACTGCATCTGTCCTGAATTGATTCTTTACTTGTAAAACATGAAGCCAATAATTAACTGCCTGACTGTTTTGTGCAGTGAGTTAGTTAAAAGTTTCTGATAAGATTCCTTCCAATATGATTCAAGAGCAGTATTTTCTGCCGATATTCCTTTCAGTTTCCTTGTTGAAGATCAGAAGACACTGCGGAAAAGATGTAGTAAAAAGGCAGTTTTAACTCTTCATGATTGGAGTGGATATCACATAGGAATCCCTTTCCGTATTTTGTAACACATGCATGCAATAGAACAAAGATGATCCCTTGGTGTAAAATCTATAAACGTATGGGCCTTTTAGCTACCAAGTCATAGGGTAATAACTGATGGACCCTGAGGAGTGAACCATGATTCCATAGTGCTAGTGGGAGAACCCTTGGCCAAGGAAGTTCACATTTTATTAAAATTGATAATTTTTATGTAGGGATGCCATTTTTTAAACATTCCCAGAAGGTTGTGAGTGGGATTGACTCTGTCTTCTGTGAACAATGACAGTGCCCTCCATGGTTAGATAATATTTTAAACTAGATTGAGCTAGAATGGTTGCTGTATTGAATCACTATATTTTTTTAGCTTCATGTTAGCTTTTTGTGTGTTAGCATTTGCTTTAAAATGATATTAATCAGCCCTCTAGTAGGTAGAAATTCATCTGAGGGTTTCTTCCCTTGTTGTCCATCTCAATAGGATTTCCAGAAGACGTAAGAACCCTCTCTGTTTCTAAAAATATTCCAGGCTGGGCGCTGTGGCTCATGCCTGTAAACCCAGCACTTTGGGAGGCCGAGGTGGGTGGACCCCTCGAGGTTGGGAGTTTGAGACCAGCCTGGTCAGTATGGTGAAACCTCATTTCTACTAAAAATACAAAAATTCGCCGGGCATGGTGGTGTACACTCGTAATCCCAGCTACTTGAGAGGCTGAAGTGAGAGGATTGCTTGAACCCTGGAGGCGGGGGTCGCAGTGAGCCGAGATTGTGCCACTGCACTTCAGCCTGGGCGACACAGCGAGACTCCGTCTCAAACAAAACGACACAAAAAATTCCAAAGTTGTGCACCCTCTAAAAGCATACGTACTTAATTCTCATTTTTAATTTATTAAACATCTCTAATAAGTTCAATGTTTCCTGCCTTCTGAGTTGATTTCCTAACACATAGAAGAATATATCCTAAATGAAAGTTTGTGTTCTTAATAGAAATTACTAGTTAATAACCTTTACTTTTATTATTGAGGTATTATACATCAATGTTAATCCTCTCAATGGGACTCTTACCTAAAGAATATATAAAATATTTTCCTGATCATGACATAAAGTAGATGTGAACACATTCTTAGCATTCAGCCATGTCTCTTGTCTATTAATATTATAAACCACATGCTAACTTTGATTTTATTGGTAATTGTTCTAATTTCTTTTTTTTTCCCACTTCTCTGGTTGTTTTTTTTTTTAACTTTAAGTTTTAGGGTACATGTGCACAATGTGCAGGTTAGTTAGATATGTATACATGTGCCATGTTGGTGTGCTGCACCCATTAACTCGTCATTTAATATTAGGTATATCTCCTAATGCTATCCCTCCCCCCTCCCCTCACCCCACAACAGGCCCCGGTGTGTGATGTTCCCCTTCCTGTGTCCATGTGTTCTCATTGTTCAATTCCCACCTAGGACTGAGAACATGTGGTGTTTGGTTTTTTGTCCTTGCGATAGTTTGCTGAGAATGATGGTTTCCAGCTTCATCCATGTCCCTACAAAGGACATGAACTCATCATTTTTTATGGCTGCATAGGATTCCATGGTGCATATGTGCCACATTTTCTTAATCCAGTGTATCATTGTTGGACATTTGGGTTGGTTCCAAGTCTTTGCTATTGTGAATAGGGAATTGTTCTAATTTCAAACTAGTTAATTTTTATCTTCATGCAGCTAGATTATTATGTGTGGCTATTTATTCCGAGAGTGATAAAGACAACATTAACAATTTTCACTGCAGGCATGTCTAGGCAACTCCCTGTGCACTATGACCCTGGGGCGTTGGAGATTCTATGGGGACTCTTCCCTACCTGCCTAGGAGAGTTCTCTGCCTTCTACCTCTAGCATTTTCCTCTTTGAAGAAGTACATCTAACTGTCATTAGAATAGAGACAAAGACAAGTCTTAACTGCTTCCAGCTGAGGAGGGATGCTGTTTGGGGAAGATCTCTCTTGGAGGTCTAAGGGACCCCAGGAAAAGGGAGCCATTATCCCAGGCTTCAGTTGCATGACCATTTGGAGTTTGATGGTCTGAAAATGAGAAGAGGCAAATCTGGTTATTAGAAGACATGTATGAAAACCAAACAAGGTGGCAAGGACAGCTTGAAAGAAAATTCCAAGGCTGCTGACATTCCTAGATAACTGCAGCTGTAGTTATGCCTGCTAAGGTTTGGGCGCATGGGGCTTGGCTTTTGTCAGCTCCCTGGGATTTATTTTCCCAAACAAAGAAACCTCCAGGTTAGGGGCACCCTATTCATTCCCATCACCTGGCATGATTTAAAGGATAATTGCTTAGAATTAAAATATTGATCCAGATTTTTTATATTCCCCATCGCTTTTTGTTTCTTCTGGGCTGTAGCCAGAGATCATTGATTGGCGCTCAGGAATAAGCAGAGTTAGTCTAAAATGCAGGCAAATACTTAAACAACTGAAGAGATTAGAATTTAAAGACAAGTGTATGATATGTTTTGAAATACAATGTTTCTCTTTCCAGTTTTGGTTTTTGTCAGCAGCAAATAATGATAAGACTGAGTTGTTTGCAAAATAAACTTTAGTCTTAAACTTGGCCTGATTATTTGCATAAAGTGCAGCAAGAATATTAATAATAATTCTGTAGGAAAAGCCTGCAAGCACCAGGAGCTTCACAGTCTAACACTATGAGCACGTGCATCCTCACGCAACTCACTGAATATGTCCAAGTCAGCCTGTTCCGATCTTAAATGCCATCCAGTGGCATCTGCCCCAGGTACACTAATACATGGGTCCTGCTTCTCTCTGCAGCCGCCTCTCTCCTCAGATTTCAGGTTTTGTGTATTGTTTGTTTTCTCTCTGACATCAACACAGATATGTTGAAGGTTTTCTTTTTTTTATTTGTAGTTGTTCAGCTTTGTTGTTAATGAGGTCAGAATAAGCTCATAGTTTACACATTTTTACATTCCCATGCCGAGTAGCTGCTTTTCTCTATCAAATCCATTAACTGAGAGAACAATCACATTTCGTTACAGGTGAACAGTTAAATAGTTTGGCATATATTTCTGTGCTGGAATCTAATGCAGCTTGAAATCAAGTCATGCCTCACTCATTGAAAAAAACATGGCTAAATTCTCAAAGAATTGTGCTGAGTGAAAGAAACTAAGGAATGAAGAGTAAATTTTATATGATACATTTGTAGAAATTTTAGAAGATGCCACTATTATAAATTAACATGGAGAAGATTTAAATGTTTCTGAGAATATGCTATTGGGAGTAATGGGGATGTGAGTTAAATTTCAGAGGAATAAGAGAAAGATTTAGGGATTAATTTATTCAAACCTTGATTGAAGTGCTGAGTAAATGGTTGCAAACATAGGTCTACATTTTTCAAATCATTCACCATAAATTTGAATTATTTATTAATTACACTCGAATAAAGCAATAAAGAAACTGATGAGATAATATTTGACTGAATTGCAGCAATAAATAGATCGATATTAACACAAGGAATATAACTGACTTCCAAAAACATACACATGAACCGTGGTTCACTCTGCGTATTTAGGTAAATAACAGAAAGTTGTCATAACAGATGGGGAATCCTGCAGACTTCACTAGGCATGGGCCATGCTGCCCTGGAGTTGTCTCAGGGGAGCTGCCTCCTCCAGAGGTTAGAGCACAGGCCCAGGTAATAGGACTAAATTTTTAGATGTGTTATCTTAGACACACTGCACAACTGCTGTGTTCTCTATGTAAATTATCTCCTGTAAAATATAACATTGAAGCCTGCATTAAATATATTGTGTAAATATGTAAGAATAAAAGAAAGTTATGAGAGCTAAGTGTTAATCAAGGCACAAGCATATAAGATATAACTATATTTTCCTGAATGATGGAATTACTACCAGTCTCCCCCAGGACACTTCATCTGCCCTGAGCCCAGCCTCTCCTCAGATGTCCCACCCAGAGCTTGCTATATAGTGGGGGACATGCAAATAGGGCCCTCCCTCTACTGATGAAAACCAGCCCAGCCCTGACCCTGCAGCTCTGGGAGAGGAGCCCAGCACTAGAAGTCGGCGGTGTTTCCATTCGGTGATCAGCACTGAACACAGAGGACTCACCATGGAGTTTGGGCTGAGCTGGGTTTTCCTCGTTGCTCTTTTAAGAGGTGATTCATGGAGAAATAGAGAGACTGAGTGTGAGTGAACATGAGTGAGAAAAACTGGATTTGTGTGGCATTTTCTGATAACGGTGTCCTTCTGTTTGCAGGTGTCCAGTGTCAGGTGCAGCTGGTGGAGTCTGGGGGAGGCGTGGTCCAGCCTGGGAGGTCCCTGAGACTCTCCTGTGCAGCCTCTGGATTCACCTTCAGTAGCTATGGCATGCACTGGGTCCGCCAGGCTCCAGGCAAGGGGCTGGAGTGGGTGGCAGTTATATCATATGATGGAAGTAATAAATACTATGCAGACTCCGTGAAGGGCCGATTCACCATCTCCAGAGACAATTCCAAGAACACGCTGTATCTGCAAATGAACAGCCTGAGAGCTGAGGACACGGCTGTGTATTACTGTGCGAAAGACACAGTGAGGGGAAGTCATTGTGCGCCCAGACACAAACCTCCCTGCAGGAACGCTGGCGGGAAATCAGCGGCAGGGGGCGCTCAGGAGCCACTGATCAGAGTCAGCCCTGGAGGCAGGTGCAGATGGAGGCTGTTTCCTGTCAGGATGTGGGACTTTGTCTTCTTCTGACAGTTCCCCAGGGAACCTCTTAAATTTAGAAAACTGTGCCTAACAATGTCTTCTCTATGCATATGAGGACCTTTTCTCCCTGGCACAAAATGCAGATTGACGCTGACACGGATGAAAATTCCTCAACCATGGTCACAAGGATCAGAGTCCTGAGTAACCTCAGGGCTTCCTGGTGAGTCTTCTCCAATCAGACCCAGGACAGGGACCTCCGTGAGATTCCCTGACTGGAACAGTCTTTATGGATCCTGGTCACAGACAATAGAGAGGCTGAACCAGGGTCAGCGTCATGTAGAACCTCACAGATTTCACGTCTGATCCTTCTCCTGACACGAAAGTATGCAAATCAGTATCAGCACCGATCTGGTGCTTCTTTTGTTCCTAATCCATTTACTTTATTTTTTCGTCGTTTTTCTCCTTTTTCCATTTGTTTTTCCTGCTTTTTGCAAAAGGAAGATGTTTTCCCTGTGAGATGCAGGGGATGACAATTTTGGGAGATGGCTGGAACATCCAATATCCTCAGGGCCGGCCATCAGTAAGTGCAGGCTGGAAGTCTCAGAAAGAGCTGAAGCTGCTTAATCACCGTGGAGTTTTACCTTCTCCAGTTCTGCTCTGATGGAATCAGGGCCAAGCAGGTTATCAATGATAATCTACCTAACATAGAGTCAACCGATTCCAGTTTCAATAACGTCTGTTAAAAATTCACACCACCACCTGGATTAGTGTTTTGTCAAATCAATACACAGTATTGTCCAGCTAAGTAGACCCAAAGACGGACCGTTGCCCATGGAGAAAAACATTAACCTGAGTTCTAGGTTCTTACAGTGTTAAAGGTGTAAAACTGATTATTAAAAATGAGGCTATTTTTCTTTTTGCTGTTGAGTTGTAGAAGTTTCTTTTCCATTTGGACATTAAAACTTTTTGAGATATATGGCATATTATCCAATTCTGTAAGTTGTAGTTACTTGGTTGCTTTGCAGAATCTTTTTCATAATCTATTCCCACTTGTTCAATTCTGCTTTTTTTTTGTAGGTGATTTGAATGTAAAATCCAGAAAAAGATTGCTAATTTTTTGAGGGTTGAGAGTTTTACAATTACAGGTATTAAAGTTAGATATTTGAGGCATTTGGAGTGAATTTTTGTGTTTATTCTAACCTAAAATTCTTAATTCTTTTCATGGGAAAATCCAGTTTTCATACCACCCTCTTTGGAAGACACTACAATTTAGCCATGTTATATTGATGGTTCTCATGCTAAAAATCAGCTCGTCATCAATATGTGGGTTTATATCTAAGCTCTGTATAGGTATTTATGCCAAAACTTTCTATGTTTTTAACAAATGTTAAGGCCTGGAAGTGAAATGCCTAAAGCTTTCTTCTTGCCTTGTTACAGATATTGGACCAAAATATTCTAACCTTTTACTATTGAGTGTAATAATAGCTGTGGCCTTTCTTAACGGCTTTTATTATGTTCAAGTTGTTTTCTTGTCTTCCTACTTTGTTCATAGTTTTTATAATGAAACTGATTTTTTTCAAAGTCTTTTTCTGTGTCTGATGAAATGTTACTGAGGTATTTTTTCTTTAGTTTTTTAATGTGGTGTACCAAATTGGTTGATTTGAGAATGTTGAATCAAGTATGCATCTCAGGAAGAAATTTGAGTTGGTCATGGTGTATGTCTTCTAAAACACTTTGGAGCTTAGTTTACTATTGTTGGGGATTAATTCATGTCTACTAATGATATTGGTCTGTAGTTTTCTTTTATTGTGGTGCCTTTGTCTATTACTGGTAATACTATCATGGTAGCCTCATAGAAAGAGTTTAGAAGATATATGGCAGACTACCTTTAAAATAGATTTTATCAGTGGAGAAATGGTGATAGTTTTTTCTTCACTTTTCTGTTGGGAAGAATTTTATGTTGTTTAAAAGATATTCAGAATGACTTAACCTGGTTTATGAGCTTTCATTCTATTCCTTTCTTCCATTCTTTTTTTTTTTTTTTTTTTTTTTTTTTTTTTTTTTTTTTTGAGACGGAGTCTCGCTCTGTCGCCCAGGCTGGAGTGCAGTGGCGGGATCTCGGCTCACTGCAAGCTCCGCCTCCCGGGTTCACGCCATTCTCCTGCCTCAGCCTCCCAAGTAGCTGGGACTACAGGCGCCCGCCACTACGCCCGGCTAATTTTTTGTATTTTTAGTAGAGACGGGGTTTCACCGTTTTAGCCGGGATGGTCTCGATCTCCTGACCTCGTGATCCGCCCGCCTCGGCCTCCCAAAGTGCTGGGATTACAGGCGTGAGCCACCGCGCCCGGCCTCTTCCATTCTTTTTGAAGAACTGCTTACCTTTCCTATTTATTTTTAAGTTTGTTTTTAGACGTATGCAATACATTTTGAGGTGAAACCTGGTGGAATTTTTTCTAATAAATTAGAAAAAAATAAATCATTTAATTGACTATTTTATTCAGGTTGATTTGTTTAATATTTGCTAAAGGCCAGTTCTTTAAGCTATGACACATAATAAATCCCAAATGGCAGTACCTCATTGTTTACTTAGCTTTTGTACTTATATTTCTCAGAGGAAGAACCACTACTGTAAATTGTAAATAGCCAATACATAATTGTATTGTATGCAAATCTGTGACTGTTTACAGTGTCATCTCTGAGAAACATAAAGTTTATTTACTATATATATATAAAGAGTTTGGAAGGTGGACTCCTCACCAATTTTTGAAAGAGTTACAGAAGGGCTGGCATTACTTCTTTAAATGTTAAGGTTCATTTTATGATGTGACATATAACCCATCATGGAGAATGTTCAATGTGTTCTTGAGAAGGATGTGTATTACGTGACTCTTGGTTGGAAGGTTCTGTAAATATCATTCAGATAAATTTGTTCAATAGTGTTGTTCAAGTTCAGAGGCACATTAGGAATTTTCTTTCCGGATTTGCTATACATTATGGTCATGAGGTATTAAGGTCTTGTGTTATTTTTGTATTGTTTTCTATTTCTTTATATCTCTTACAGTTTGCTTAATGCAGTTATATTTGTATTTGTACACATGTGTAAAAACAAAAATCATAATTGCTAAATGAGTTTTATGGCACAGTCACATTATAAGTAATATTTTTCCAAATGCTACCATTGCCACTAAACTCCTCCTGGAGTCTGACGTCTGCTTTGGGCACTGCCTTCTTCTCAGGCATCCCACACTGGAGCTTGCTATAGAGGAGGAGGGAGGGCCCCTCTCCTGGTGAAAACAAGCCCAGACCTGACCCTGCAGCTCTGGGAGAAGAGCCACAGCCCTGGGATTCCCAGGGGTTTCCATTTGGTAATCAGGACTGAACACAGAGAACTCACTATGGGGTGTGAATTAAGCTGAATTTTTCTTGTTGGTATTTTAAAAGGTAACTCATAGGGAACTAGAGTGAGTGAGAGTGAGTGGATATGAGTGAGAGAAACAGTGGATATGTTTGCCAGTTTCTGACCAGGATTTGTTTGTATTTTCAGGTGTTCAGTGTGAGGTGGAGCTGATAGAGCCCACAGAGGACCTGAGACAACCTGGGAAGTTCCTGAGACTCTCCTGTGTAGCCTCTAGATTCGCCTTCAGTAGCTTCTGAATGAGCCCAGTTCACCAGTCTGCAGGCAAGGGGCTGGAGTGAGTAATAGATATAAAAGATGATGGAAGTCAGATACACCATGCAGACTCTGTGAAGGGCAGATTCTCCATCTCCAAAGACAATGCTAAGAACTCTCTGTATCTGCAAATGAACAGTCAGAGAACTGAGGACATGGCTGTGTATGGCTGTACATAAGGTTCCAAGTGAGGAAACATCGGTGTGAGTCCAGACACAAAATTTCCTGCAAAAAGAAGAAAGGAGTCTGGGCCAAAGGGGACACTCAGCACTCACAAAACAGGTGCAGCCCCAAGGCAGGTGCAGATGGAGGGAGGGTAAGGGCTGCTTTCCTTCAGGATCTGTGGTTTCCTCTGCTTCTAATATTTCCCCTCTGAGCCTCTGTACATTTATATTTTGTGCCCACCATGAGGTCGCTGGATTAGAAAACTAATTTGAAAGAGGAAATATTCTCATATGTCCTAAAAACAGATGTAAGTATTGGAGGCATAAAAATGCATAGGAGCCGGGTGTGTCTGTAGACACTGCCACCCCCAATGCCAGACCCACAACTAGTGCTGGAGAAGGGTGGGAGTTTGATGGAGCTTCCCTGATGACCCCGTGGTCCAAGCTAAGTCCAGCAAGGCCATTGGTGCCTCGCTGAGCACAGTTGTCCATCAGGGATCTCCCATGTGTCCCAGCAGCAGCCATGCCTCAATCTCTCCACTGTGCACAGCCATTGTCTGGGAGGAGCTCCCAGGATGGGTGTCTTTGGCACACACAGTTGATGGGTGTTAGAGTGCAGTGCAGCAGCTGGCTGCCTGGTCTATTGGGCTCCTGGATATTGGAGGGATTTGAGGTGCATTCTCAGGGCCAGCACGCTTTGTCAATTTTTATATGAAAACCATGTGATTTAATTCATTTTCTCAGATGACATAGATAATTAATAACACAATCTGCAAACAATTATAATTTTCAACTTTACCCCAAGTTCATTGTTTCTGAATTCTGTGCAGGATCCAGACATGGTACTGCCCTTCTCATGAGAAACTGTTCGATCTAAACTGAAACCAGTTGTTTCTCGTATACTTTGGTTCTCCCCACATGCAGAGATCTTGATTAGAGCAAGTTTGGTACTTTCCACGCACTCACCCTCACCTCCCCAGATAAAGAGCAGAAGTTCTCCTTAGACTGAGTCTGAGGGAGGAGCTGTTCCTGTACCACTCAGGGCCTGCGGAGACCCCCAGGTGCAGCTTCACTGAGTCAGGTGTTTCACTCCCTGTGATTGCTGCTCAGGTCTAATTGTGGCTCGGAATTAGGACAGTCTTCAGGTTATCACAGGTCAATCATATTCTAAAAATCATCGTTATCACACACCATGGTAACAATTCAAGGTTCATTTTTCTAACGGCAGTTTCTCTTTTTTATTTGGTTGCAAGTTTGAGGAAAGGAACATGTGATAATACTTTTTAACCTAACCTCGAAATCTACTGAATTGTTCTAGGAGACTCACAAATTGGACAAAGTGAGCTCTTTATTCTCATAAAAATGTGTGGTTTTGGGAATTTCACTGTGTTGCCCAGAACCTGTTAACATCAACAACTATGTTTCTCAGCACACTTCTGGCTTGAGACGTCCTTGCAGACCCTCTCCCTCACCTGCACTGTCTCTGGATTCCCCATCATAACCAGTGTGTCCTGCTAGAATTGTATCTGCTTGCCCCTAGAAGATGGACAGGAGTGGATCAGGTGCATGGGTTGTGAAGGGAGCACAAATTACAACCCACTGCTCAAGAGTCCATATCCAGATCCAAGAAACAGTTCTTACAGCTGAGCTCTGTGCCCAGTGAACACACAACTACGCATTTTTAAGCAAAAGACGCAATGAAGGGCCTTCATTGTGAGCCTAGACACAACCCTCCCTGCAGGGGTGAATAGGAGCAGCAGGGGGCATTCGGGGCAGTATGGGGGCTTAGGATGATTGTTAGGGGTCAGGATGAGCAGGATCAAGGCTTCGCATCAGGGCAAGTGCAACAGGGCAGAAAAGGGGCTGTAGATGTGGGTTGTTCTCACCATCATATTTCACCACCAGACACCCTCCACTACATCTCTTCTAATGTGTCTGAGTGTTGATATGATTAGAAAATGGCATTTATGTAAATACTAATATGTACCCATATGGAGGTGCATCCAGTTGTCTTCTCCATCTTATGTGGACCTTGTCCATCAAGCACTAAGTCCCTGTATTTACTTGAGTACCTCACACATTATGGTCAAAACAGGTAGGGTCTCCTTTTGGCATGGTCTCTCCTCCTGCCTTCTCTCTTCTGTCACACAAAAACACGTGAACTGACACACACACAGAGCTTCCCAACTTTAATTATGTGATGTATTGAAGCAAATTGATTAGTGTGCAGCTTTTCTGCTTTGCCTGCTATTCATGTTATGTAAAAATAAGAACCATGTTTTTCTCAGCTTGTCACTTCTCTAAGCTAAGTAGCATCTTTGTTTATTATACCCAGAGACCAAAAGCGATCCAACTGTTATTCAGCAGCTTAACTGGTAAACAAATTGTGGAAAATTCACTTACTGGAATCATACCCACTGCTACAATCAAGTAATGCTGGATACACCCAACACCATGCTTAAAATAGCAAGTACTTGAATAAGTAAAATAAGTCAGACAAATAAAAGTGCATACATACGATTCCACTTCTATAATTTCTATAAAGTAAAAATGAACTTAAAGTTACATAAAAAGATCTGTAGTTGACTGGGGACATGGTACAAGAAGAGAAGGTATAGAAAGGAGAAACTACAGGAGAACAAAAGGAAATTTCTAGGATAATTGATTTTTTTCTCTGTTAGTAAAAGTGAGGATTATGTCAATATTTGTAAAATTGTACACTTTATGTAAAGATTCTTATTTGCTAATTTCACCTCATTAAAATATTGCAATTTTTTAAATGTCTAGTTTGGTAGAAAAGGTAGTAGAGAGAGATGAATAAAATACATAAAAATCAGAGAGTCCTGAATACACACATGAATGGACCCTGGGTCTCACTGTACTTTTAGGGAGACACTAGAATACAAAAACATAATGACAGGATTTCAGTACATGAAAGGAGCTTCTCAGACCCCAGGAGGCATGTCCAACTGCGTCTGGGAGTTAACTCAGGGAGCAGGCATGTCCTTTGGAAGGAGCCGTGACACCAAGCTCCCAGCATCCATTGTAGCCGACACCATGCCAATGCCAAGAGATCTCAACTAAAATTTTCTGTGGATGTTGAGTCTGATTATGCCACACACTCACACCAAGTGAGTATGGAAAGGATAGTTACCTGCATCCTTAAGGTGTCTGCTGAGAGCAGGGCAGGTCTCTCATTAAGGTCCAAAGTGGCTTGATAGGGCAGGGAAGGAGACTGGCTCAGGGTTGTTATCATGGTTTGGTGGGGAGCGGGGCAGAGCATCCTACTTGCAGGAAGGGTTTTGTGGGGTTTCAAGGCCAAATTGGCATCAAATGAGGGAGCTCCTGTGATTTCTAACTAGATTTACCTTGTATGCTTAAAAAAAGAGATGATGGAGGAATGAGCCTGAAGTTATCAGCAGTCAGGCCTAAACACAGAGTCTGATGACTTACTCTAAATAGCAAGTATACAAATGATGAGTAAGAAAAGAGACAAGACTCCAATATGGGTGGACAACAGCCAGGTCTGCAGAAAATGAGAAGACTGTTTATAAGCAAAGAATAATGAGTAGGATATGGAGGAGGATTCTGGTCCAATGTCTTGTGTGGAAGCTTCTCATGATTTGAGATCATCAGCTTATTCTGAAGGTCTTAGGTCACCTGTCTTCTTCAAAATATCAGAAGTGCCTGATGATATGTGAGGATGCGCAGTTTAACTTCCTCTATTTGAGTAGCTTTACAATTGTGTAAAATTCTTAATTAATTAATTT
The DNA here is from genome assembly GCF_000001405.40 of Homo sapiens. NCBI lineage: Eukaryota > Metazoa > Chordata > Mammalia > Primates > Hominidae > Homo > Homo sapiens. The sequence continues at coordinate 106,327,354 of NC_000014.9, read as the reverse complement.
TTTTTTGAGACGGAGTCTCACTCTCTTGTGCAGGTTGGACTGCAGTGGTGTGATCATAACATAGCTCACGGTGATTTTAAATTCCTGGCTCATAGAATCCTCCCACCTCAACCTCCTGACTAGCAAGTAGCTAGGTTTCCAGGGCCCTTCATCTACACTTGGCCGGTTCTTTACATTCTTTTTTTTTTTTTTTTTAGGTGGAGTTTCCCTCTTCTTGCCCAGACCGGAGTGCAATGGCGCCATCTCAGCTCACTGCAATCTCCCCCTCCCAGGTTCAGGTGATTCTCCTACCTCAGCCTCCAGAGTAGCTGGGATCACAGGCATGTGACACCATGCCCCGCTAATTTTGTATTTTTAGTAGAGATGACGTTTCTCCATGTTGGTCAGGCTGGTCTCAAACTCCCTACCTCAGGTGATCCTTCCACCTCAGCCTCCCAAAGTGCTGGAATTACAGGCGTGAGGCACCACACCTGGCCTCTTCGTTTTTATTCATATATTCCTTCAGCAGCCACTATGTCTTCCCACTGATTTCTTCAGTTTCTGCCTTTTCCTTTTGAATAAGGCTGTTACTCCTGAGGGAAGATGGGAGGTGGGCCTGGACAGGGACTTGGTGCATTCCTCTCTCCCCTCCCAGTTCTTATTGGTTTCTCCAGTGTCTGTAGAACAGTGGTTTTGATGGCTTTACCTCTGCAGATAATTTCTCTTGCAATGTAGTGCTGATGGGGAGGTGTGTCTGGATGCACTTCACCTATAGTTGCTGTTTTGCTTTCCCAGACAGCACCATCCCAAGGGGTAGAGGGTGGAGCATTTTGTGATGTATCCCCAGTACTGAAGAAAAAGCCTTCAATAGCAGGAGGAATTCCTCAACTGCATACACTCTGAGAATTTAAACAATAACTTCTCTATCACACTCAAATTGAAACCACCCAATGAATATGTCTACTTTAATCGTGTGCTAACTTAAATGACATTTGGCAGCCTCTGTCCCAGAAAAGATTATCATCTGCTCCTGTTTATTTCCCTGCAAGTCTTTATGTCTGTTCAGATTTCAGATATATTGTTTGTCCTATAACATCAAAAATTTGATGTATATATGCTAATTTGCAGATCAGTAAGTTTAGTATTTGTTATAAGAATAGTAACATATTTTTATGGGGTGCTTACATCTCCAAGCTGAGAAGCACCTCTGTGTAATACTAAGCAACTAGAAATGGTACAAATATCAAGAAGATACATAGATAAACAGTAATGGCATGCTAATTTATGGTAATAACATCCATCATTAGAATCAATACATTGTTGATGCTCAACATGTGTGCATCATAAGTAGTTATGTGCGAGAAGCCACACAAATAAAACACATACTATGTAATTCCTGTATAATAAATTCTTGAAACTCAAAACTAAGGTATTAAATGTGAAGGACTGACTCAGAATATGGTGGAGGAAGAAAATAATTGGGAAGGAGGAATTGTAGAGGAACACAAGGAAACTTTTAAGTGTAATTTGTTTATTCATTATTTGGATGGCTTTTGGGGATGCACAGGTGAGCACGAGTGGAATAACATTTTGTTTTGTTTGTTTGTTTGTTTTTTTCTGAAGAGATGTGGTCCTACTCTGCGACCCAGGCTGGAGTGTAGTGGTGGGATCATAGTTCAATGTAGCCTCCAACTTCTGGTCTCCAACAATACTCCTGCATCTGCCATCTAAGTAGCTGGAACTACCGTTGTTTGCCAGCAGGCTTGGCTTGAGTACTTATTAAACCGCACACTTTTTGCAATATTTAATGTATAGTAATAATGTCTCAATAAGACTATTACAAATCAATGAATGAATAATTTGTTCTGTACAGATTTATGGAAAAATAGACACTAACATGATGAATGACTGACATTTATGAAAATACAGCTGCATGAAATGTGCTTCTCTTTACATTCATTAGGTAAACACAATAGTGCATACACATCACACCGTGCTTTCATTACAGGAAGAAAGATCTGAAAATGTCACTGGGGTGAACCATATTGTGCTGGGCTTGGTTCAGGAAGCAGTCAGGCCCAGTGTTGTGACCTTCAACCACAGAATCCTAAAAAATAATAAAAGAGGCTCCCCCAAAGTCCCCATCAGTTCCTGGACTCGCCATGTGTCTGGGCCGTATCAGTGCATCCGGAGCTCCCTGGTGGCTTTAGGGATTCCTTGCTTGCCATGCTGAGGTCTCGCTATAGATTATGTTGGGTTTTCTGAGGCCGTTTTGCTATTTAAGACCCACTCCCTGGCACAGAGCGATTCCCTCTAAACCTGATAGAGGTTCTGAACTACAAATAACGTTAAGTGAATCCTGGTGTGTCTGAACTCACATGATTGTTACATTAAGCTGCTGTTGCAATCTGTTTCCTCACCTGGGAAAAGAGGAGCCAGGACATAGTGAGTTGAGGCCCCAGGAAGATAACTGAATTCTCAGAGGGCACAACCAGCATCCTCCTTCCAGGGAGAGCCTAAAAGACTGGGGCCTCCCTCATCCCTTTTCACCTCTCCATACAGAGGCACCACCCACATGCAAATCTCACTTAGGCACCCAAGGGAAACCATCACACATTTCCTTAAATTCAGGGTCCTGCTCACATGGGAAATACTTTCTGAGAGTCCTGGACCTCCTGTGCAAGAACATGAAACACCTGTGGTTCTTCCTCCTGCTGGTGGCAGCTCCCAGATGTGAGTGTCTCAAGGCTGCAGACATGGAGATATGGGAGGTGCCTCTGAGCCCAGGGCTCACTGTGGGTCTCTCTGTTCACAGGGGTCCTGTCCCAGGTACAGCTGCAGGAGTCGGGCCCAGGACTGGTGAAGCCTTCGGACACCCTGTCCCTCACCTGCGCTGTCTCTGGTTACTCCATCAGCAGTAGTAACTGGTGGGGCTGGATCCGGCAGCCCCCAGGGAAGGGACTGGAGTGGATTGGGTACATCTATTATAGTGGGAGCACCTACTACAACCCGTCCCTCAAGAGTCGAGTCACCATGTCAGTAGACACGTCCAAGAACCAGTTCTCCCTGAAGCTGAGCTCTGTGACCGCCGTGGACACGGCCGTGTATTACTGTGCGAGAAACACAGTGAGGGGAGGTGAGTGTGAGCCCAGACACAAACCTCCCTGCAGGGAGGCGGAGGAGCCGGCGCAGGTGCTGCTCAGGACGAGCAGGGGGCGCGCGGGGCCCACAGAGCAGGAGGCCGGGTCAGGAGCAGGTGCAGGGAGGGCGGGGCTTCCTCATCAGCTCAGTGCTCTCCCTCCTCCCCAGCACCTCAGCTGTCCCCAGGACTCCTCTTTCTTTATTATCTGTGGTTCTACTTCCTCACATCCTTGCTGCAGGTTTTAACAGTCACTGGCACCCTTTTTTCAACAAATTCCCACAAGGCCCATTTTACCTTCTTGACAAGCAAAATATTCTAAGGCTTCTCACTATCCCTTGATTGGCGTCATCTACTGCATCGTGTCTTTCTCTTAAATTCATGTGATGAAACCCCAATCCCAGTGGCTCTGTATTGGACAGAGGGATTTTAAGAGGGCAAATAAGTTAACTGTGGCCATAAATGTGGGACCCTAATCCAGTAGGACTCTTGTCCTTATGAGAAGTGGAAGACATCAGAGGCCTCTCTCTCCACATGCACACAGAGGAGAGTCCATGTGGGGATGCGCTGCATGAGAAGGTGGCCCTTTGCAAGCCTGGAAGAGGCCTCTCAAAAAACTTACCCTTTCTGCACCCAGATCTTGGACGTCAAGACTCCAGAACAATAAGAAAATTAATATTTGTTATTTGAAATAGCCTAGTCTGTGGTATCTTCTCATGGAAAGCCAAGTAGATTCAGAGATTCAATTGTGTTAGCTCCGTCTCCTGCATGGAGTAGCAGCCCACCGAGGCTGGACACATCTCTCAAATTATTTTCATAAAGAAAAATAGATCCAAGATGAAAACCCCACCACATTTCTGCTGAGCCATTCACTTAGCAGCAGTCTCTGAGATCAGCCCTGGGGGTATGTTCTAGGTCGTGTATCTCACTTTCCACTATGAGAATCCATGTAGATAATGAGAACCAGCCAGATGGAGTCCTGATCCCTGCCCACCTTCTGCTTCCCCCCAAGTGACACACGGTCACAGAAAACCACTCCAGCATCACCCTGTGTCTTGTACTCTCTAAAATCCCACTAAAGCTGACCCTAAACTAGGAGCTATTTGGGGCTGGACTCATTCTGTTCTTAGTCTTCCATAAGGTCCAGGTGCCGAGTAGAGCCTCAGTAAAGAGTGAGCTTCAATTCCCCTAACCCACATCATTCCCTTACATCCTTGTCATGCACCTGTCCTCTGCAGGCACCCAGGGCAGGTTACACAGGAATTGCCTGAAGCTGGTCTCAGGTGCCCTGCTGAGACCACTGGTTATGCACACGTATGATTTCAGGTCATGCAGGCTCTTCTGCAGGACAGACCTGTGTCCTGTAGAGCACAGACACTTGGTGACCCAGGGCCTCCTCTAATAACTCATACATCTCATGTCAGTGTATATCCAGGTGGCCCCTCAGTGCAGCACACTAGGGTGATTACCCTCACAGGTGGCTTTTTCAGGCGGTGAACAGAAAATGGGGTGGGCACGCTGGTCATTCCCATCATCGGTGATATCCAAGTGAATTTTAAATAAATGAAACAAAACTAACAACAAAGGGGAAGGATATGTACCTGTATCTGGGAGGTAGACTGGGTCCCAGAACTGTACTGGGAGTGGGTGTGAAAGGCCCTTTTGTGTGGGAAGCCCTCCAGCATGAGTGAAAGCTGAAGGAATGATCACTGTAGGTGGAGGCTGATGGAGAAGCTGGCAGGGTACATTTCCTGAAGCTGTTCCCGGGTGCGTGATGGTTCAATGGCCCATGTACATGAAGAGGAGGGCTGGACTCATGTAGGATCAAGGAAACTACCCCATGGCAATGGAAGAAAAGAAAATGGAGATGGACACCCCTGGAGGCAGCTTATTAGCTTTGGTGGAGGAACGATGGGAATTTATTCCAATGACCCCAGCATTTTCAGCTAAATATGAGTTGCATTAACAGACAGAATTATGAAGGGAAGGGAGAAGGAGTTTATAGAGGGAAAAAGCAGAACAGAAAAAAAGAACTATGCAAGTCTATCAAATGGCAGATGACAGAGTGGAGCTGATGCAGCTACTTCATTCTTCCCGGAACCTACCAGAGACCTTGGCATTCCTGTAAGGCAGGTCTAGTGGTGATGCACTTGTCCACTTTTTGCTTTTTGGAGAAACGTTTGAAACATCCTACATTACTGAAGAAAAGCTTTAATTAGTGTAATATTTTTACTTGACAGTTTTATTGGTTTTGTTTTATTTTCAGCAACTTGAATAGAATCATGCACATCATGATATTTGGGTGAACAACAGGCCACATACACGATAATGATCTCATTAAATTATAATACTGTATTTTCACTGCATTTCTTCCATACTTAGATATGTTCATATATATACATACCTACCATGGTGATTCAACTGCCCACAGTATTCACTACACTTACATGATGTACAGATTTGTTATCTAGGAGCACTATGCTATCCCACACAGCCTGGGTGTAGCAGGGTATTTCACGTAGGTTCACGTAAACACACTCTATGATCCTCGCATGATGACAAATTGCCTAAGGACACATTGCTCAGATGTATCCCTACTGTTAAGCTACACATCATTGTATCTCATCTCTCTCCATTTTTGGTCTCTGATAAAATTCTCGTGTTGTTTTTGCATTCTTCTCTGAGCTCATTGAACACATTTATAAGGTTTCCTTTGAATTTTCTGCCAGGTAATCAATATACCTCCTTTTAATTTGTGTCAGTTTCTAGTGCTTTGCTTTGTTACAGAATTTGGACTGCTTTTTTTCTCTTTCATTATTATTATCACTTTGTACATTCTCTGTTGCTTTCTGCTCATTAGAAGGAAAAGCCATGGTAACCACTCTTCACAGAATATGCTCAGGGCAAATGCCATCACCTGTTAGCCCAGTCCATGATAGTGGTGTCTCTTAAAATTTCATACTGGTCCAAACTTTTTGTTGTTGTTGTTAGTGGCACTCAGACCTATAGAGGATTTTAAGTTTTCCCCTACTCTAAATTAGGTGGCATCAAAATTCATCCTGCAGGCAGTCTCTGATAAAGTGGAGAAATTGGACAAAGTTTTAGCATGTATATGGTTCATAAAAATAATATGAGTTTAAGGTTTTCTCAGCCAGTTGCTACATATTGATATTTTATAATCATTTCTTTGAATGTCTCTGGAGTTTATCTTTTGAAAATTTAGATCAGAATATATACCAGGTTTGAGGCTTCTTGTCTGGCTTAACGATCTCCTATAGGTCAGCGTGTGAAAAGGCACAGAGTCTATCTGAAGAGGAGAACTCAGGGAAGCCCCAAAACAACAGAGGAGACAAAACTGAGGACTTTGAGGAATCTAAAGCTTCTGGGACCTGCAGCCTCCAGACATGCTCAGCACCCTCTTGTTATCCACGGACTAATTTCTTTCTCTTTTCTGAGTGGTATTTTCTAGGGTTCCCGTCCTCCACTTTGACACTTTGGTATGTCCATGTGTGTCCATTGTGTTTCAGCCAGGGACACAGAACCAGGAAAACATCATGGCTTTTCTAGAGGGAGCTGACCTGGGTAATCAACAGTTGGAGTAGAAAGTGCCTTTGTCCATGTGTCACAGGCCTAAGGGCCATGGGCAGGAGGTCAGGAAGAGAGGATGACCAGACGGCTGGGGAAACCAGGATGAACAAAGCCACTCTCCTTCCTGGTGAGAAGGGGCATGTGGAAGCCTGGTGTCCCTGTAGGGCTGAACCACACTCACCTGCCCACTGCTACCTGCCAACGAGGTGACCCACAGAGCAGCAGCAGCTCCTGAGTCACTCACAGAGGCTGCCTCCTCCTCCAAACCCTCCAGTGTATGTGCTTCCATAAGTGTGAGCCCCAGCAGATCCCAAAGTTTTCAATGGGTTCATCTAGCTAGTGTCTGTCCTCAGCCCCATCCCCAGGCTCCTGCCCTGGTTGGTGTCCACAGTGTCCCAGCAGCGGTGACAGTGACAGCCAGGGCCTGCACTTTCCAGAGCAGCAAGTTTGGAAGAATCAAGTCCCAGAACCAGCCTGGATTTGGGGCAAACACACAAATTTCACTCTGAGGGGAAGTGCTGGAAAGTAGCCTTGAGTCTTCCTCAGCTCACCTGTGGCTGATCCTCTGCATCCCATCAGCGATACATGAGCCCTCCCCAACCCCAGCGTGGAGCTGTTTCAATCGCAGCAGGATGGGAATGTGTCTTCTTTCTGGGGACTTTTTAAGCACAGCTCTTATGTTCCTGAGATTTGAGGTTTATAAAGGTGTGTCAGTCACCCACAGAGTGGACCTGCACAAGTAAGACAAGGACAGGATCCCCAGGAGAGGCACCTCATATGAGACGGGACAGGCAGGTCCCATCACAGACACTGGTCCTCAGAAACCCTGACCAGCTACTCACCTTCCCAGGTCACCTGTGTCTGATCAGTTCCTGTGTTTGCTCCTGAAAAGATCCCCATCAAGGGTCCCCAGGTCCTGCCCCCTTCCTTGATGTGCCTCTGGGAGTGGGGCTGGCTGGGCTGTGGGTCTGCTGTGACTTTCCCCACAGGTCAGCGGCTCAGTGCAGGCTGCGCCAACTCGGTGGGGCTGGGCTGTGGCCGACCCTCCCAGGGGGAGCCTGGATGCTTCTCGGGGGCATCTGCAGGATCCCAGGTTCTGGGAGAACAGGGAAGCCACAGTGTGTGCAGGGCCCCATCTCCAGGTGTAAAGTGTTTGCTGTCACTCTGTTGACAAGGGCATATCCCCAGGCCTAGGGGCACTGTGGGTGCACAACCAATGTGGTAGACACAGAGAGTAAGGCACATTTCCCTCCCATTACTGTGGGGAATCTAGGCACTGTGTGTGTGTGTGTGTGTGTGTGTGTGTGTGTGTGTGTGTATTAGGAGTTTTGCAGTGGGCTCTGAGCCCCGTGATTTTGTAGGTTTAGAAATTATCTGATGAGATGTTCATCCACAGGAACCGACAAGAGATTAGGTGTTCTCCCAAAGCCCCTGGGAGCTCCTGGACTCATTGTGAGTGTGGACTGATCCATTGCTTCCGGAGCTCCACAGAAGGGGCTCCCTGGTGGTTTCATAGAATCCTTGCTTGGGGTCTTTCTGCAGAGTTCACTGGCTTTCCTACGGCCAGTTTAGTATTGTAAGAGATGGTGTCAGCAGCACATGGTATCACATGTCACTAAATGAGCATTCTGAGCCAGGACACAGCATCTTCATACTGGGGGGAGGGAAATGCTTTGGGAGCCCAGACAGGAGCCTCTCTGCAGTGCAAGGGCTGGGCTGCAGGGGGCGCTCAAGGCCCACCCATCACAGGCTCCACCCCCAGAGCAGGTGCACCGGAGGCTGGGGAGGGATTCCTCTCAAGATCTGTGTCATTCTTCTAAAAAAAATCTAAAATGAGTATTTGACAAAGACTGCTGAACATTCTATAAATATCCTATTCAATTGTGAGCATTTATCAAATTTGATGTTGTAATGAGAACCACTTTTATACTAGATATTTCTAACCCTGCTAGATATCTTAATAGTATGCAGCTGGAGGTTAAGCAAGCTTTTCTTTTATATAAATAAGTGCAACTTTGGAGAAACACACTCATCCCCCGAATAAGACATTCATGTATTAAAGCCTAGAAATACTTTAAATTACCTCTGAGCCATTCAAGTGTGTGTTCACAGTGAAGTCCTGTTCTAGGGAAAATTGTTCTCCAGGGGGAGAAGCTTTGTCAACATAGAGCTTAGGGATGTATCAGGAGGCACATGACCTCTAAGGGGATTATAGCTTGAACCCTTAGCATCCTCCTGTTGGTAATACATGTGTCACTCTCCAATCTTTCTCATGCAGTATCAGGTATGAAATAGGATCGCTCATGAATATGCAAATAACTGAGGTAAATATAGATATCTTTGTGCCTTGAGAGCATCATCCAACAACCACAACTCTCCTCAGAAGAAGCCCCTAGACCACAGCACCTCAACATGTACTGGACCTGGAGGATCCTCTTCTTGGTGGCAGCAGCAACAGGTAAGGGACCTCCCAGTCACCGGGCTGAGAGAGAAACCAGGCCAGTCAAGTGAGACTTCACGCACTCCTGTCTCCTCTCCACAGGTGTCCACTCACAGGTGCAGCTGGTGCAGTCTGGGCCTGAGGTGAAGAAGCCTGGAGCCTCATTGAAGGTTTCCTGCAAGGCTTCTGGATACACCTTCACAAGCTATGCTATCAGCTGGGTATGACAGGCCCATGGACAAGGGCTTGAGGAAATGGGATGGATCAACACCAACACTGGGAACCTAACGTATGCCCAGGGCTTCACAGGACGGTTTGTCTTCTCCATGGACACCTCCGTCAGCATGGCATATCTTCATATCAGCAGCCTAAAGGCTGAGGACACGTGCAAGAGGCACAGTGTGGAAACCCACATCCTGAGAGAACCAGAAATCCTGAGGGAGGAGGCAGCTGTGCTGAGCTGAGGCAGTGACAGGGACAACGTGGCTGCACCCTTTGTTGACATAGGGTTATACACATACATATATATGCACCCAACACTGGAGCACCCAGGTATATCAAGCAAATACAATTAGAGATAAACAGAGAGATAGACCCAATACCATAATAGCTGGAGACTTTAACACCCCACTTTCAGCATTGGACAGATCTTCCAGACAGAAAATTAACAATGAAATCTTAGACTAAATCTGCATGACAGACCAAGTGGACATAATGGATATTGATGGAACACTTCATCCAATGGCTGCAGAGTACACAATCTTTTCCTAAGCATATGGATCATTCTCAGGGATAGACCACATAGTAGACCAGAAAATTTGTCATTTTTAATTAAAAAGATATCATGTACCTTCTCTGATAGTAATGAAAGAAAACTAAAATAATAAGAGGAATTTTGAAAACACATGGAAATTAAACAGTATCCTCCTTAATTAAACAATGTGCTTCCAAACTGAACTATATGCTCTAAAATGGGTTAATAAAGAAACAAACAAGAAAATTTTACAATTTATTGAAAGAAATGATAATGAAAACACAGCATATGAACACCTATGAAATACAGTGAACATAGTACTAAGAGGAAAGTTCACAGCTATAAGCACCTATGTTAAAAAAGTAGACAATTATAACATAAACATCTTAGGAATATCTCTCAAAAAAAACTAGAAAAGCAAGAGCAAATCAAATCCAAACATAGTAAAATAAAAAAGTTAAGATCAGAACGTTAATAAATAAAATTGAAATAAATAAAACAATACCAAAGATCGATCAAATGAAAAGTTGTTTTTTAAAAAGATAAAAGACATCTATAAACCTTTAACCAGACCAAGAAAAAAAACAAAGAAGACCAAAGTAAATAAAATCAGAAAGAAAACTGGAAATATTACAACCAATAGTGCAGAAAATCAAAGGATCATTAGAGGCTACTAGGAGCAACTAAATGCCAATAAATCGAAATATCTGGAAGAAAAGGATAAATTTAGAGACACATACAACCTACCAAGATTGAGCCAGGAAGAAATTGAACAGATCAGTAACAAGTAGTGAGAGTGAAGCCATAATAAAAGGTCTCCCAGCAAAGAAAAAACCCGGGACTTGATGACTTCATCACTCAATTATGACAAACATTTAAAGAAGAGATAATACCTAATCTCACTCAAAATATTCCAAAAATAGATAAAAAGTAGATAAGGAAGGGAAGAATTCTTCCAAACTTACTGTACAAGGCCAATGTTACCCTTATATGAAAACCAGATAAAGCCATACCAAAAAAAAAAGAAAACTACAGTTCAATATCACTAATGAATATGGATGCAAAACTCCTCAAGGAATTCTTAGCAAACCAAATTCAATAACATATCAAAAGAGCATTCATCATGACCAAGTGTGGCTTATCCCAGAGATGCAAGGATGGTTCAACCTATGCAAATCAATCAATGTGACACATCGTATCAACAGAATGAAGGGCAGAAGACGTAAGATCAGGCCTTACCTTGTTCTCCTCACTCAAAGTCTACCATTAGTTCTTTGGTCCTCTTGACCAGTCCTGCTGTACTTGGTCTCCCGTGATTCTGTTCCCAGGTCCTGAAACACTGGGCTTCTGCACACCTGGAGTCTCTCTCTTTGAACATGGAGACCCTGTATCCTCAGAGAGGGATGATGCCTCATTGTGGCTCCCATGCCCCATGCAAACAATTCTTCCAACACAGTCATGATTTTTCCTGTTGGAAATTGAAAGGGGATGTGGGAATTGATGTGTGTGTGTGTGTGTGTGTGTCCTCAGGCCTGTTGGGCCTGTTGAGAACACAGCAGGGCTCTATGTACAACAGGAAAGCAATGTTTTCTCTATACCATCTATTTTCTTATAAAGTGTTCATAGGTAATCAAAAGGAAATGAATCACAGTTTATAAGATGTTGTGGACTGGACTGATGTTGTCACTCAAGGCTACTATGGGGGCTCCAGGAAAAGAAACCTAGAAAAGGATAAGACTGTGAGCAAAGAAGCAAAACCTGGGAAGCAGCAGGGAGAGGGTGAGCAGGGGTGACTCAACTGGGGAGGGATAACACCACTTACCACAGAGGGTGAAAACTCCGTGCTCAGCAAAGAGGAGAACTTACTCAGCATTTCCCCTAATCCTCCCTCCAGAAGCGCGACTGCCAGGAAAGTTCACAATGTATCATCTCCAGCTGGGAACCCAAAAGAAACAGGAGATTTTAGGGCGTAGGTCCTGGGCACAAGGTGTTTCCCTGGTTCCTACCCCTTCCCTCTCTGTCCAGCAAAACTGCTTGTTTCTATCACTTGCCTTCCTGTCCTTGGGGTAAGAATGGATGCTTTGACACTCAGCAGAGGGATGCTCTTTCAGAGGAGGAATGAGTTTGTGTTATCTGATGTCTGAGCAGGACACTCACCTCTGGGAAGAGGCTCCAAGACAGAAGGTCGCCGTGGTTCCTGCCCCTTATATGTGAGGGGCTCTTGACACATGCACACTTTTCCTCAAACTCTGTTTATACCCCAGCAACAATGCTGGGTGTTGTCAGCCTCTCTCCTCCCCAGATACTGCTCTATCATCAGCTTGAGCACAGTTTCCCCATGAAAGGCATTATTCTCTCTCTCAAGAAGATCAACTTTTTACATGTCTTCGATGGATGACAGTTTTTCTGTGTGAGAATCTAGAAATAAGAAATGGGGTAATGGGGACAAGTGAGCTCTCTGTGTGACTCACTAGGAAGTCCACTGTTATTCCAGGTGTCCTGTCCCAGGTGCAGCTGCAGGAGTCAGGTCCAGGACCCATGAGGCCCTCAGACACTGCCCTCTGCCTGTGCTGTGTCTGGATTCTTTTTTTTACCATGGATATTATTTGAGATGAATCCACCATCCCGTGGGCAACAGGCTGGAATGGCTGGGGCACAGTTACTAGACTGGATCATCAAGGAATACACATCATGCACCCTCCACCCAGGTCCATGTCCCCATCAACAGTGACTCAACCAAGAGCCAGTTCTCTGTGAAGCTCAGCTCCATGACCACCTAGGACACGGCTGAGTATTACTGTGAAAGACTCAGTGAGGAGGTGTCCTTATGAGCCCTGACACAAACCTGTCAGGGCACTTAGGACCTCCAGGAAGACTCAAGACCACCAAGGGGACTCACGACCACTGGGGAAGGGCAGGTTGCAGTAAGCACAGGGCCAGCCCCAGAGCAGGTGCAGGTGGAGATGAGAGGCTGGTTTACTGCCAGGGTCTGGGGCTGCTTCTCCATTTAGATGTTTCCTTCAGAGACCCTCCCTTATTTCATGATGCTCTGCTTAGCTGTAAGTCTCTGAAATATCACAGTTTTGTTGTACCAGGAGGAAACCTTCTCTCAGGTGCTAAATGTAGAACAATCTCTCTGCCAGTGGTTGCCAGGGTCACAGCCCTGTGGAAGCTGAAGGGTACCCAGTGAGTCTTCTCCAGTCACATTCAGGACAGGAACCTTAGTGGGGTTCCCTGAGGAGAACAGTCTTTAGGAATTCTAACCTCAGCCAAGAGAGGCTGGGCCAGGGTCAGTGTCAGGTAGAACCTCACAGGATTTACGTCTGACCCTTCTCCTGACACTAAAGCATGCAAATCAGTATCAGCACTGATCTGGGGCCCCTTTTGCTCCTAGCCCATTCTATTTCTTGTTAGTTGTATTTGTTGTTGATTTTCCTTTTGCTGTTCCTGATCCCTGTAAAGTGGAGATGTGGTTCCTGCTGTAAAAATTCCAGGGCTCAAGCCCTTTCCCTGCAGCTCAGGTGGGGCTCAGACTGTGGCTCCTGCAACCACGTGGGAGAGGCTGATGGGACTATCTTCTCTCCCGTTGCTCAGAACCCTCCAGTGTGTTGTGTGGAGACTCACCTGGGAATGCAAGTGGCCAATAGTTGTGAAAGGTATGAGCTTGTTTGGTCAAAGTGGAATGTGGATGTGGAATTTATCCTGTGTTGTGCAAACTAACACAGGTTCACCTTCCTCACCTGTAGTGTTAGAAAGAGTGTGAAAGTTGTAAGAATCAAAACAGAGCCACTTGTGTTAACACCCTGACAAATGGACCTAGGAATGAACATGAAGGAGGGTTCTTAGGCCCATATTCCTGATAACAAAAACTATCATAAATAGACTCTGCTTAGCCACCATCTTGGATAGAAGCCCACCACAACCTTATTAAAAATTACACTTGCAAGAACATCAGCTCAGAAACTGGCTGTTCAACCTTACACTGATGCCACCATTGCTATTGATTCTACAACTATATGATAATTATCTCAAAACAACTTTTGTAACCCACCTCATTTTCACTTCATAAACCTGTGGATTGACATGTTGGAGTTACTGCTGCATTTGTAGATAATGATAAATAATAAGGCCTTTTAACAATGTTTGAAGCTGCTATTCTCTGATGTCTCTTCCAAAATAAAGAATTTCCAAGTGGATGACAATGAAAAAATTGTTAGAAATATTTGGTGGTAAGGCATCTTTAACATCCTGTTGAATGTTTCTGCATAGCACATCAATCCCTTAAAATACTTTGCTATATCTGCATTTAATGAATGAGTCTAATATTGAGGTGCAATTGAAAATACCTGGGCCTTTGATGAATCAGCTCATAGGGTGATAATGTCTGGGTCCTTGAGAAAGCAGACCCTGTGTTGTAAGTTTTAGTAGAAGTACCTTTTGCAAAGAAAGTTCATGTGTTTCTGAACATTATGCTACTTTTAACTTAAGAATGCAATATATGATTTATTTTTACTTCAAACTGGGTATATACCCAGTAATGGGATCGCTGGGTCAAATGGTATTTCTAGTTGTAGCTCCTTGAGGAATCACCACAATGTCTTCCACAATGGTTGAACTAATTTTCACTCCCACCAACAGTATAAAAATGTTCCTATTTCTCCACATCCTCTCTAGCAGCTGTTGTTTCCTGACTTGTTAATGATCACCATTCTAACTGGAATGAGATGGTATCTCATCGTGGTTTTGATTTGCATTTCTCTAATGACTAGTGATGCTGAACATTTTTTCATTTGTCTGTTGGCTGCATAAATATCTTGTTTTGAGAAGTGTCTGTTCATATCCTTTGCCCACTTTCTGATGGGGCTGTTTGTTTTTTCCTTGTAAATTTGTTTAAGTTCTTTGTAGATTCTGGATATTAGCCCTTTGTCAGATGGGTAGAATGCAAAAATTTTCTCCGATTCTGTAGGTTGACTGTTCACTCTGCTGATAGTTTCTTTTGCTGTGCAGAAGCTCCTTAGTTTACTTAGATCCCATTTGTCTATTTTAGATTTTGTTGTGATTCATACTTGGTTAATTTTTAATTGCATTGTTTTCTTCTGATTAGTTGTAAGTATACCTGCATATTGATCAAAAAAGCCGTTTAACAAATCAAAAGGAAACATTTAACAAATACGTGACTTGGAAGTATTTTCTCCAAGTCTGTTGTTGTCTTTTACTCCCTTGTCAGTGTGTATTGCAGAAAAATATGTATGTGTGTGTGTGTGTGTTTACAAATTAAAGAAACAGGTATAATTTCATTTATCCATAGATCACGTCTTTGGCATTACATCTGAAATCTCATCATAAAATATACTAATAGTGATTTTTTTTTCCATGTCTCTAATCTCAGGCCACAATCTACTCATGAGTGTTTAAACATCACCTACTTGATTAGAGGACTATCACCCTAAGATATTTGGAATATTTCTGGAAGGAGATGTGTTCTTTTTCCCATTATTTCTCTATTTAGTCATTTATTAATATCCGCATTGGTTTATGAATGTCTATTTCATACTCTGAAGTAAATCCATGCTATATTATTCATTTTATTGTTCAAATCACCACAGCTTTATTATGTGCTTGGAACTCATTTAGTTTGGATGCTGCATCCTTACAGCACACCTCATCATTTTGTTTTTGAACACTTTCCTGTTTCCTGGTATTACAATACATTCTAAGCCCATTTTCTATATTAACTTTTTCATACATAGAATCAGACATTTTTCTAAAGATTGCTTCTTTCTGATGTTAAAATATAGTATTAAAATAAAATTTGTGATACTGGGTATATGTGTTGTTAATGTGGTATAAGTACTTTTAGGACCTCTCAACCAACTGGCCTAGTAAATGTGCATGTTTATATGAACTCATGTTTAAGGACACATTGAAACTATTTATGTATCTTATATTCTGTAACTTTATTACATTAAAAATGAGAATACACTGGTCTCCTCACCCAACTATGTTACCACCATATCGACCTTTCTAGGCTTCCTTGACTGTCCATAATCACCCACTGCAAAGTGAGGAACCCCATCCCATCATATGCCATTGTATTACTTAGCTGCACAATTTCAGGACACATGCATTGCAGCATCAGAAATGTAAAGCTGTACCCTTCTTGGAACCATTTTTATCTACTAGAATAGAGTGCTTATGTGCAGTTTCTTTACACTTTAAACTTATAGAATTTCCTCATTTTCAAAGTTCCTTAGATCAGCAACTTCGTTTTCCACTTTCTTCATGAAGTCATTTCAATTACACTGTATAATTTCTTTATTTGAATTCTGTAAAAGCCAAAACTACAGTCAAGTAAACATAGAGAGGATATTCCAGGAATTTACAGAGTGGGTATCAAATAAGTTAAAAAGGCAATGTTTAAGAAGAGTAAAACTATTTTTAGTGATATGCAATGGTTGAGACATGACACAATTAATTTGTCTAAGCTCATAATTTTGTGATGAAAAATATAAACCTAAATATATACAATTTAAAATGATGTTTAGCAGTACATTATCCCTAGGATCAAATGCAGACTGTATAAAATTATCTAATAACTTATTTGGTGAGGATGCCATGAGACACATGCAACAAAGAATGAACTAATTTTCCTTATTTGCATATAAGATGTTGACATTCACTAAAGATCTTTAATTTAAAAAAAAATCAATTTTCTATGTGACCCAGGTTTTTTCTTCCAGACAAGCAAATAACCCACAGGATTATTTTCTTTCCTTGATTGAGAAAGATTTTCCCCAAACTTCAGCTCAGTTCAGGCATATACTGTCCCTAAATGGGCATTTACCCTCAGATGAGTCCACACACCTGTCAACACGTGGAGTCTTCTGTCAGACAAACACACCTTTACTGATGTGGATTCTTCCCTCAGACAAAAACACATGTCCCCACATGGACACTTTCCTCAGACTACCATGTATGTCCTTACATTTACGCTTTCCTCAGAAAACAGACTTTTCCTCATGTGGACTCTTGTCTCAGACAAGCAAATATGTCTCCATGTGAACTCTTCACTCAGATAAGTACACATATGTCCACATTTACTGTTTCCTTACACAGGCACATATATTCAATGTTGAATTGTTTTGTGGCAAAATGATCTCAAGATAATGGTAATTATAAATCCCCTCCCTAATAAAGTGTAGATCTGTATTTTTTTTGTTGTAACCTAACTTTGCCTTATTGTCAAAAACAGTAATTTGCAGCTCTAAATGCACCAGTTAGAGACAGGTGTCCATTTTCTCTGGAAATGTATTTTTATTTTCTTACTGGACATATTTGTTGATAATGTTGCTACTATGAAGATACCTGAACAGTATCCACATTAAAGAATAAAAAAGAGTAATGGGCAGAATAACCCTGTGCATCCAGACCCAGAAATCCTTTGACCCTGCCCTCCCGAAATGTAGACACAGAGGATGGATGAGCAGTGCTGAGCAGTGTACCCATGACCACAAACATGAAGACATGGAAATGTGTCCCCACTCCTCCT
Organism: Homo sapiens; assembly: GCF_000001405.40. NCBI lineage: Eukaryota > Metazoa > Chordata > Mammalia > Primates > Hominidae > Homo > Homo sapiens. The sequence continues at coordinate 106,309,905 of NC_000014.9, read as the reverse complement.
CATGAAAGGCAGCTCATGCCCTCTTCCTTCAGGCCCTGGTATGGAGCCACCCCATGTCTCTGCCCTTCCTTAGTGTCCACACCATGGGGTCTGCACTGATCTGGATTCCCTTCTCATCCCCCTCAATATTAGTGTGCCTTGTGAATCAGGTCCAGCTGTGGCTGTTCTCAGTCTGTTTCCTCTGTATTCACAGAAGTCCTGTGTGATGTTTACTGATGGAGTCAGAAGGAGAAAAATTTAACAGCCCAGCAGTTCACTGAGACTGTCCTGCAAAGCCTCTGGTTTCGGGTTTACTGGGTGCAGCATGAGCTTGGTCCAGCACACTTCACAACAGGAATTGGTGTGGGTAGCAACAGTGAGAGATCATATGGGAGTTCTAAGGGTTACTCTCCATGAGTACAGATAAATCAACATTCCCAAGTGACACCCTTTCAAGTGCAGTCTACCTTACAAGGACCAACCTGAAAGCCAAGGGCAAGGCCGTATATTACAGTGAGGGACACAGGGGAGGGAAGATCTGTCTGAGCCCAGACACAAAAATCTCTGCAGAGAGACAGGAGGGAACTGCGTGGTAGATGCTGCTCAGAACCACCATGGGGTGGCCAGGAAACAAGGGGTGCTTAGGACCTCTAGGGAGCGCTCAGGACGCCAGGGGGGTGCTCAGAACCACTAGGGGACGCTCAGGACACTAGGTGGCGCTCAAGACAACACTACTGCACTCATGTCACCACGGGGTACTCAGAACCACCAGGGGGCGCTCAGAACCACCAGGGGGCGCTCAGAACCACCAGGTGGCGCTCAGCACCACCAGGGGGCGCTCAGGACACCAGGGGGCGCTCAGAAACACTCGGGGACGCTCAGGACAAGAGGGGGTACTCAGAACCAACAGGGGGCGCTCAGGACCACCAATGGGTGCTCAGAACCACAAGGGGGCGCTCAGGACATAGGTGGTGCTAAAGACAACAATTCTGGGCTCAGGTCACCAGGGGGCGCTCAGAACCACCAGGGGACGCTCAGGACATGCAGGTTCTCTTAGGAGGCAGCTGCACATCAGGAGCTTCAGAGGCTGTGATTTCCTTTCAGACCCTGGAAATTCCTGACCTGGTCAAGCAAAAGTCTTCCCCAGGATGTCTGATTTTTCCTTTTAATTCCATGATTTCTTTTACCTACAAAACACTAACTTAGAACAGGGATGTAATGCAACTTTTATTGCTGCGTATTTTCTGAGTAATACTAGCAATGATCTCTCGGGACAATTATTAAAATAGGTTATTTATATATTTTAATTATTAAAAATAATACTATTATTAAAATAGTAAAATTTTTTAAATCACACTTGTAATCCCAGCACTTGGGGAGACTGAGGCAGACAGATTACTTGAGCTCAGGAGTTTTAGAACAGCCTGGCAACATGGTGAGATGCTTTCTATACATAAAAGAAGAAATAGCTGAGATTGGTGCAACCAGCTACTTAAAAGGCTGAGGAGGGAGGATTCCTTAAGCCTGGGAGGTTGAGGCTGCAGTGAGCTATGATTGTGCCTCCACACACCAGCCTTGGTGACAGAGTGAGACCCTGTCTTAGAAAAAAAAATGCATATCCTCAATACAGACTATTTCCATGAATAGAGTTTTGTGTTTTTGTGCTGTAATAGTCAAACAATTGTATATGTTTTCTAACTTTAACTCAGCATATGCATGGTGTTTTGTTTCTTTTTCTTTCATCTGCTGTTTGTGGAAAATAAACAGCACTTTAAAGGCTCTGTTTCTCCACTTTGTTTGGCTTCCAGTGTCCTGTTTTTCAGACTGTTTCTCCACCTTCCCTTCTTCTTTGAAAGCCATTTATCTTCCTCAGTCTCCATGCAGAAAAAGAAAGTCCCTTTACTTTCTGTCTTCCAAGTCTGGTGAATCAGTTCCCTTCTTTTCATAATCACTGAAGCCAACCAAGTTTAGAAGTATAACAGTTCTCCTTAGAATACGCTCATCTACCTGCACTCTCTGCCCTCCTCATCCTTTTCTAGGTCCCTCCAGACATCACCCTCATCCCATACCCTCCCTTCCTTAAGTACCACAGAGTGGGCTCTTCACCTCCTGCTGCCCTCTATGTGCTCAGCCCTGGGGCTCACTAGTCCTTTGATTATGAAGTCCAAATCCCTATGTGCTTGCACACTCTCACGCCACCCTCTAGGAAGCTGCCATTGTGAGAGAGTCCTGAAAAGCATGGGCTGGGTTTAGTTTCATAATGCATACTATGGTCAATTAGTTATTCTATTTGAACATTCTATTTAATTAATAGATAGAGTTAATTAAATAGAGTTATTCTATTTAATTCTATTAAACTATTAATAAATTAGTTATTCAATTTATTAATAACAGGCCAATATTTAAAATAAATACCATTGCACGTTTAAGTGACATATTTGACAATAATTGCATTTACATACAGTTTTACCAAAACATGTATCGAAGTGTATTTGTTTTTTTAAATATTGGAATAGGCAGACATACACATAGGAAAACATTATTTTGTACTACAATCTCAAACTGCAAACACAATTTAAATGCCATTAAATAATTAGAATAATATGAAACAAATGGGCATGGTGTTTTGGTGTTTAAATATACATTCATTTCACCTGATCATACTTATGTGTCTTTGCTGGGCTGCTGTGCATGTATGTGTATTTGTATGACCATGAAGCTTTCAGATACATCATTAAATTACATAAAGTGTTACCATGCACTTCCCTCTTTTAGGGGACAAAGTAAATCTTTCAGGGCAATCGCAGGGAAAATGTGTGGTTGGATCTTCCACACAGAGTCCCTACCATGACATTGCCAAGTAGAGCTATGGAAGGGGGCTACCAACCTCCAGACCCCAGAATGGTAGATCCACAGGCAGCTTGCAGCTCGAGTCTGGAAAAGCCACAGGCACCCAGCTCCAACCCATGAGAGCAGCCTTATGGGCTGCATTAGGGAAGTCACAAAGGTAGGGCTGCCCAAGGCCTTGGGCACCCACCCTTGCACCAGGTCACAAGACATGGAGTCAATGATTATTTTAGAGCCTTAAGATTGAAGGACTGTCCGACTAGGTTTTGGCCTTCCATAAAAATCTTTACCCAATTTTTGGGCCATTTTCTCTTTTTAGCATAGGACTCCTCACCCAATTTCTGACCCATCATTGTACTTTGGATGTAAATAACTTATTTTTGATTTTTCAGTCTCATAGGTGAAAGGAACTTTTCCTTGAGTCTGAACTTTGGATTTTGAATTAATGCCAAAACAAGTTCAGATTGTCAGGGACCACTGGGGAGGGATTATTGTATATTGCAATGTAAGAAAGACATAAGGGGCAGAATGATGTGGTCTGGATGTGTGTTTTCTCCAAATCTTATGTTGAACTGTGAACCCCAGTGTTGGAGGTGAAGTCTGCTGGGAGGCATGGCATTAGGGGCATATCCCTCATGAGTTACTTCGTGTCATCCCCTTGGTGATGAATGAGTTATCAGTTCACATGACAGCTGATTGAAAGAGCCTGGTACCACTCCCTTCTCTTATCTTCCCCCCTATTGTCATGTGACACTCTTGCTCCCCTTCATCTTCTGCCTTGACTGTAAGCTTTCTGAGGCACTCAGCAGAAACAGATGTCAGCACCACACTTGCTGTACAGCCTGCACAACTGTGAGCCATATAAAACCTATGTCCTTTATAAATTATCCAGCCTCAGGTATTTCTTTACAATTCAATAATGGACGAACAGAAGAAGTATTTAATTGTGCAGCAAATTAGGGGTGTGGAATCATTAAAATGGACTTAACGCCTGTAGAGGTAAAGACACAAGAGTCTCTCTCTCTCTCTCTCTCTCTCTCTCTCTCCTTGAACCCTTCTCTGTCTTTACATACACACACACACACACACACACACACACACACGCTCCACGTGAAGATGTCATGTGACCAAATAGCAATATGGTGGCTGCTATGAGCCAACAGTAGAAGCCTCAAAATAAAACCTATCTTGCCAGCATGTTTATCTTTGAATTTCCAGAATTGAGGAACTGAGATAAAATTAAGGTTGTGTAAGTTACCAAGTATGATTGTTTTTAATGTTTGAACTGACTAAAGAGAATTTGGGATGAAGAAGTGGGGTTCTGATGTTACAATTATTTCAACACTGTGGAAAGTGCCTTGGAATTGGGTTATGTGTAAAAGGCTGGATAGTTTTGACATGCATAAAGAAATTTATATATTAAGTGTCATTCTGATAGATTAAAATGAGTAGAGTGCTATTGGAAACTGGATAAATGGTGATCTTTGTTATAAAGTGACAAAAAAAACTTGTCTAGACTATGTTGTGATATTTAGTAAAAGAGAACTTTGAGCAGCAAAATTGAATATTTAGCTGAGAACACTTCTAAGTAAAATGTTGAAAGTGTAGTTTGGTTTCTCCTGGGCATTTATAATAAGAAATAGATGAATTGAAAATGAAATTATAAGGGAGAAAATATCCAAAACTTAAAGGCTTGGAAAATTCTCAATCTATCTGTGTTGCAAAAATCAGAAAGTGTGTTCTGAAGAGAACAGTGAGTATGAGGCTGTAATATCACTTGATAAAGAATTTATGGTATTAAAAGAGAATAAATGCAGGTTTTAAAGAACAAGGATGGAGATGAGACAAAATGGACGAATACTGTCAGATTCTTCAGATTTAAGAGGATGGAGCTACTTGGTTGCAAATGTGCACCATTCTTCCAGAACAAAGAAAAATAAACCTTGAATTTATTTAGAAGTAATCATGACCACTACCTTGGTTTCAACAGACCAGACCATCCATGCTTAAAACCTTGAGGAAAAGACCTCCTACCACTGCCTGGAACTTAGGAACTCCCAGTGAGCCTTGTGTGTAGGGCTGCATGGGGTCTTTGGGATGGGACCTTAACCCAGCAGTTACCCATTGGTGCCTCTACTTAAAGCATTGGAATTAATTCTGCTGCTGCAATGAGCTGGGAAAGAAGAAGCTTGGCCCAGAGAAGATTCCACTTGAGCCTTAAGGTCTATGGTAATTTGTTTTGTTATGTGTTGTACTTGCTGGGGACACATCACCCCTCCTTTCTTTTCTATTTTTCTCTTTGGGGGAGAAAATGTCTATTTTATGCCTAACTCACCACTGTATTTTGAAATCAAATAACTTGTCCAGCGCTATGGACTGAATGTGTATGCAACTCCAAAATTAATATTGTGGAACCCTAATCCCCAGTGTGGTGTAATTGGGGTGTGGGCCATTTAAGGGGTGATCAGGTGAAAAGGTTGAAGCCGTCATAAATGAGATTAGTGCTCTAATAAAAAGTCACGGGAGAGCTTTTCTCTCTTGCTTCCCTGTCATGAGATGATACGATAAAATTACGGCCATCTGCAATTCAGGAAGGAAACCTTTACATACACATGATTGGCTGTCTTGGGCTTCCCAGCATTCGGCACTGCACAGAATAAATATGTCTTGTTAAAGTCATGCACTTTATGACACTTTGTTAAAGCAGCCCCAATAAAATAAGATATCTGGTTTTACTGGCTCAGAGTTGGAGAGAAATTTGTTTCAGAAATAATTCTACCTCAAATCTTACTCATGTATGGTTTAGTTAATATTTAAATTATGTTTTAAACTTGTTTAGAGTTGATGATGAAATGAGTTAAGAGTTTGGGGACTGTTATAATCAAATGAATGAACTGCGAATGTGTAAATGCCATGCATTTGGGGGATGGTCTTTTCTATTCTGGGTCTTTCATGCCTACGTGTGAATTGAAGGATTGCTTTTCTTATTTCTGTGAAGAAGGCCATTATTATTTTGATAGATAATTTATCTAATCTGTAAATAACTTTGGGTAGTATGAAAATTTCAATACTATTAATTCTTCCAATCCATAAATGTGGAGTATCTGGGATATATGTCCTATTTATGTGTGTCCATTTCATTTTCTATTACCAATAATTTATAGTTATCCTCTAGAAATCTTTCTCTTATTTGGTAACATTTATTCCTAGGTATATTTTGCAGCTATTGTAAAAGGAAAGGCTTCATGGATTTCATTCTCAGATGTTTTGCTGTCAACATATAGAAATGCCACCAATTATTGTATGTAGATGATGAATCTTACAACTTTACTTAATTTGCTTATGAATTCTAATAGTTTGTGAGAAGGCTTTAGTTTTCTTTTTTTAATATAAGATCTTTTTGTCTGCTCACAGGAAATCTGACTTCCACAATTCCAAATTTGAGGTCATTTCCTTTTACTGTTAACTAAATACTCTGGCTAGCATTTCAGTACTATTCTGAATAAAAGTGATAAAAATGGTTATTTTTGTCTTCTTCCACTTCTTAGATGAAAATTTCCCGGTTTTTCCATGCTTCGTGTGATGAAAGCTGTGTTTTTCTCATATATGCGCTTTATTTTTTGAGATATCCTTCTTGTATACCTAGTTTTTGATAATTTCTATCAGAAATGAATGTTGAATTTTATTCTATGATTTTCTAAAATATCTTGACTACACAATAACACAGTAATATGCAGGTCAATACATATCAACTGAATTTCACTTAATATCATCCCAACTTCTAATATTTATTTTTTAGTATTAGAACATGCCTGTTTCCATATTATATTTGCTCACAGGTATTGGTACATATTTTAGCTAATTTGTCATTATTTTACTCTAAGAAATAACTCAAAAAATCATTTTTATTATGAATTGAAAGGTAACATCGGCAAAATTAGCCCAATCTTAATCTTTCCCAGACTTTGAAACATTATTGAAGACAATGAGAGGGGAAAGTCAGCTTTAGTTGAGCTTCTAAGAGGTAAGTGAGGTAAAAACCCAGGGCTTATTGGCTACGACTTTGAATGTTACTGTCTTCTTTTCCATAAGCCACATCCAGACCATTTTCTAAATCTAAGAAAACTAATTTTATCTCACTGCTTCTTAGTCTTGTTTCCTGCAGCTGACAACCAAAACTGTCAGCGATAGAGCCCAGTGTAAATCACCAGCCTTTAATTATTGCAGAACTATGATTTTACAACAACATTGTGAGTTACATAATGATCCTACTTTATGGCCGCGGTGCAAATGCTTAACTTCCACTAAATCACAGAGCTCAGAATGGCTAGCATGGAGGTGTATATGTATATGTGCATTGTTCTAGAAATTTCCAATTACTGTATATTATTGTTTGCAGTAATTAGGTCAATCTGAACTGACAAAAGTCTCCATGGCCTTATAAGCACAGAGACCACCTCCACGGCAGGTGGAAATCAAGGCTGGGAACAGTCTACCAGCTGCTCCCCTGGGATTCCTCCAATTACCCTGTTTAAAGCCTCTGCTCACTCATGCGCTGGAAGAGGGATGTCAGAGATGCAGTCTACTCTTCCTAAAGGGCTGACAGGGCATAAAGACAAGACTGATTATCCATGGAACATTCCTATAGGAATGCACCTATGTGCAGACACACAAATAAGCTGTGTGTCTTGCAGTGTGTAAATGGCTGAGATGCCATTTACACTTCTTTACACAATACATTTTTAAATGTTTTGTTGATGTATTCTCTATCATTCAAAAAAATCATCACTTTCCCCCTAAACAAAGAGGATTTTTATCAGAACACTTATGGGAAGCCCCTTGCTCTCCCAGATTCCCACCCTCATTTCTCCTGAAGGAAGAAAGAAAACCATCTCTATTGATTTCCACTCTCATCCTCTAGGACTAAAACCAGAAAGCTGCATGCTCCCTGGGTGAGCCTTAGAGAAGACCCTGTCTGTAGGAGCAGGAATCTCAGAGCCTTGGCTGAGAGGCATGGTCCTGAAATGAGATGGAGTCCCCCATGGAGATCCCACGTGGACGCCCACACCTGAGGGCTCACTGCTCCTCACCACAGATGCACTCCCCTACTGAGTCCTGAGACCTGAGTGCACCCCATAGAGTAGGACTCAGATGAGGGAATGCAAATCTCCACCAGCTCCACCCTCCTCTGGGTTCAAAAGCTGAGCACGGGGCCTCGCTCAGTGACTCCTGTGCCCCACCATGGACACACTTTGCTACACACTCCTGCTGCTGACCACCCCTTCCTGTGAGTGCTGTGGTCAGGGACTTCCTCAGAAGTGAAACATCAGTTGTCTCCTTTGTGGGCTTCATCTTCTTATGTCTTCTCCACAGGGGTCTTGTCCCAGGTCACCTTGAAGGAGTCTGGTCCTGTGCTGGTGAAACCCACAGAGACCCTCACGCTGACCTGCACCGTCTCTGGGTTCTCACTCAGCAATGCTAGAATGGGTGTGAGCTGGATCCGTCAGCCCCCAGGGAAGGCCCTGGAGTGGCTTGCACACATTTTTTCGAATGACGAAAAATCCTACAGCACATCTCTGAAGAGCAGGCTCACCATCTCCAAGGACACCTCCAAAAGCCAGGTGGTCCTTACCATGACCAACATGGACCCTGTGGACACAGCCACATATTACTGTGCACGGATACCACAGAGACACAGCCCAGGATGCCTCCTGTACAAGAACCTAGCTGCATCTCAGTGGTGCTCCCTCCCTACCTCTGCAGAACAGGAAAGTGTGACTGAGATGCCATTTCCTGCCAGGGCTTGTGTTTCCTATACCAACCAGACTCAGAGCCCTGTCTGTTTTCCTATTCTGTACTATTAAATGGCATGTTCCCTGTTAGTGATTCACGCAAGCAGAGGCTGTATCCTGTTTGACAAAGATTGAGCATGAAAGATTCCCATTACCTGGGCCACATGCATCACTGATATGTGGCCACTTATTTCTTGAGCTCATATCCTTCCAAGGGGCTGAATACAAATATCTATAACATAGGCCATCTTAAACTGCAGGAAGTAATGTTGGAGAAGAATGTGGAGATAAAAGAGCAGGATGATTAATTAAAATCCAGATACCATCTTTTTTTGCAGAGAAAAATTTACACTAATAAAGTAATTTTATGAAACAACAAGAAAGATGGAATGTGTCCTCATCATGGAGTGTCTCACTTGCAGTGCACAAATAAATTTCTAAAAATTTTATAGGGAAGGTGTGATAGATGAGGCTGATTTCCACACAGGGAGTGATTAAATACCCAGGTAAGTATAAAATCCAACACTTGGAAAGGAAAATGCCTCAGCTTGACATCAGAAACCCAGCTCAGTAAGTCTGAGGAGCAATGCGGAAAAGAAATGAAAAATTCGGGCCGGGCGCGGTGGCTCACGCCTGTAATCCCAGCACTTTGGGAGGCCGAGGCGGGCGGATCACGAGGTCAGGAGATCGAGACCATCCTGGCTAACACGGTGAAACCCCGTCTCTACTAAAAATACAAAAAATTAGCCGGGCGTGGTAGCGGGCGCCTGTAGTCCCAGCTACTCGGGAGGCTGAGGCAGGAGAATGGCGTGAACCCGGGAGGCGGAGCTTGCAGTGAGCCGAGATCGCGCCACTGCACTCCAGCCTGGGCGACAGAGCGAGACTCCGTCTCAAAAAAAAAAAAAAAAAAAAAAAAAAAAAAAAAAAAAAAAAAGAAATGAAAAATTCGACAACACTTTTCTTATGAAATCCCTAGCTCATGTTTGAACACGAAAACAGAATTGTCCACAATTTTAGGACAGCCATCGCATGACAACAAACCACTACAATGATAGGAGCATCACTGAGTCAACGGAGTTCAAGCAGTGAGCAGATCAGTACTGAGGCCCCAGGAGAACCAAGGCTCTTTGGTACATTTTACAGAACCCAGAACCGAGCCACATAATCTATGGCCAAGTGATCTTTGACAAAGTTAACAAAAATTAACCAACGTATACACCAGGGAAAGGACACCCCATTCAATAAAGGGTGCTGGGGATATTGGATAGCTATATGCACGCGAATGAAACTGGACCCCCACCCTCAACATGTAAATAATTAACACAAAATAGATTAAAGGTTTAAATGTAAGTCTTCAAACTGTAAATGTATTCAAATAAAACACCAGGACAACTCTTCTGGACAAAAAGCAAACAATAGACAAATGGGACTTAATGAATCTAACAAGTTTCTTCACAGCAACAGAGTGAACAGACAAAGTGCAGAATGATAGAAAATATTTGCACACTGTGCATCTGACAGAGTACTAATATACAGAATTAACAAGAAACTCAAACCACAACAACAAAAGAAAACAAGAACCAAATAACCCCATTAAAATGAGCAAAGAACATGAGTAGACATTTTTGCAAATAACACATAAAAATGGACAATAGATATATAAAAATGCTCAGCATTACTAATAATCAGGGAAATGCAAATTAAAACTAGTGAGATATACCATTCACAATGGCTGTTATTAAAAAGTCAAAAATAACAGATGTTGGAGAGGATGAAATGTAAAGGGAACTCTTAGACACTGTTGATGAGAATGTGGACGAGTACGACCTCTATAGAGAACAGTATGGATTCAGTATGATATTGACTGTGCATTTGTCATAAACAGCTCTTATTATTTTGAGATACATTCCATCAATACATAGTTTAATGAGAGTTTTTAGTATTAAGGGGTGTTGAATTTTATTGAAGGCCTTTGCTGCATCTATTGAGATAATCATGTGTTTTTTTTCCATTGGTTCTGTTTATGTGATGGATTATGTTTATTGATTTGCATATGTTGAACCAGCCTTGCATCCCAGGTATGAAGCCAACTTGATCATGGTGGATTTGAAAACCGGCACAAGACAAGGATGTCCTGTCTCATCACTCCCATTCAACATAGTATTGGAAGTTCTGGCCAAGGAAATCAGGCAAGAGAAATAAATAAAGGGTATTCAAATAGAAAAAGAGGAAGTCAAACTGTCTCTGTTTGCAGATGACATGATTATATATTTAGAAAACCCCATCATCTCAGCCCCAAATCTCCTTAAGCTGATAAGCAACTTCAGCAAAGTCTAAGGATACAAAATCAATGTGGAAAAATCACAAACATTCCTATATACCAATAATAGAAAAACAGAGAGCCAAATCATGAGTGAACTCTCATTCACAATTGCTACAAAGAGAATAAAATACCTAGGAATACAACTTACAAAGGATGTGAAGGACCTCTTCAAGAGAACTGCAAACCACTGCCCAAGGAAATAAGAGAGGGCACAAACAAATGGAAAAACATTCCATGTTCATGGATAGGAAGAATCAATATCGTGAAAATGGCCATACTGCCCAAAGTAATTTATAGATTCAATGCTATCCACATCAAGCTACCATTGACTTTCTTCACAGAATTAGAAAAAAACTACTTTAAATTTCATATGGAACCAAAAAAGAGCCCATATAGCCTAGACAATCCTAAGGAAAAAGAACAAAGCTGGAGGCATCACGCTACCTGACTTCAAACTATACTACAAGGCTACAGTAACCAAAACAGCATGGTACTGGTACCAAAACAGAGATACAGACCAATGGAACACAACAGAGGTCCCAGAAATAATGCCACACATCTACACCCATCTGACCTTTGAAAAACCTGACAGAAACAAGCAATGTGGAAAATGATCCCCTATTTAATAAATGGTGTTGAGAAAACTAGCTAGCCATATTCAGAAAACTGAAACTGGATCCCTTCCTTACACCTTATACAAAAATTAACTCATGATGGATTAAAGACTTAAACATGAGACCTAAAACCATAAAAACCCAAGAAGAAAACCTAGGCAATACCATTCAGTACATAGGCATGGGCAAGGCCTTAATGACTAAAACACCGAAAGCAATGGCAACAAAAGTCAAAATTGACAAATGGGATCTAAGTAAACTAAAGAGCTTCTGCACAGCAAAAGAAACTATCATCAGAGTGAATGGGCAGCCTACAGAATGGGAGAAATTGTTTGCAATCTATCCATCTGACAAAGGGCCAATATCTAGAATCTGCAAGGAACTTAAACAAGCTTACAATAAAAAAAAAACAACCCCATCAAAAATTGGCGGAAGGTTATGAACATACACTTCTCAAAAGAAGATATTTATTCAGCCAACAAACATAAAATAAAGTTCAACAGCATTGGTCGTTCGAGAAATGCAAATCAAAACCACAAAGAGATACCACCTCACACCAGTTAGAATGGCGATGATTAAAAAGTCAGGAAACAAAAGCTGCTGGAGAGGATGTAAAGAAATAGGAACGTTTTTACACTGTGGTCGGTAGTGTAAATTACTTCAACCATTGTGGAAGACAGTGTGGTGATTCTTCAAGGATATAGAACTAGAAATGCCATTTGTCCCAGCAATCCCATTATTTGGTATATACCCAAAGGATTATAAATCATTCTGCTATAAAGACACATGCACACATATTTTTATTGCAGCACTGTTGACAATAACAAAGACTTGGAACCAACCCAAATGCCCATCAAAGATAGACTGGATAAAGAAAATGTGGCACATATACACCATGGAATACTATGCAGCCATAAAAAGGATGAGTTCATGTGCTTTGCATGGACATGGGTGAAGCTGGAAACCATCATTCTCAGCAAACTATCACAAGAACATAAAACCAAACACCGCATGTTCTCACTCATAAGTGGGAGTTGAACAATGAGAACACAAGGACACAGGGAGGGGAACAAACATCACACAACAGAGCCTGTCGGGGAGTGGGGGGCTGGAGGGGATAGCATTAGGAGAAATACCTATTGTAGATGATGGGTTGGTGGGTGCAGCAAACCACTATGGCCTATGTATACCTATGTGACAAACCTGCACATTCTGCACATGTGTCCCAGAACTTAAAGTATAGTTAAAAAAAAAGAGAGAGAGAGAGAAAGGAAACAGTATGGAGACTTTCCAAAAAATGAGAAACAGTACTGGCCTTTATTCTACCAATCCCACTACTGGGTAGCTACCCAAAGAGAAAGAAATCATATTTCAAAAAGATACCCACACTTCTATGTGTACCACAAATCTATTCCCAATAGCACATATGACAACCTGAGTGTCCACCAACAGATGATTTTATAAAAGAATATAGCATATATGCACAATTTAATACTAGTCAGCCACAATAAGGAATGAAACTGTGTCTTTTGCAGCAAGATGCCTAGAACTGGGGGACATTATAATTAGTGAACTAACTCACAAACAGAAAGCCACATATCACACATTATTACTTATAAGTGGGAGGAAAACAGTGTGTACACAAGGATATGGAGAGAGGGATTATGGACATTGGAGACTTAGCAGAATGGGAGGGTAGGAGTTGGGAGCATGATGAAAAATCACCTAATGGGTACAATGTACGTTACTTGGGTGTTGGGTACACTAAAGCCAATACCACTGTGTAATATTTCCATGTAACACAGTTGCACCCATAGCCCTTAAATTTATACAAATAAAGATAAAAACAATTACAATTTAAAATATAAAATTATTAATAGTTGACCAAAGATCTTGAAAATTAAAATTTAAATCATGATCAATAAATGAAATTAATATCAGTTGAACTTCATTTAACTTAAAATCCTTTTGTACTCAAGTGATTTTAAGAAAATGAATGTCAAGTTTTAGATGAGGAGATTTGCAAATCATATCACCACCTATGTAATTATAGTAAGAACCCTCAAAACTCAACAGTGAATAAAAGAAGAGGCAACCCATGGATAAAATAGGCAAAGGTTTGTGCAGGCATTTCATTAAAGAAGATGTACAGATTACACATAGGCATATAAACAGGATCTCAACAGGATTTTTCATCACAGAAATTCAAATCAAGACCACAATAAGATACCCAAACACCCTTTTTAGAATGGCTGAAATTAAGAAGAAAGATGGATCATACCGATGCTGGTGAGCATACCAGGTTTCTAGAGTCTAAAACATTGCTAATGGGAATGCAAAATGAAACAGCTACACAGGAAAATAATTCTTAGTTTCTTGTAAAATTATATATGCCCTTAACACATTACCTAAAAATCCCCCTCCTGTAATACAGTAATACATGGCTGTGTATTACTGTGAAAGAGGCATAGTGTGAAAACCCACATCTTGAAACCCTGAGGGAGAAGGCAGCTATGCTGTGGCTGAGGAGATTACAGGGATTATTTGATTAAAGACTTTTTTAGAAAGTGAGGTTAAATCAGCCGGGCGTGGTGGTTCACACCTGCAATCCCATCACTTTGGGAGGCCGAGGTGGGTGGATCACGAAGTCAGGAATTTGAGACCAGTCTGGCCAACATGGTTAAACTCCATCTCTACTAAAAGTGCAAAAAATTAGCCGGGTGTGGCGGTGTACACCTGTAATCCCAGCTACTCTGGGCGCTGAGACAGGAGAATCTCATGAATCGGGGAGGCTGAGGTTGCAGTGAGCCGAAATCGACCCACTGCACCCCAGCTTGGGTGACAGTGCAAGACTCCGTCTCAAAAAAACAACAACAACAACAAAAAGAAAGCGAGGTTAAGTCATTGAAAAATAGGAAAATATAAATGTGTATGCACTCTAATTATTTGGGAAATTTTCCATACAACTTGTATTCTGTAAACAAAATTCAGGGAGTGGAAAACAAATCAAATTAATAAAACTGATATAAGAATTCCTCTGAAGATATTAGTGTGAGCACTAACACACACTTTTGAATGGGTGTTGTAAATATTTTGGAACACACCTCTTAGGTCACATTTTAATTCTACATTTATGTAAATTATATAAAATATCGAAATTTTTTAATGTCTCCATTTTGTGCAGTTATAATTTTGGTTTCATGCCAGCAATGCATGATAGATTCCGTTCTTCCACATCCTCGTTGCCATTTGGCACTATAAGCATTGTGTATTTTAACCATTCTAATCTATTGGTGGTGATAGCTCATTGTTGTTTAAATGCACATGTCTCTAAAATTTTATATTTAATTATTTTATATAATTGTGATGAAGTGTTTGTTATGGTATTTGGCTCATTTTTGATAGCATTGTTTATTTTTGATCAGTTGTAAGTTTCTTTACATACCCATTATATAAGTCACTTAAAAAAGTACTTAGCTGGTCATGAACCCCAGGATGAGATGCAGACTGTATAGAAATCTCTAGCAATGTTACTCAGTGTGGGCAGGGATGGCATGAGATACGGGGAATAAAGAATAAAGTAACTTTCTCCATTTGGATATAAGATGTGTCCATTCACTAGAGAGTTTTCTTTCAGAAGGTTCCCATGTGAGCCAGTTTCCTTCCTGACAAGGAAATCACCCAGAGGATTCTCATAATCTCTTAAGTGAGAAAAGTTTTCCTCAAACTCCAGCTCAGTCTAGCTCACACTGTCTCTAAATGGGCAATTACTTTCAGACATGTACACACATCTGTCCCAACGTGGACTCCTCCCTCAGACAAGCACACACATTGCAATGTGGACTCTCCCCTCAGAAAACCACACATGCCCCACAATGACTCCTTCTTCACATAAGCATATATGCCTGATGCTGAACTGCTGTGTAGCAAAATTAGCTCAGAATACAAGCACTTATGGACTCTAGCCATAACAATGTGTAGATCTGCATTTTATTTTAAATTCTAAATGAACATTTTGCCTTCTTGTTAAGAACAGTGGTTTACAGCTCTACATGTAGAGACTACAGGCAGATATATGTTTCCTCTGGGAAAAGTTTATTTTCATGTATTTACTGGGTTATTTTGTTGATAAACATTCATCTATAAAGACACCTGAAAAGTGCCCTCATTAGAGAAAAAGAAAGTGTAGTTTGCAGATTAACTCTGAGCATCCAATCCCAGGAATCCTTTGATCTGCCCTCCCTGAAATCCACAGGCAGAGGGGGGATGATCGCTGATAAGTAGCAAACACATGTCCACAGGAAGGGAGACATGGAAATGTGGTCACTCCCACACTCAAGAGGAGCAGCTCATCCCCTGTCCGTAGTGGTCCTGGTGAGGAACCACCCCACACCTGTGCCTTCCTCAGTATCCACACCATGGGGTCTGTGCTGATCTGGGCTTCCCTTCTCATCACTCTCAATATTAGTGTCCTTGCGGATCAGGCTCAGCTGTGGCTGCTCCAGATGAGGCTGTTCTCAGTCTGTTCCCTCTGTGTTTGCAGAAGTCCTGTGTGAAGTTCACCGGGGGAGACAGAGGAAATAACGGTGCAGCCGGGGGCTATCTGAGTCTCTCCTGCAAAGACTCTGGATTCACCTTCACTGATTGCAGCATAAGCTTGGTCCAGCAAGCTCCAGGACCAGGGTTGATGTGGGCAGCAACAGGGAGAAATTGAAGAGGAAGCTCTCAGTGGTGCCCTCCATGAATACAAAGAATCTTCACAGTCCCCAGGACACCCTTACGTGCATGGTCTCACTGATATCTTTACTTCCTTTATCACTTTTGTTATGTAAATCACAATGAATAGTGTATTCCTCATCTATTATACATTTGTTAAGTCTTTTTTGGTGTCTTTAAAAAAACTGATAACTTTATAGTATGTAATATCCTTAAGTCCTGAAAGTGTTTTTTGATGTCTACCTTGTCTTAAATTTATACAGCTACTATAGCTTTTCTTGGTTCATGTTTTCTCATATTTATCTTTTCTATTTGTGAATATGTAGAGAAACTTTCTTGTACATAGCTAATAGTTGTGTATTGCTTTTTTATTTTGGCAGTCCTTAAATATTCTAATTTTTTATGATACTTTAAGTTTTAGGGTACATGTGCACAACATGCAGGTTTAAACAAACAACCTCATCAAAAAGTGGGCAAAGGATATGAACAGACACTTCTCAAAAGAAGACATTTATGCAGCCAAAAAACACATGAAGAAATGCTCATCATCATTGGCCATCAGAGAAATGCAAATCAAAACCACAATGAGATATCATCTCACAACAGTTAGAATGACGATCATTAAAAAGTCAGGAAACAACAGGTGCTGGAGAGGATGTGGAGAAATAAGAACACTTTTACACTGTTGGTGGGACTGTAAACTAGTTCAACCATTGCGGAAGTCAGTGTGGCGATTCCTCAGGTATCTAGAACTAGAAATACCATTTGACCCAGCCATCCCATTACTGGGTATATACCCAAAGGATTATAAATCATGCTGCTATAAAGACACATGCACACGTATGTTTATAGCAGCACTATTCACAATAGCAAAGACTTGGAACCAACCTAAATGTCCAGCAACGATAGACTGGATTAAGAAAATTTGGCACATATACACCATGGAATACTATGCAGCTATAAAAAATGATGAGTTCCTGTCCTTTGTAGGGACATGGATGAAACTATCTATTGCTTTTTTAAATCAACTATAATAAATTCTATTTTTTTTTTTGAGAAGGAGTCTCGCTCTGTCGCCCAGGCTGGAGTGCAGTGGTGCGATCAGGGCTCACTGCAAGCTCTGCCTCCTGGGTTTATGCCATTCTGCTGCCTCAGCCTCCCGAGTAGCTGGGACTGCAGGCACCCACCACCACGCCTGGCTAGTTTTTTGTATTTTTAGTAGAGATGGGGTTTCACCGTGTTAGCGAGGATGCTCTCAATCTCCTGACCTTGTGATCCACCTGTCTCAGCCTCCCAAAGTGCTGGGATTACAGGCATGAGCAATAAATTCTATTTTTAAACCAACAATATTTTTTTCTGTTAATTTTTGTTTAAATTAACATTTTATAATGATGCTTATTTCTCTATTAACATGGTATTTAATTACCTTTTTATAAATATTGTATAGTTACCATAAGATTTACAATAAAAATTGTATGTAATTAGATTCTAATGTAAATCCTGTGATGGCCTTGATATGAAGAACACAGATAGTGTAACTGTGTGCTTTGAATTCCTCCTTCTCGCCACTCTTTCTTGTTTATTCTGTTTGCACTTACATATGCTGTAAAATAGAATATGTAATTTTTTATTACTTTATACAGTTATATCTTATAGCAATTACAAATGTTAAAGAGTACAATTCATCTAGATTTTTCCATTTTTACAATCTTTATTTCTTTGTAGAGATTTCTATTTTGAGTGCATATCACATGGCTACTCGCAGAGAATCTTTGTAAAATGTGCCCTGAAACATGAATGTGCTGACAACACATATTCTCCAGATCTTTTTTTCTGACAGAATTTTATTTGCCATTCACCTTTAATGAAATTTTAATGCATGTAGAATTTCAGTTTGCATTTCACCTGTAATTTATTTTCTTGTAATTATTATTAGTTTTTCCTGGAGATGATCACACATTACATTCTGCTGGGCCTTTATTAACCATGTTTCTGCGAACCTAGTCAGGCTTGGGTTTCAAGTGTATGGTTGCCGTGGCTATCAGAGTTGAAATCAGCTTCTCCTGTTCACAAAAACTTCAGGTTCCTCTGGTGATACCTGCGTTTGTGTCCCTGTTTGGCTTTGGATCTTCACATTTCATTCTCCCCAAAGAAAGGCTGTCTCTTTCAGCTGTGGCAGGTGCATCCTGCTGACACATTTACTTGGTGACTGTTTGTGGGATGAAGGGGCTTGGACACAGGGGCACGTTTTCCAACCTTCTGGCTGAGCCTCCTTCTTAGCTATGGGTGGTGAGACTGGCTCTGATGCATGATCTTCCAAGTGTTCCTGTTCCTTCCCTTCCTCAGTGTCACAGTGTCTCTTCCCAGTCATGCTGTTTTTTCATCAGTGTCCTCAGCTTCTGACCCACTGTCCTTACCCCACAGATTCTGGATTTCATTCCTCAGGAAACAGACGGGAGGTGATTCTGGGTAGAGTTTCCCTGATGTCCTCTGTTTCCTTGTGTTCTAGTTGATTCTACCAGTGCCCACAGGACACAAGATTTAATAAATGTCTCCTGCATATAATGAAGGGGGATTCAGCATTGAACGGAGCTACTGTTCTTCCTCCCCAGTCAACACCACAGGACAGCAGGTGGGTGAGTTGTCTGGGGATTTCCCCAATTCTGTAGGAAAAGCCTGCAAGTGCCAGGAGTTTCACACTCTCACACCATTAGCACACACATCTTCAAGCAACTCATTAAACATTTCCAGGTTAGCTTTTTCCTATCTTCAATACCATGCCATGAGTGGCACCTGCCCCAGGTACTCTAATAAACGCACCCTAGTTCTCTCTGCGGGCCCCTATTTTCTCATATTTCAGGGATTTTTTTCTCTGTGACATCAACTCAGATATGGTGAGGGGTTTATTTTTTGTAATTCTTCATGTTTTTTGTTAACGAGGTCAGAATAATATCATTTTCTCAATTTTTACATTCTAACGCTTAGTATCTGATTTCTAAATAAAATTCAGAAACTAAGACAACAAATGAAGTATCCATTATTTGGTGCATTGTTAAACAATTTGAGAAATATTCATGTACTGAAATAGAATGAACCACTGAAATCAAGGCATGCCTCATTCACATAAGAACATGAGGGCATTATCAAATAATTTTGCTGAGTGGAGGAAGCTAAAGAATTCACCATCAATTTCATGTGATTTCATTTGTATAAATCACAGAAGATGCAATATTCTAAATTAACATAGAGAAGATCTGAATTTCTCTGAAAATAGGGTGGGCAGAGTAACAACGTGGTGAAATAAAATTATAGACAAGTTAGATAAAAAAAATTAGAGGTTAACTTAATTGCTAAAACATGATTGAAGTGCTGATTCAATGACTGCACACATATATCAACATTTTCCAAATGCTGCACTATCAATTTGATTTCATTATTGATTGTTTTTTTAATAAAGCAGTAACAAAAATGAATATATTGGCTGAGAAAGAGCAAGAAATGGATAAATACCGACACTTGAATAATCAAGGACTCCTGAAAATACACACATGTGAACACTGATTGTAGATTTCAGGTAAACACTAGAAAAGGCAAAATTACACAAAGTTGTTATGACAGGAGGGACATCCTGAAAACCTCTCTAGGCATGTCCCACACCACCCTGGAGCTGTCTCAGGGGAGCAGTCTCCTCCAGTGTTTAGAGGCACAGGCACGCATAATAGGGCTAACTCTGGCCAGATGTGTGATATTGGACACATTGCACAACTGCTCTGTTCTGTATGTAATTTATCTTCTCTACAAATGTAACATTGACAGTTGCATTAAATATATTCTGCAAATATGTAAAAGTTAAATAAGCTGATGTCTGCTAAATGATTACCAAGGCACAATCACATAATCTGAAGTTATATTTTCCAGAGTGATAGGATTACCTCCAGAGTTTTCCAGGACACTCTCATCTGCTCCGGGCACTGCCTTCTCCTCAGCCGTCCCACCCCTGAGCTTGCTATATAGTAGGAGACATGGAAATAGGGCCCACTCTCTGCTGATAAAAACCAGCCCAGCCCCGACCCTGCAGCTCTGGGAGAGGAGCCCAGCCCCCGAATTCCCAGGTGTTTTCATCTGGTGATCAGCACCGAACACAGAGGACTCACCATGGAGTTTGTGCTGAGCTGGGTTTTCCTTGTTGCTATTTTAAAACGTGATCTATAGAGAACTAGAGATATTGAGTATGAATGGATATGAGTGAGAAACAGTGGATACGTGTGGCAGTTTCTGACCGGGGTGTCTCTGTGTTTGCAGGTATCCAGTGTGAGATGCAGCTGGTGGAGTCTGGGGGAGGCTTGGCAAAGCCTGCGTGGTCCCCGAGACTCTCCTGTGCAGCCTCTCAATTCACCTTCAGTAGCTACTACATGAACTGTGTCCGCCAGGCTCCAGGGAATGGGCTGGAGTTGGTTGGACAAGTTAATCCTAATGGGGGTAGCACATACCTCATAGACTCCGGTAAGGACCGATTCAATACCTCCAGAGATAACGCCAAGAACACACTTCATCTGCAAATGAACAGCCTGAAAACCGAGGACACGGCCCTGTATTAGTGTACCAGAGACACAGTGAGGGGAGGTCAGTGTGAGCCCAGACACAAACCTCCCTGCAGGGCCATGCGGGTGGTTTCCTTTCTCAGCTGCAGGAGGCGGGCTTATTGTTGCAGGACTCTGGAGACTTATTAGGTTGTGATATTTTACTATGGTTATTTATCATGAACTTTTTTATTGGGAATTGTGTTTTATTAATTTTTATTTTATATGTAAGGTTATTTTTTTAAAATACATACCTTCAAGAAATAATTCTTCCTAATAATTTGCACTTGTTCTTTTTAGAGTTTTGTTAACATCTGTTGATATCAGCTACTACATAGCTATAGGGACATTAATTTACATCTATAGACATATGTGTAAATACACAAACTTATACATATATGTGGTCTTTTATATTTAATGTTATAATAAAATTATTATAACAATTATAAAATACATCCTAAAGAATGAAACATATATAGTAATCCATATTCCTTTCAATCATTGCCTATAGTTTACATAAATTGATGTCTATTTGTAACCTTAAACATAGTGTATTGGTCATTTTCAAACATCCAAGAACAAATTTCAAATGTCCTTGTCACACACACAAAAATAAAAATTTGAGGATTTGAGGTGATATATATGTCAATCAGCTCGATTCAATTATTCCATATTGCATTCATAAATCATAACATAGCTTTATTCACTATAAATACATACAACCAAAATTTCTCAATTTTCAATGAAATTTTAATTATACATATTTTATCTGTCCTAGGTCATGAATGTTTTTCTCCCTGTCCGGATGTGATTAAGATTGTCCTGAGAAACAAATTCAGCCTCCTGCCTCCTGAAGGCTTCAGGAAGCAGCTCCTAGATGGGGTGAAGCAGGCAACCCGTGTGTGTCCACAGGACCCGGAGCCTCTCTCTCCTTGGATTAGGCCCCCTCCTCAGGATTACAGGGCTCTTCAGTTTTCTCAACATGCTGTTATACCAGAGAAGCACAAAACACTTAATTTCATTATATTTTTCTTCAATTTTTCAAAACAACACAAAGGTAATAATTTTAACAATAAACATATTACAACCTACTATACATGAGACCCTTCCTGTGCTTCGAGGTTTCTTCTCAGGACTTTGTATGTATTACATGTTTTCAGTTTTTTCCTGAGATGGAATGTTGACGTCTCCTTATTACAGATTATTCTTTTAATTTGTCTCTTAGAATAATTTTTTCCAGAGCTCCTGCCCGCCCGCGCCTGGCGGAATGGAGCGGCGCCAGGGCTGAGCCAGGCGCGCAGGGGCCGCCGCACGTGCCGCGCGGGGAGCGGATGCCCAGCGGGCGGAGAGCCAGCGCCAGAGGCCGGGTCGGAGCGGCCGCTGGAGCAGCGTCAGAATGGGAGAACAGCCCATCTTCACCCCCCGAGCGCGGGTCTTCCAGATTGACCCCAACACCAAGAAGAACTGGATGCCTGCGAGCAACAGGCGGTCACCATTTCCTGTTTCTATGATGTCACAAGGAACAGCTATGGGATCATCAGTGTGGACAGCGCCAAGGTGACCATAAACAACACAATTACACAGAATATGACCTTCACCAACACGTCACAGACGTCTGGGCAGTGGGCCGACAGCAGAGCCAACACGGTGTTTGGTTTGGGGTTTTCCTCTGAGCAGCAGCTGACAAAGTTTGCAGAGAAATTCCAGGAGGTGGAAGAAGCGGCCAAGACAGCCAAAGACAAGACCCAGGAGAACATGGAGCCCTCGAGTAATCATCCTGAGAATCAGGGCGTGGAGCCCCATCTTCTACTCCGGCATCCAGTGTCAACGGGACGGACGATGAAAGGCCTCTCAGGCCGCTGCAGCCGACACGCACCTGCAGTCTGGGAACCACAAGCTGAAGGCGGCCTCGACGCAGAGCTGCCCACGGGAAGAGGTGGGAGATGGAGCTGCAGACCCGGCGGGAGACCGACTTCCGGCTGCCCACGGCGCTGCAGGAGTCGACGGCCAGTGCGGAGCAGAGGAAGAGGCCGTGAGTCAGAGTGCGACTGTGTCTCTGAGAAGATGGAGGCGGCAGAGAGAGGATCAAAACCTGGAAGATAAAGTGCGTTCCCTAAAGATAGGCCCTGAGGAGAGCAAATCCCGACAGCGCCACCTGGAGGCGCTTCCTGGTGGCGCTGGACCGGAAGATCCAGGCCTGCATAACTTCCGCCCAGGCCTCCCAGGCTGGGCACCAACAACTAGGGCTGGCAGAGGCCCGGGATCCCCACCGTGAGTCCTAAGTATGTGTGCGAGACCAGATGGCGCTAGGACGTTCCCTGTGTGCGTTGCTTCTGTAAATGCAGGCGCCGTGTGTCGTGTTTCCAAACCAGTTGTGCCATCCACTCACTCCTTTCCAGAATAGAAATCTCTCGCTTCTCTGGCCTTGTGAGGTTGTGGACAACTGGAAGATTCTGACTGAGGAAACCAGAACCAGGTCTACCTTCAACATTTACGCAGTCAGGCCAGGGATGTTTATATCGTTCATAAGGGTTGTTGGAACCATATGAACTGAAAAAAAGCATTTTCTCATCCAAATATTGATATTCTTTACACCAGGCCATCGGGCTCCTTTTATCCGATAGCATTCAGAGTATTTGAAGGTCCTCCAGGTGCCAGCCTTGGGGGCACAGGGAGAACAACATTCCTCTCCGAAAACATGGGGAAGCTTTAAAATAACTGTTTAGTGGAGACTTACCCAGAGATGGAAAACAGGTTTCTGGTGAGTACATTTTCTGGTTTGGGAATCACCTGCATCCCCGATCCTGCCCCGTGCCCCCCAGTTTGTATGGTTGTGACAATGTTCCATTTCTTTGTTTTAATTTCTGAGCAGTTGACTGTGGTGCGGGAACAGCACACAGTGAGGGTGCCTAGCACAATGCCTGGCGCAAAGTAGGTGCTTTATAAATATTTGTTCAATTAAAAAAAGAGGGAGGCTGAGGCAGGAGAATCACTTGAAGCTGGGAGGTGGAGGTTGTGGTGAGCCGAGATGGCGCCACTTCACTCCAGCCTGGCAACAGAGCAAGACTCCATTTCAAAAAAATAAAATAAAATAAATAAAATAAATAAATAAAATAAAAAATATTTTTTCCAAGCCCCACTCAAAACCATGGTATTGTTAGAGGTGTAATAGTTGGACCAACATTGAAAATACATTCCATTTAGTTCATGGGCGTGCAAATATCCTTTTTTCTTTAAAAATTGTTCTCAGTTGTAATATTACAAAAAATATTGGTAATTTATACCAATGACACAGGTTAAAATGTTGTATAAATAATTTAATGACGTTTGATTGGAAAAAATACATGTGCCACATGTCGACAATTTTTTCCTTCTCTATGAAATATATACTCATTAATAAGTTTCAGATGTTACAGTTATCTTTTTGATTTCTGGGATTTAATTTTAGTAGGTATACTTGAATGCATTTTATTAATTCCTATAATGATGTTGATATTTCATGTAGGATTTTAATACTAATTTTACTATTTACTGAATTTTAAACTATTCTACATGTTTTATTTATATAAGAAAAAAATTACATATGAGAAAAAATGCGTAGACCTGAAATGTATCACTAGAGAGTTTCTGTCAAATGTGAATACCTTTGTTCCCAACACCTAAGGTAGCCTGAAGAGCAAGTCCTTCCCCACAACATGCGTCTTTTTCTGTGCTTGCGGTCAGCTCCTGCATGGGGAAATGTTTTGATTTCTGACACTATAGATCCATTTTTTTTCTGTTTTGAACTTTATATAAATGCAATCAAACATTTTAGACCTTAATTTGGTAATGGGCTACATTGCTATTTTTTGAGGTTATTTCCTGCTATTTAAGGTATTAAATTAGATCAACATATTATCATTTATTCAAGTAATGGACTGACTCTGATATGAAACCTCAAAGTTTTCACATATATATGGAGAGAGAGAGAGAGAGAGAGAGATGAGGGAGAGAGGTTTTATATCTGAGTCAGTCTGTTAAATAAGTAAATGACAGTATTTTGATTTATTTTCCTGTAAATCGACTTTAAATTTGTTTCCAGTTTATGAATATTATAAACAAAGCTGTTACAAATGTCTTAGTGTAAGTTTTCCTATGTTGTCTTCTTTTTATTGAGAAAATATGAAGTATGTATTTATTATAAGCTTAAATTTTTTCAGTTTTATTGAGGTATAATTGAAATATTTTAATAATGTATAGGTTTAAGGTGCCCCACTTGACGTTTTGATGTTGTATTAGTCCATTCTCACGGTGCTATAAAAAATGCCTGAGACTGAGGGATTTGAGAAAAAAAGTGTGTTTAATTGGCTCACGGTTCTGCAGGCTGTACAGGAAGTGTAGTGGCTTCTCCTTCTGGGGAGAGTCAGGAAAGTTAGGATCATGGCAGAAGACAAAGGGGAGCAGGTGCGTCACATGGCCAGACCAGGAGCCACAGGAAGCAGGGAAGGTCTACACACTGTTAGGCAACTAGATCTTATGAGAACTCACACACTGTCATGAGAACAGCACCAGGAGTTTGTTCTAAACCATTCATGAAAGACCCACCCCATGTCCCAGTCATCTCCCACCAGGTCCCACCTTCACAATTGAGGATTATAATACAACATGAGATTTGGGGCAGGACACAGATCCAAACCACATCAGATACACATTGTGAAATGCTCATCATGGCCAAAGTAATTTGTATATCCATTTTCTCATGGAGCTACCATTTTATTTTTTTAAAATGTACTACATGTGTGTGTATGTGTGTGTGTCTCATGAGAACACCTACGATCTACCCGTTTAGCAAAAATCACATTTACAATACAGCATTAAATACAAGAACATTGCAGTACATTAGATCTGCAGAACTCATTCACCCTGCACAACTGGACCTCTACCCTTCGACCGACATCATCTGATTTCCCTCTCCTCACAGGCCTGGGACCCACTATTCTACTCTCTGCTTTCAAGAGCTTGAATATTTTAGATCCCACATGTAAATGAGATCATTAAGTCTTTCTGCATCTGGCTTATTCCACTAAGCATCATGTCCTCTAGCCCCATCCCTGTTGTTGCAAATGTCAGAATTTCCTTCTTTTCAAAGCCTAATAAAATTCAGTTTTCTGTGTACACATTTTCTTTACACATTCATCAATCTGTGGTCATTAAATTATTTTACAAATCTACACTATTATAAATAATCTTGCAGTGAACATGTGTTTGACATAATAATTTTATTTCTTTTGAATATATGACAAGAAGTGGGATCACCAGAGCATATGATAGCTTTATTTTTCAATATAATGAATAACCAAACCTACCACACCATGCTTTTGAAGTCTTAGTCATATTTTATTTGCCTAGGCCAATGTCCCGAAAAATTTCTCCTACATTTTCTTCAGTTTGTACATTTAAATATTGAATCCATATTCAATTAATTTTTGTCTATGGTGAAAAACTAGAAGTCTAGTTTTATTCTTCTATGTGTGGCTGTCTAAGTTTTTCAGCACCACTTACTGAATAGAGGGTTGTTTCTCCATTGCATATTTTTGTCAGTTTTGTCAAAGAACAGGTGGTTGTAGAAACTTGTCTTTATTTCTTGGCTGTCTATTCTTTTACATTATTATTATTGTTATTGTTTTTAGTAGCAGTACCATGCTGTCTTTCTTACTGTATCTGTGTAGTATAATTTGAAATCAGGGAATGTGGTGCTTTCAGCTTTGGTCTTTTTCCTTGGGATTTCTTTTGCTATTCAGGCTGTTTTTTGATTCCATATATATTTAAGGATTTTTTTTAAAACATGTAATCAATTATATTGGTTACTTGATAAAAATTGCATTGAATATGTATCTTGCTTTGGACAGTGTATTAGTCTACTGTGCATTGCTATAAATTAATGCCTGAGGCCAAGTGATTTACAAAGAAAAGAGGCTTATTTGGCTTACAGTTTTGGAGGCTGTGTGAGAAGCATGGCACCAGCATCTGCTTCTTGTGAGGGCCTCAGGAAGCTTACGGTCATGGTGGAAGGCAAAGGGGAAGCAGGCAGTGTCCTGTGGTGAGAGGGGGCACAGAAGAGGGGAGGAGGGTCGCTAGACTGTTTTTAACAATCAGATTTCAAATTAGCTAATAAAGAAATAATTCACTAATTACCATGGGGTTGATACCAAGCCATACCTGAAGGATCTTTTCCCCACAATCCAAAAACTCCTACTAGGACCCACCTCAAATATTTTGGATCACATTTCACCGTGAGATTTGGAAGGGACAATCACCTAAACTGTAGCATTTCACTCTTGTGTCCCCTGGTCTCAAATCCTTGTAAGATTGCAAAATCATCTTTTTTAAAAATAGTTCCCAAAAGTGTTAACTTGATCAACCTCCAACTGAAAATTACAAAGTCTCGCCAGGGTCTTAAGGCAATTTCCCTCCAGCTGCGTGCTGGCAAAATGTTTTAAAGAGTTATGTACTTCCAAGGTGCAATATTGCCATTGGGTAAATATTGTCAATACAAAAGGAATAAATTGGCCAAAGGCCCCACACACACCTAAAGCCTAGCAGGACAGATATTAAATCTTAAAGCTACAAAATAATCTATCTTGACTTTATGTTCTTAGTCAGGGTACACCAGGACAAAGTGGGTCCCAAAATCCTCAGGCATCTCATCCTTATGGCTGGGCACATTCCATGGGGCTAATAACACAGGCCAGAGTCAAGTGCCAGAAGTAGTTCCAGGTTGGGAGTACAAGCTGCCTTTGGATCTACCATTCTGGGATCTTGAGGGTTGTGGCTGCATTTCTGTAGCTCCACTGTGAAGTGCCCTAGTGGGGACTCTGAATGGGGTTCCAACCCCATCTTTCCCCATCTTTGGTACTGCCTTCGTAGAGGTTGTTTGTGGTGGATCCAGTCCTGTAGCAAGCTTCCTCCTGGGCACATAGGGTTCTCTACACATCTTCTGAAATCTAGGTAGAAACTGCCCAGCCTCCTTCACTCTTGCATTCTGCATATCTGCCAGAATCCAGTTATCCCAGCACCATTTACTGAACACAGAGTATTTTTTCCACATTGTTTGTTTTTGTCAGCCTTATGAAGTATCAGACGGTTTAGGTGTGCAGCTTTATTTCTGTTTCCTATTTTGTTCCGTTTCTTCTGCATATCTGCTCTTGTACCAGTACCAAGCTGTTTTTGTTACCATGTCATTATGGTGTAGCTTAAAGTTGGGTATCATGATGCCTCTGGCGTTCTTCTTTTTGCTTAGCATTGCTTTGGCTATTCAGGGTCTTTTTTGGTTCCATACAAATTTTAGAATAGATTATTTTTTCTAATTCTGTGATCAATGATGTTGATAGTTTTATGTAAATAGTACTGAATCTCTAAATTGCTTTAGACAGTGTGATAATTTTTACAATATTCCTTCTTCTAATCCATAAGCATGAAATGTTTTCCCATTTATTTGTGTCATGTATGATTTATTTATTTATTTATGCTGTGTTTTGTAGTTCTCCTTGTAGAGATCTTTCACCTTGTTTGTTACCTGTATTTCCAGGCATTTCATTTGTGTGTGTGTGAATATTGTAAGTGGGATAGGACTGTGTTCTTGATTTCACTCTCAGCTTGGACATAGTTGGGTATAGAAATGTTAGTGATTCTTGTACATTAAGTTTGTATCCTGAGACTCTACCAAAGTTGTTTATCTATTTTAGAATTATTTTGGCAGAGTCTTTAGAATTTTCTATGTATAGAATTATATCATCAGTTTGGACAGATATATCTACTTCTTTTCCCATTTAGATGTTGTATTAGTCTATTTGCACACTATAAAGAAACACCTGAGACTGCATAATTTATAAAGATTTTTGATTGTCTCATGGTTCTGCAGGCTGTACAGGAAGCATGGCTGGGGAGGCCTCAGGAACCCAACAGTCATGACAGAAAGGGAAGCATCATGTCTTACATGGCTGGAGCAGGAAGAGAGAGGAGGTAGGTGCCAAGTACTTGGAAACCACATCTCCTGAGGGCTCTGTCATGGGAACAGCACAAAAGAGGGTGAAGCATCCCCATGATCTAATCATCTCTCACCAGTCCCCACCTCCAACACTGGGAATAACAATTTGACATGAAATTTGGGTGGGGATGCAAATACAAACCATATCAGCTCCGTTTTATTTTTTCTATTGCCTGGTTGCTCTGACTAGGATTTCCAGTAGTATGCTCAATAGGAGTGGTGAGAGAGGGCATCCTTGTCTTATTTCAGTTCTCAAGGGGTTTGAGCTTTTGCTCACTCAGTATAATGTTGAGTGTGGTTTTGTCATAGATGGCTGTTATTATTTTGAGTTTTTTTTTTTTTTTTTTTGAGACGGAGTCTCGCTCTGTCGCCTAGGCTGGAGTCCAATGGCATGATCTCGGCTCACTGCGACCTCTGCCTTTCGGGGTCAAGCGATTCTCCTGCCTCAGCCTCCCATGTAGCTAGGATTATGGTTACGGGCATGCGCCATCACGCCCAGCTAATTTTTTGTATTTTTAGTAGAGACAGGGTTTCACTGCGTTAGCCAGGATGGTCTCCATCTCCTGACCTCGTGATCCGCCCGCCTCAGCCTCCCAAAGTGCTGGGATTAGAGGCGTGAGCCCCCGCACCAGGCTATTTTGAGGTATTTTTTGATGCCTAGTCTTTTGAGAGTTTTTATGAGTGAATGTTGGATCTCATCAAAAGCTTTCTCAGCATGTATTGAGAAAATCATATGTTTTTTGCTTTTATTTTGCTTACATGGAGAATCACAGTTACTGAATTGTGGATGTTGAATGAAACTTGCCTTCCAGGGGTAAAGCCTACTTGATCATGACGTATCACATTTTAAAGTGCTTCTGGATTCTATTTGTTAGTATTTTGTTGAGAAATTTTAGGTCTATGTTCACCAAGAATATTCATCTGATGTTTTCTTTTTTAATTATGTATCTTCCTGATTTTGTATCCCAAGGACACACAATGAAGGAAGGACAGTCTCCCAACAAATGATGTAAAAACTGGACATCCATATGCAAAATAAATAAAATTAGACCTTCTCTAACACCATATACAAAAATCAACAAAAATAAACATAACATGAAACCATAAACTCATAGACAACATGGAAAAATAATTCATGTCATTGATTCAGAAATGATTTATTTGAAGTTAATCCCAAAAGCAAGCCCAGCAAAAAACTACATGCAATTATATATCTGACAAGAAGTTCTATCAAAATGTATAAATAATCCATACAACTCAATAGCAAATATCAAATGACCTCATAAAAAGAGCAAAAACCTGAATAGATTTTTTTCAGAAGACACATGCATGAAAAACAGAGCATAAAAATGTCCTCAAGATGACTAATTGTCAGAGGAATTCGAATCAAAAGCACAATGACATATCACCTCACACCACTTAAAATGGCTATTATCAGCAAGACAAAAGATAAGAAATGTTGGCAAGAATGATCCACAGCCATAAAGAGAGCTTTGATTGGCCAAGAGACTGATTTCAGTAACTTTCTCCTGTGAAGAGACCACTGACCATGGACTTGTCCTGGCCAATTTCCAGAGGCTGTGCACTGTGTGTCTTTCTGCCCCTGCACAAAGCCCTTTTGATATGCAGGACCCAGCTGTAATTCATTTAGTTCTTAAGTCCTCACCCCAAAGCAAAGCTGAAATGCATGTATCATGTGTGTTTGCTTATTAGACATGAGAGCCTCCACGCCATGTGAATATCCATAGCTCCTTCTATAGCCTGCTGAGTGTGTACACTCGGCCAATCCATTTGCACAAATTTGTTTCTCATCTTTCCCTCTCTTAAAGTGCCTGCTCACAGTCTCTGTGGGAGGCTTTCCTTCCCAGCCTGTTAAGATGGCCGTCCTGCAGCTTCAACCCTTTCTGAGAAATAAAGTCTCCTTTCTAAATTTATAAACTGGGTGATTCTTCCGTTGAAAGCACAAGCTGTTGGGAAGAGTTATATGGCAATTCCATAAATGCCTGGAAGACAAGTGTGGATAGGGTAGGGTAAGAAGTCCTGGGGGCTGCACACCCCACTCTGATGGAATTTCCCTCCAGAAACTTCTGGGTTCTCAAGATGAGAATCCAAACAGATTCCCTCATGGCTCTGTCATCAGGAGAACTATACTCTGATAAGTATGCCCAGAACTTCCTCCAGACAGACCCTATAGGGAAAAAATACTTTTCAAGATCTTTATTCTGTGAGGGGAAGGGATTCTTTTCCATCCCAGACAGCTTCATCTTAGCCTTCCTGAGTCATGAAAAGGAGTATAATTAATAAAACATCTGGGGTCAGATTCAAGAAAATAATCTGTGGATGCTGCAGCCAGGAGGGGGAGTGGAGGACGGAGGAAAATCAGCTGTACCACTGAATACTCCTTGTAAATGGTACAGCCTAGAGAAAGAATAGCAAGAAATCATTGGAATTCAATTTCCAGAACATATACTGCTCCCCTACCCACCACATCACCTCACCACCAATATGATTAATCTGGATTAAAGAGAAAAGTGTGGAAAGGCACAGACTCCATCTAAGGACTAGAATTTAGGGAAACCAAAGGCAGTGGGAGAGAAAAAGTCAAGGACAGTAAAGTGACTTAAAACCTCTTAGACCAACAGCTTCAGGAACAAGGTCACATCCTCTCCCTCACTGAAATTAGATTTACCTCTCATGGGGCATCTGCAGGGTGCGCAGGTGAGAACTGGCAAAGAGAACATGAAGGCACTTTCCAAATCTCCATTAGTACCTAGCTCGCTTTAGCTGTTTGGAAAAAGCAAAACCACAACAAACATAACCAGGACTAGGATCAGTGTTGGAAGCACTTTTCACTGGCAAGACACTAAGAAGGAGGGCAAATTCGAGGCCAGTTACTATGCAAATATGCCACTGTGAGTGTGTGTGGTGGTGAGCTTTGAGACATAGGGTCTGTGGGTAAAGTTATAATCGATAAAATCTTCAACCACAGAATCCTAAAAAAAAGAGCCTTCCCCAAAGTCCCATCAGTTCCTGGACTCGCCATGTGTCTGGACCGTATCAGTGGATCCGGAGCTCCAGGGAAGGGGCTCCCTGATGGCTTTTATGATTCCTTGCTTGCCGTGCTGAGGTCTCCCTGTAGATTATGTTGGGTTTTCTAAGGCCTATTTTCTATTGTAAGAGGTGGTGGGGGAAACAATTTCTGTCACTGAAAGAGCATTCTGAGCCAGGGCACAGCCCCTTCCTACTGAGCTTGAGATTCTGGGAGGAAAAAGTTCTCTGACAGGAGGAAAAAGTTCCCAGACAGGAACTTC